>NC_000003.12:136129816-136432846 GCF_000001405.40 Homo sapiens | reverse complement strand
AGTGGCACTGCGTGCAAAAACCAGAAGCTTTGTTGTCAGAGAGAATGGATTAAGTGGCTCATGCCTGTAATCCTAGCACTTATGAGGCCTAGGTGGGGGATTACTTGAAGTCAGGAGTTCAAGACCAGCCTGGCCAACATAGTGAAACCCCGTCTCTACTAAAAATACAAAAATGAGCTGGGCAGGGTGGCATGCACCTGTAGTTCCAGCTACTCGAGAGGCTGAAGCAGGAGAATCACTTGAACCCAGAGGCAGAGGTTGCAGGGAGCCCAGATCATGCCACTGCTCTCCAGCCTGGGTGACAGAGCAAGACTCTGTGCCCCCCCCCCCCCAAAAAAAAAGAAAACAAAAATTAAAATCTTTAGTTACTGTATTATTCAAAAATGTCTACTTTCAAGAAAAACTACAGCCATGCAAAGAAACAGTAAAATGTGACCATACTCAGGAAAAAAAGCAGACAATAGAAATGGCTTCTCAGTAGGGCTATATGTTGGATTTAGCAGGCAAAGACTTCAGAGGCCTTTTAATAAGTATATTCAAAGAATTACAGGAAAATATGAAAACAAGAAGTAGAGAATCTCAATAATGAAAACCCAAATGGAATTTCTGGTGAGAAGTACAATGCACAAATTTAAAATTAACTGAGTAAGTTAATTAGCAGATTTAAGATGATGAAAGAGACAATAGAAAAACATGAAGATTAATAGAAATTATCCATTCTGAAGAACAGAGAAGAAAAAAGATTGAAGAAATACTATCAGAGCCTCAGAAATGTGTGGAACCACCATCATGTGCACTGAAATATGTATAATGGGAATCCCAGAAGGAAAGGAGAGAGGAATAGAGGCAGAAAAAATATTTGAAGAAATAATCACTGAAAACCTCCCAAATTTGATGAGAGACAATTTGCAGATTCAAGAAGCTTAACAAAATCCAAATAAAATAAACACAAAAGTTCCACATATAGACACAACATAGTCACATTGTTAAAAGACAAAGACAAAAAATCTTGAAAGCAACAAGAGATCAACAACTAATGTAGAGGGCAGTAGCAATAGTATTAACAGTTAGCTTATCAGAAATAGTGGAGTCCAGAAGACAGTGGAATGACATATTCAGTGAAAGTCAACAAAATGGCCAACCAAGAATTACAAATTTAATAAGATTATCTTCCAAAGATGAAGGTGTAAAAAACCATTACCAGAGAAACAAAAAGGAAAAATTTGGAGAATGTGTTGCTAGATCTCCCATACCAGAAATGCTAAAAGAAGTCCTTCAGCCAGGCACAGTGGTTCACGCCTGTAATCCCAGCACTTTGGGAGGCTGAGGCAGGTGGATCACAAGGTCAGGAGTTCGACTCCAGCCTGGCCAACATGGGAAACCCTATCTCTACTAAAAATACAAAAATTAGCCAGGCATGGTGGCATACGCTTGTAGTCCCAGCCACTCGGAAGGCTGAGGCAGGAGAATCTCTTGAACCCGGGAGGCAGAGGTTGTGGTGAGCCAAGATCGTGCCACTGCACTCCAGCCTGGGCAACAGAGTGAGACTGTGACTCAAAAAAAAAGAAAAGTCCTTCAAGCCATAAGGAATATCATAAGGTGATAAAACAAATCCACAAGAAGGAATGAAAAAAGAAGGAATGGGCTGGGTGCAGTGGCTCACTCCTGCAGTCCTGTCACTTTGGGAGGCCAAGGCAGGTGGATTACCTAAGGTCAGGAGTTCAAGACCAGCCTGGCCAACATGGCGAAACCCCATCTCTACTAAAATTACAAAAATTAGCTGGGCATGGTGGCACATGCCTGTAATCCCAGCTACTCGAGAGGCTGAGGCAGGAGAATTGCTTGAACCCAGAAGGCAGAAGTTTCAGTGAGCTGAGATCACCCCACTGCACTCTAGCCTGGGTGACAGAGTAAGACTCTGTCTCCAAAAAAAAAAAGGAAGAATGTAAATCTGAAATGGTAAGTATGTGAGTGGATATAAAAGGTAAAAGGCTGTGTGTGTGTGTGTGTGTGTGTGTGTGTGTGTGTGTGTGTGTGTGTCTGTCTATGTCTGTTTCCTTCTCTTAATTTCCTTGAAAGAACATGAAATTATTTAAATCAAGCTTGTCCAACCTGTGGCCTGCAGGCTGCATGTGGCCCAGGACAGCTTTGAATGCAGCCCAACACAAATTTTTAAACTTAAAACACTATGAGATATTTTCGCTTTTTTTTTTTTTTTTTAAGCTCTTCAGCTATCGTTAGTGGTAGTGTATTTTATGTGTAGCCCCAGACAATTGTTCTTCCATTGTGGCCCAGGGAAGCCAAAAAATTGGATACCCCTGATTTAAGTAGATAATTATAGCACTATAGTGTTGAGATTATAACATAAATATATGTGACAAGAGTAACACAAAAGGGAAAAAGATATGGAACTATATTGGAGCAAAATTGCTATGTTTTATTATAATTAATTCAATATCAACCTGAAGTCAGTTACAAGTTAAAAATGTATATTATAATCCCTACAGTAATCATTCATATTTAAAAATAAAAACAGAGGAATTATAGTGGTCCTCATCTGCTAGAGACATATGCTGAAATATTTAAGGGTGAAATTATATACCGTTTACCCTTGAACAATGCAGGGGTTAGTGGCACTGACCTGCACAGTCAAAAATCCATGTGTGCTCACTTCGGCAGCAGATATACTGAATTTGGATCAATATAGAGAAGATGAGCATGGCCCCTTTGCAAGGATGACATGCAAATTTATGAAATATTTTTATGAATCTTAAAATTTAAAAAATTCACGTGTAACTTTTGATTCCCCCAGAACTTAACTACTATAGCCTACCAATAACCTAAATGATCAGAAGCCTTAAAGCTGTTAACACAAACAATGGATTAACACATTTTGTATGTAATATGTATTATACACTGTATTCTTGCAATAAATTAAGCTAGAGGAGAAAAAAGTTTTTAAGAAAATCAGAAGGAAGAGAAAATATATTTACTATTTATTAACTGGATCAACATAAAAGTCTTCATCCTTGACATGTTGACATTGAGTACACTGGGGAGGAGGAAGAGGGTTTTTGTCTTGCTGTCTCCAGTGGCAGAAGCAGAAGAGATGGAGAAGGAAGGAGAGGCAGGTACACTCACTGTAACTTTACAGAAATACATTGTAATTTCTGTCTTTTTGCTTTTTCATTCTGTGTGATACCAATCCTCCTTCCACTATTTGCTTTAATTTCAGTGCCCACGTAATACAAGGGTCTGTGTCACCAAAGAAGCAAAAGCAGTCTTAAATAATTGGAACTCTTCTGCCAAATTATCTAATGTTGATTTAGGCACCCCTTCTTCAGCATTTTCTTCCTCATCATCTGGTACCAGTTCAGAAGCACTCATCTCCATCAAGTCATCCTCTATTAGTTCCTCTGGTGTAGTCTTTTTTGTTTTTGAGACAGAGTTTCGCTCTTGTCATCCAGGCTGGAGTGCAGTGGCGTGATCTGGGCTCACTGCAACCTCCACCTCCCGGGTTCAAGCGATTCTCCTGCCTCAGACTCCCAAGTACCAGGGATTACATGCACCCGCCACCAGGGCCAGCTAGTTTTTGTATTTTTAGTAGACACAGGGTTTCGCCACGTTGGCCAGGCTGGTCTCGAACTCCTGACTTCAGGTCATCCACCCGTTTCGGCCTCCCAAAGTGCTGGGATTACAGGTGTGAGCCACCTCTCCCAGCCTGCGCTCTGTTCCAGGCTGGAGTGCAATGATGCTATCTGGGCTTACTGCAACCTCTGCCTCATGGGTTCAAGTAATTCTCCTGCCTCAGCCTCCCGAGTGGCTGGGTTTTACAGGCCTGTGCCACCACGCCTAGCTAGTTTTCTGTATTTTTAGTAGATACGGGGTTTCACCATGTTGGCCAGGCTGGTCTCGAATTCCTTTCCTCAGGTGATTCTCCCACCTTGGCATCCCACAGTGCGGGGATTACAGACGTGAGCCCTCATTCCTGGCTGGTGTCTATTTGCTCTCTAATTTCTCTAAGATCTATATGTTGAAGTCTTTCATTCCCCACATTTTATACTATAACCACAATCTCTTTGATGATTTTCTTGATTGGTTCTGTCATAAGTTCTGTGAAATCGTACATAACATCTGGACACAGTTTTCTCCAACAGGTATTTATTTTGGGGGGCTTGATGGCTTTAGAACAACAATGGCATTTTCAGTGGTGTAATTCTTCCAGACTTCCATCATATTCTATCAGGGTTCTCTTCAATAGTGTTGACAGCCCTTTCCATTGAGTACTATGTTTAATGACCTTTAAGGGTTCTATGGACCCCTGATCTGTAGGCTGATTTAGAGATACTGTGTTTAGGAGCAAGTAGACCATTTTGATGCCTGTGGTGTTGAACTTACTGGGTTCTGGTTGGTCAGGGGCATTGTCCGTTATCAGAAGAACTTTAAAAGGCAATCCCTTACTGGCAAGGTACTTCCTGGCTTCAGGGACTTTACAGCGTCAGTGTAAACCAATCCAGAAAAGGGGTCCTTGTTGTCCAGGCCTTCTTGTTAGACATTACTGGCAAAAAAAGACAGGCAGCTGATGTTTATCTTTTCCCTTCAAGGCTTTTGAGAGTTAGCAGCTTTACAGATAAGGGCAGTCCTGATCATAAACCCAGCTTCATTTGCACAAATGAGTAGATTAGTGTATTTCTTCTTGCTTTAAAGTGGTACTCACCTCTCTTCCTTACTAATAAGTGTCCTTTGTGGCATTTTTTTTTTTTTTCCAGAATAGGGCACTGTGATCTGCATTAAAAACCTTTGCAGGCAGATATCCTTTTCTTCAGTGATTTTCTTAATGGCGTCTTGGAGAGTGGTCAGCTGCCTCTTGGTCAGCAGAAACAGTTTTTCCTCTTCTCTTGACATTTTTAAAGTGAAACCTCTTTCTAAAATTATCAAACTATCCTTTGCTGGCTTTAAATTCTCAGCTTTGTAACCTTCACATTCCTTTGGCTTTAAGTTGTTATTATATGACTTCACTTTTTTAAAATCATATGAGTATAGGTGTGCCTTTTTTATAGCAATTCTGCACCCATATATAAGCTGTACTTCTAATGTGAAATAAAAAGGTATTTTGCAAAAGGTACAGTGGTTTTTGCACCTGCTAGTATAGCAGTAATGGCTTTAAGAATTTTTTTTTTTTTTTTTTACAATGGTCCTTATACCAGATTCATTTATCTTGAAATGGTGGGCAACTGTAGCTGCAGACATATCAAGCAATTTAATTTTTTTCTTTAAATTTTTTCTTGTAATAACTTTTCTCTGCTTCTTGGGAACACTTCCAGCATCACTAGTAGCACATATGGGTCCCATAATGTTATTCAAGGTTTATGGTATGGCACTAAACATGGTAAGTGAGAACCACAAGATCACTTTTGACTATGATACACAATTCACTGGAGAGACCAACTGTTCATGCAAAGATGATTAGTGTCATGGGGCTTTTTTAGTGAATACTTGGCAATACTTGAGCTCACTGCAATAGCAACAGTAGATGTGTACAATATTATTGTAGTAGAATGTGTGCTAAAGTTAATTCTGTACAGTTATGATTAATACTATATCTTTTTTTTTTTTTTGAGTTGGAGTCTCGCTCTGTTGCCCAGGCAGGAGTGCAGTAGTGTGATCTCGGCTCACTTCAACATCTGCCTCCCGGGTTCAAGCGATTCTCCTGCCTCAGCTTCCTGAGCAGCTGGGATTACATGCGCTTGCCACCACATCCCACTAATTTTTTTTTTTTTTTTTTTAAGAGACGAGTCTCGCTCTGTCGCCCAGGCTGGAGTGCGGTGGCGCGATCTCGGCTCACTGCAAGCTGCGCCTCCTGGGTTCATGCCATTCTCCTGCCTCAGCCTCACAAGTAACTGTGACTACAGGCGCCACACCTGGCTAATTTTTGTATTTTTAGTAGAGGCAGGGTTTCACCGTGTTAGCCAGGATGGTCTCGATCTCCTGACCTCATGATCCACCCACCTCGGCCTCCCAAAGTGCTGGGATTACATGCGTGAGCCACCACGCTCAGCCGGTATTTTTTAGTAGAGATGGGGTTTCATTATGTTGGCCAAACTGCTCTTGAACTCCTGATGTCTAGTGATCTGTCTGTCTCAGCCTCCCAAAGTTCTGGGATTACAGGCGTGAGCCACCATTCCTAGCCACGATACTGTATCTTTATTCACATTGCTGTCATGTGCGAATGGTGCCATGTACAATCTGTAAGTGTGTGTGTGAGTTTTGATAAATTTTAAGTTCTTACAATAGATTCATATATATTTAATAGTAGTGAATGTTAAATATCTACATATATTTTATACATCATGATGAGTCTAAATTTGCTTTTGTTTTCCAATATTTCTAGGCTACATGGCTTGTCTGCAAGTTTTATTGTTTGTTTGTTTGTTTTTGAGACGGAGTCTCGCTATTGCCCAGGCTGGAGTGCAGTGGCGCGATCTCGGCTCACTGCAGGCTCCGCCCCCTGGGGGTTCACGCCATTCTCTTGCCTCAGCCTCCAGAGTAGCTGGGACTACAGGCACCTGCCACCTCACGCAGCTAATTTTTTTTTGTATTTTTAGTAGAGACGGGGTTTCACTGTGTTAGCCAGGATGGTCTCGATCTCCTGACCTCGTGATCTGCCCGCCTCGGCCTCCCAAAGTGCTGGGATTACAGGCATGAGCCACCGCGCCCGGCCACAAGTTTTTTTTTTTTAATTGTTGCAAATCTCCAAAAAATTTTCCAATATGTTTATTGAAAAAAATCTGCATATAAATGAACCATGTAGTTCCAAACTATGTTGTTCAAGGGACAAATGTACAAGGATTTCCCCTAAAATGCCATAGAAAAAAAAAACTGAGAGATAATTAATGAAACAAGAATGACAGTGCTAATGGTTATTGTTCTGCTTTTGAGTGTTTCTGAAATTTTCCTTAATAGTCTTTAAAGTATATGCTATCCCAACTTTGACTAGTGATAAGCCCCTTCATACTAATTTCTTGTCCTTTTCACATATCTTATTTTTTAATTACTTTCTTGCACTTTTCACATATCTTCTTCTTTTATAGATATATATGTATATGTATATATGTTTATATATATACATATATATAAACATACATACATACATACACACACATACACGTATTTAAATCATACATTCATATTGGTATTTGACCTAAATTTAGCCTAATAGAGTTTTTACCTCTTTGAATTTATGAGTTTTTTTCCCAAACTTATTTTTTTGAAATAGGTAAAACATTTACATTAGTTAAAAAGTCAAAACCATGTGAAAAGATATAGTCAGAGAAATCTTATTTATATAACTTTCTCTACACCTCATTCTTATTAGTAACCATTTTTATTTGTTTCTGGTTTATTCTTCAGGTGTTTCATTTTGCACAAATAGGTAAAGGCATGTACACATACAGATATATATATTCATATTTCACATTCCACCCACTCACCCCCCAATCTTTTACCAAAGATACTATACTTTATATACTATTCTGTACCTTTCTTTTTTTAGCAGTGTATCCTGGAAATCAGTCCATGTCTTTATTTGGAGGTCTTCATTTTCTTCTGGCTGTATAGTGTCTATTAGGTGGATGCACTACTGAAAGTTCACCTACGCACAGTCTTTTGTACTGTTGCTAGTCTTTTGCTACTAGAAATAATGAATAATCAGCTGGGCATGGTGGCTCATGCCTGTAAACCCAACACTTTGGGAGGCCGGGGCGGGCAGATCACGAGGTCGGGAGATCGAGATCATCCTGGCCAACATGATGAAACCCCATCTCTACTAAAAATACAAAAATTAGCTAGGTGTGGTGGTGCGTGCCTGTAATCCCAGCTACTCAGAAGGCTGAGGCAGGAGAATCTCTTGAACCAGGGAGTCAGAGGTTGCGGTGAGCCGAGATTGCACCACTGCACTCTAGCCTGGCGACAGAGTGAGACTCCATCAAAAAAGAAATAATGAATAATCTTATGCATATCTCATTACTTGTACCAGGTGTGTTGGTGAGATAGAATTGGTATTGCTAGGTCAAAGGAAAAATATATATACAATTTTGTTAGATATTGGCAAATTCCTTCTTCATAGGTATCATGCCATTTTTGTTATCCCCTCAGAGGTATTTTGAGGACTAGATGAGTTCATGTATGTAGAGTGCCTAACAAAATGACCACTCAGGCTGGGCGCAGTGGCTCACACCTGTAATTCCAGCACTTTGGGAGGCCAAGGTGGGCGGATCACTTGCGGTCAGGAGTTGGACCAGCCTGGCCAATATGGTGAAAACCCGTCTCTACCAAAAATACAAAACTTAGCCCGACTTAGTGGTACGCACCTGTAGTCCCAGCTACTTGGGAGGCTGAGGCAGGAGAATCGCTCAAACCCAGGAAGCAAAGCGGAGGTTGCAGTGAGCCAATATCGCGCCATTGCACTCCAGCCTGGGTGTCACAACAAGACTTCGTCTCAAAAAAAAAAAAAAAAAAAGATCGTTCCATCAAAAATAGCCATTTCCCTAAAATCAGTATCCTTAGATGTTTCATACATTGTCAAATGAATTTCAAGACTTTTCAATGTATTGAATACATTCCTAGACATACATGTAGTTCCCTTAATTGCTTTGTGCAGAGGTAAACACAGTAGTTGGTAGATCATTCAAAAGTGATTATTTTATATGCTTAAAAGATTGAACAACAAGGCCGGGCGTGGTGGATCACTTGAGGTCAGGAGTTTGAGACCAGCCTCGTCAACGTGGTGAAACCCCATCTCTACAAAAATACAAAAATTAGCCATGCATGGTAGGACATACCCATAGTCCCAGCTACTCAGGAGGCTGATGCAGGAGAATCACTAGAACCCAGGAGGCAGAGGTTGCAGGGAGCCGAGATCGTGCCACTGCACTCCAGCCTGGGTGACAGAGCAAGACTCTGTCTCAAAAATAAAAAAAAATAAAAAAAAAAAAGACTGAACAATCAAATAGGCAGTGCTATTACTTCTTGCACATATTCTTAAACATTGAGGTTCACATTTATGAAGTGGCAATTTATATTGGAATGTTTCTGTTCCGTAAAACCATTTGACATTATGATGGCAAATCCCTTCAAGATAATAAAATGCAGAATACTTAGGGGAAATGATTATGTTAAACTGAACTTACATTTTAATATTTTATTTTTGGAATCACCTGTGGTTTCACATGTTGGATACAGGCTAAAGTGATGAGCATTAGCAGCTTAAATTTGTTCCATGAGCACAAACTATACTCTTTTTTCTTGATAGCTGTTTAACAGATTTGTGAGTTTAGTTACAAGGAGACTCAAATGTAAATGAATCCAGAGATATTATTAGTGTGTGCTTTAAAAATAAGTGAGAATGTGTTAGCTTCTGTTGGTATTTAAAAGGCGTTACTTTAAAAAGTGTGTGTATATTTAACATAGGAAGATCACTGTTAACACACTGAGATTAAAACCCTAGAAAAATTGGGTATTGATTGGTTTCAGTATTTTAATAATGGTAACTATGGTTTTATTAATATGTATATATTTTTATTTGACATAAACAAATAGTAATTCGCCCAGACTTTAGCTGTTTGATAAGGTAGTAGTGCATGTTATGTAAAAATTTGCATAAACTTTCTTGTGTTTATTTCAGTCATTAAGTTTCTCTTAAAATTTGTGGTTATATTATTTGCCAGTGCTTCATCAATATATGTAACAGTTTGGATTTATAATTTAACACAATACTCTTCTTCTTTTCCGATTTTGTTTCTAGGTGCTAACTGCCAAAGAAAGGAAAACTCAAATTGATGATAGAAACAAATTGACTGAACATTTTATTATTACACTTCCTATGTTACTGTCAAAGGTACAGTTTCATTTACAGTTTTGTTATGTCACTGAGTTTGCTTTCATTGTACTATTAAAGTAGTTACTGTCTTTTTCTTTGCTTCTCCTTCTAGTATTCTGCAGATGCAGAGAAGGTAGCAAACTTGCTACAAATCCCACAGTATTTTGATTTAGAAATCTACAGCACAGGTAGAATGGAAAAGGTAATGATATTATGAAATTGAAATTCAGCTGTTATAGTTTTATTAACTGAATTATTTTCATGTACTCTTATAGACTTGTTATTTGACAGATGCTAATTTTTTATTTTTTATTGTTAACCTAAATATTACAGTTTTTCTTTTTTTGTCTCCTCAGCATCTGGATGCTTTATTAAAACAGATTAAGTTTGTTGTGGAGAAACACGTAGAATCAGATGTTCTAGAAGCCTGCAGTAAAACCTATAGTATCTTATGCAGTGAAGAATATACCATCCAGAACAGAGTTGACATAGCTCGAAGCCAGCTGATTGATGAGTTTGTAGATCGATTCAATCATTCTGTGGAAGACCTATTGCAAGAGGTCTGTTCTAAAGTTAATGTGTACATATAATAATATTGACTGAGAATTACTTAAGATAGCTGAGTGTGTAAATCATTTTCATTTTAAAATGAAATTGAGTAGAATTGTCTGCCCCTTCCAAAACTTAGCAACCTTATTACAATTGTGTATTCTATAAAGATCAGCCTTGGTTATGCCTTATTTTTATTCTAAAAATCTGTCATAAAAACTAGAATTTCTTTTCTCTTTCAAGAAATTTTTTTTTTTTTTTTTTTTTGAGGCAGAGTCTTGCTTTGTCACCCAGGCTAGAGTGCAGTGGCACGATCTCAGTTCGTTGCTCACCGCAACCTCCGCCTCCCAGGTTCAAGTGATTCTCCTGCCTCAGCCTCTTGAGTAGCTGGGATTACAGGCACCTGTCACCACGCTTGGCTGTTTTTTTATTTTTAGTAGAAATGGGTTTTCACCATATTGACCAGGCTGGTGAACTCCTGATCTCAAGTGATCCGCCCACCTCAGCCTCCCAAAGTGCTGGGATTACAGGCATGAGCCACCACATCGGGCAAAAAAATCTCTTTAAAGTCTAATTTTTCCTAACTCATTTTCTATTTCTGGGACCTAATTTACATTTTAATATTGCTGAATTATTGTGATATGCTAATGAATAGAGCGTACAAATTAAGTCTACTTTTAAGGATGCCTGCTTATCAATGGTATGCCCAAGATATCAGCAAACATCTCCAATTGCTTATTTTCTAATTATTTCTGTGACTTCTTCCTCTTTCCCTCTCTCTCATCAATCTATATAAGGCAGTCTGGAATTTCCATAGTTCTCTGTGCTCTGATGACCATGTAACTGATTTATAAAAGACTCTTTCCTACTATTGAAACTTACCAGTTTTTTTCAACCATTATTTATGATTTTCCTTGTGATTTTCAAGCTACAAAAGTGACTGACAATAAATAAAATATTGGAAATCATTGAAAATCTTTCAAGTACATTTTTCTCTTAGAAATTTTAAAGGGTTTTATCTATAGTATCAGAAAACTTTTCAAAGTCATGTTTATCACAACATTATTTAAAATGCAGAAATTATTTCTAGGTTGTTAGAGTTATGGGTGTTTTTGCCTTTTTGCTTATTTGTATTATGGATCTACAATGAATATATACTATTAATATAATTTAGAAGAATTTTTATTTAGGCAATAAGTAGTAATATACTATAAGGTGAGTAAAGTTGTAATGATGTGATGTTTCCTTTTTTTATAGGGAGAAGAAGCTGATGATGATGACATTTACAATGTTCTTTCTACATTAAAGCGGTTAACTTCTTTTCACAAGTACGTTATTTTATTTAAAGTAAAGGCAACGAGGTGGCTCATGCCTGTAACCCCAACACTTTGAGAGGCCGAGATGGGCAGATTGCTTGAGGCCATGAATTGGAGACCAGCCTGGCGAAACCCTGTCTGTACAAAAAATACAAAAATTGGGCATGAGAGTGTCCACCTGTGGTCCCAGCTACTCAGGAGGCTGAGGCAGGAGAAGCAGGAGAATCGCTTGAACCCAGGAGGTGGGGGTTGTCGTGAGCCGAGATCGTGCCTCTGCACTCTAGCCTGGGCAACAGGCTGTCTCAAAAAATAAATAAATCAAGTAAATGTAGTAACCCAGGTGTGTAAGCACACAGCTATGGTCCCAGCCACTTGGGAGGTTGAGGAAGGAAGATCACTTGAGCCCAGGAGTTCAAGGCTGCACTTGATCATGACACTGGCCCATGATCGTACCTGTGAATAGCCACTGCACTTCAGCATGGGCAGTATAGTGAGATCTGATCTCAGTAACAACAAAAAGATAAAATAGATTTAGTGAATGACATGTAACAGCCAACATACACTGACTGATTGTTGTGTTTGACATTAATAACAATGGGAATTTTAGGCCTGGTGTGATGACTCACACCTTATAATCCCAGCACTTTGGGAAGCCAAGGGAGGTGGATTGCTTGAGCCCCACGAGTTTGAGACCAGCCTGGGCAATAGGCAGACCCTATCTCAATTAAAACAAAATAGTTGTTTTTTAAAAAATGGGAATTTTAGAGAATATTGAGATATGTTTTTCCTTTATTCAGTTTTCTCTAGATGATTATGTTTTGCTATCACTGAATTACTTTTTTTTTTTTTTTTTTTTTTTTGACAGAGTCTCACTCTGTCGCCCAGACTGGAATGTAGTGGCCCGATCTCGGCTCACTGCAACTGCCGCCTTCCAGGCTTAAGTGATTCTTATGCCTTAGCCTCTCGAGTAGCTGGGACCACAGGTGTACACCACCTTGCTCAGCTAATTTTTATATTTTTAATAGAGATGGTTTCACCATGTTGGCCAGGCTGGTCTTGAACTCCTGACCTCAAGCAATCCACTGGCACTCGGCCTCCCAAAGTGCTGGGATTACAGACGTGAGTCACTGTGCCTGGCCTATCATTTAATTACTTAAGGTATAAAATTTATTTACTGTAATGATTTAGCTATCACTTAATGTAATGAATATATACTGTAAAAGTTTCAGCCCATGAGTATTTAACAAATTAGGCTTATTTTATCACTAGAGTGCTACAGGTATAATTTTCAAATGATAGCTTTTAGAAATCTTGCTCTTAATAAGTAAGAAATAAGATTTGGGACCAGGCATGGTGGCTTATGCCTGTAATCTCAGCACTTTGGGAGGTTGAGATAGGTGGATCACTTGAGCCCAGGGGTTCAAGACCAGCCTGGCCAAGATGGCAAAACCCCATCTCTGCTAAAAAAAAAAAAAAAAAAACACACACAAAAATTAGCCGGGCATGGTGGCACACGCCTGTATTCCCAGCTACTCTTGGGGCTATGGCACGAGAATCGCTTGAACCCAGGAGGCAGAGATTGTAGAGAGCCAAGATTACACCACTGCACCTCAGGGCAACAGAGCAAGACTCTCTCTTTAAAAAAAAAAGGCTGGGTGCGGTGGCTGAAATTTGTGTTGTCAAATTGTAATTTTCACTTGCATTGTAATGAGATATGCCGGTCTTCTCCATGAAGAAAGGACAAAAAGAACTTTGTTGTCCAAAGAGAGTTTGAATATAGCTTTTGCACTAATCAGTACTTCAAAATTCAAAAGCAGTTTCCAAAATCTAAGCCTTTATATACAAGTAAATTTTTTTTAGAATTCCCTAGAAAAGCAAACTTTTATTTTTTTAAAAAACTGTCATTTGAAAACAGAAGTTACTAGTGTCAGAATGACTATTTTTAGTAGTAGAGCCCATGAGAATATAAAAATTTACCATTATCACATTCATAAGTCCTCAGCCCAAGTAAATAGCTATAATGCAGTTTTTGAGCTTTCCCATTTTTCCTTTCCCCGAGTTTTATCTTTATCTCCATTTTGAAAATACAAATCTCTTTTAAAAATACACATGTGGTTATATTTTTAAATTGTAAATGGAGTTCTTTAAAATGTACTTTTAAATAGGCCTGACGCGGTGGCTCACACCTATAATCCCAGCACTTTGGGACACCATGGCGGGTGGATCTCTTGAGTCCAGGAGTTCAAGACCAGCCTGGCCAACATAGTGAAACCCCATGTCTACAAAAATACAAAAATCAGCCAGGTGTCATGGCGCACACCTGTAGTCCCAGCTACTCAGGAGGCTGAGGCATGAGAATCTCTTGAACCCGGGAGGCGGAGGTTGCAGTGAGCCAAGATCTTGCCACTTCACTTCAGCCTGGGCGACGGAGCGAGACCCTGTCTTTTAAAAAAAAAAAATACTATTATATATACAATAAAGGGATTTTATCCATATATGGAATAGAATATAAGCTTAGCTTGACCATGTGGTAGAAATTTTCAATTAAATATGTCAGGTTTTATTTTTTTGTTGATTTCTTTAATAAATTCATAGAATCATCTCTTTCTTTCCTTTTCCTTTCTACCTTTCTTTCAAATTTGAGCATTTAATGAGTATTTCCTTTATGGATCTTTTTCAATTCTGCAAGGAAATGAAAAAAACCTTTTTTTTTTTTTTTTTTTTTTTTTTTTTTTTTTTTTTTTGGAGACAGAGTCTTGCTCAGTTACCCAGGCTGGAGTGCAGTGGCGCAATCTTGGCTCACTGCAACCTCCGTGTCCTGGGTTCAAGTGATTCTCCTGCCTCAGCCTCCCGAGTAGCTGGGACTACAGTCATGCGCCACCATGCCCAGCTAATTTTTTTGTGTGTATTTTTAATAGAGACAGGGTTTCACCATGTTGGCCAGGCTGGTCTCGAACTCCTGACCTCAAGTGATTTGCCAGCCGCGGCCTTCCAGAGTGCTGGGATTACAGGCGTGAGCCAGTGTGCCCAGCCGAAATGAAATTATTTTATTCTTCCACTCACCTGAACTGAGCTCAAATTTAAATTTCCTTCCATTCTAGAATAAAACAGATGCATTTTTGTTTATTTCAGTGCACATGATCTCACAAAATGGGATCTCTTTGGTAATTGCTACAGATTATTGAAGACTGGAATTGAAC
This sequence comes from Homo sapiens, assembly GCF_000001405.40. Taxonomy (NCBI): domain Eukaryota; kingdom Metazoa; phylum Chordata; class Mammalia; order Primates; family Hominidae; genus Homo; species Homo sapiens. Next base: position 136,417,904 of record NC_000003.12, on the reverse strand, counting down.
ATGGAGCCATGCCAGAACAGGTAGGAGTTTATTGGTATTCCTTCTGTATGACTCTAGAAAGTTGTTTTTCTGAAGTCATATGATTATCAGAAGCCTTTTATAGAAAGTAATTGACGATTCATTAGGGCAGCTGCCTCTTTTGAGAGAATTATTGCTGTAGTAATTAAATGTTATTGATAGGTGTATTATACTGGCTTATGTGTTAAGAGTAGAAAAAACTTTTGCTATAACATATCTTAAAAATTTTACTGTTAAGGTAGACTTTTCTCTATTAGGAGAAATACCATTAATATCTATGGCAGCAATTTTAAAACTTTGGATAATGAAAATTGATGATGGGTATATTCCAGCCGTGTTCTAGGTATTAATCATATTAAGTATGGCTTAGTTTTTATATTAGAACCATAGTTAAATTAACATGGCAGCCTTTAATAGACTTTAGAACTTTGTACACTCATATATACAAGTTAGAGTAGAAGGGGCAGAAATTCAACAAACTTTGCCTAATCTGAAAGAGACTTCAGTAGAATAATTACTCTACTTGATTCAGTATGAGAAAGGAAGGAGTTATTTTGTACACTGCAGATATTCATGTAGACCAAAATATCATCTCCATCATTAAGTGTAGGTAATATTTAGGGGTTATCTCATTCATTTCCATTTGGTAGTATAGAATGCTTAGATGATACCTTATTACTCTAAAGCAGTAAGAATTTCAACAGATACAATAATAATCTTATATTAAAAATTAATCATGGGCTGGGCACAGTGGTTCACGCCTATAATTCCAGCCTTTTGGGAAGCCAAGGCAGGGTGGATCACCTGAGGTCAGAAGTTCGAGACCAGCCTGGCCAACATGGTGAAACCCCATCTCTACTAAAAATAAAAAAATTAGCCAGATGCAGTGGCATGCGCCTGTAGTCCCCAGCTACTTGGGAGGCTGAGGCTGGAGAATCGCTTGAACCTGGGAGACGGAGGTTGGAGTGAGCCAAGATGGTGCCACTGCACTTCAGCCTTGGTGACAGAGTGAGACTCTGTCTCAAAAAAAAAAAAAAAAAAAGTTAATTATGAAAACAGTACTTTATTATTGCTGTGATTAATTCATTTAAATTGCCTAACATTAGTCATTTTCTTGGTCCCTACAAATGTCCCTGATTATATTAGGTGTTTTTATTGTAGTTTGTGAAAAGACACTAAATATTTTACCCTCTCTTTTTTAAAATGTATTGCTGACATCAACTTCCCATCCTCTCTTCATCTCAGACCAGCAACCTAAATAAAATTCACTCATATTTTCAAGCCATGCTTCTAAGTTGAAAGTGAATGAGAGAGTTAAGATATTCTTTTTATCCTTTTCTCCATTTTCTCCAGGGAGAGAATAAGAGTACATCTCTGTTTCATCTACTGTGTCAAAATTTTTAGACTTACTATACCATCATTATTGTGCTAGTACTGACTTGTGACAGCTTCACAGTGTTGTCGTCTTTGTTATTTTGGTTTTCTGTTGCTTATGTTCATTGCATATGTCTTATTTCCTCCATTTTTATTGTTGGATAAAAGTACATACTTATGTGACATTAAAAGTTTTGTGGCTTTAGGGGCTGGGCGCGGTGGCTCACACCTGTAATCCCAGCACTTTGGGAGGCCAAGGTGGGCGGATCACAAGGCCAGGAGTTTGAGACCAACCTGGCCAATATGGCAAAACCCCATCTCTACTAAAAATACAAAAATTAGCCAGGCACGGTGGCGGGCACCTGTAGTCCCAGCTACTCGGGAGGCTGAGGCAGGAGAATCACTGGAACCCAGTAGGTAGAGGTTGCAGTGAGCAGAGATTGTACCACTGCACTCCAGCCTGGGCGATGAGCAAGACTCCGTCTCAAAAAAAAAAAAAGTTTTATGGCTTTAACTTTGTTAATTTCTTGAACACGTATTTTTAACCATGTGTATGAAGTTTGAGTGCATGACTCAAATATGACTAGATTGTACTCTTGTTCATTTTAGCAGCTCTGAGAAATATCTCTTAAGATACTGTTGAAAATACAGAAATTCTGTATTTAACCACTTCTTTTTTGTTTGTTTGTTTGAGACCGAGTCTCGCTCTGTCACCCAGGCTGGAGTACAGTGGCGTGGTCTCAGCTCACTGTGACCTCCGCTTCCTGGGTTCAAGCGATTCTTCCGCCTCGGCCGCCTGAGTAGCTGCGTCACCACGCTGGGCTAATTTTTGGGTTTTAGTGGAGACGAGGTTTCCCCATGTTGGCCAGGCTGTCTTGAACTCCTGACCTCAAGTGACCTGCTTGCCTTGGCTTCCCAAAGTGTTGGGATTTCAGGCATGAGCCACCGCACCCGGCCCTCAACCACTTCTTAATACAACCATGCAAGCTCACTTTTTAAGGTTCCAACTGTGTACTTACAATAAGAATTCAGAGAAAATACCTTTTGGAGCAGGGATACTGAAGAGCTACCAAAATATTTATTACTGTTGACCCTCAGTTGTGCTTAATGTTTTGAAGATACCTTAAAACTGTCTAGCTGTTTGGGGAGATTATATTAGCTATATGTTTGACTTTTTTGTTTGTCTTTTGTTTTTTTTTTATAATAACCAATTCAACTAGAAGTTCCTAGTTCCTTCCTTCACTGAATTGTTACACAAGCAGACCTCATTTTATTGTGCTTTGCTTTATTGCGTGGTTTTTTTCAAATTGAAGGTTTGTGGCAACCCTGCATCAAGCAAGGCTATCAGTGCCATTTTCCCAACAGCATATGCTGACTTAGTGTTTCTGTGTCACATTTTGGTAAATCTTGGTTATTTCAGACTTTTTCATTAGTATTAAATCTGCTATGGTGATTGGTGATCAGTAATCTTTGATGTTCTATTGTAATTGTTTTGGGGCACCATGAACTGTACCCACATAAGATGGTGGACCTAATCCATCAATGTTATGTGTGTTTTGACTGCTCCATTGACAGGCCCTTCCCTGATCCCTTTCCCTCACAGGCCTCCCTATTCCCTGAGACAAAACAATATTGAAATTAGGCCACTTAATAACTCTACAATGTTCCTTAATGTTCAAGTGGAAGAGTCACACTTCTCTCATTTTTCATGACTGTTAACACAACAGAAGTAATTTTTACTTTCAAGCCTTAATTATTTAAGAAAAAACATTGCATAAGCCTTGTGGCTGCCATAGAAAGTGACTCTGTTGATGCATCTGGGCAAGAAAATTGAGAAACTTCTGGGAAGGATTCACCATTCTAGATACCATTAAGAAATTAGTGATTCATGGGAGGAGGTCCAACTATCAACATTAACAGGAGTTTGGAAGAAGTTGATATCAGTGTTCATGGATGACTTTGAGGGGTTAAGACAAGTGGAGGAAGTCACCCAGATGTAGTGGAGATAGCAAGAGAGCTAGAATTAGAAGTGGAGCCAGAAAATTTGCCTGAGTTGCTGCTATCTCCTGCTCAAACTTGAAGAGATGAGGAGTTAATTCTTACGGATGAGCAATGAAAGAGATGGTATTTAGTCCTAGTGAAGATGCTGTGAACATTGTTAAAATGACAACGAAGGATTTAGGATATTACATAAACTTAGTTGATAAAGCAGTGACAAGGGTGGGAGAGGGTTGTCTCCAGTTTTGAAAGAAGGTCTGTGGAGAAAATGTTGTCAAACAGCATCACATGCTACAGAGAAATCTTTTATGAAAGGAAGAATCAATTGATGCAGCAAACTTCACTGTCATCTTGAGAAATTGCCATAGTCACCCCAACCTTCAACAACGACCCTGTTAAGTCAGCAGCCATCAACATTTCAAGCAAGACCCTCCACCACTGAAAAAATTATGACTCACTGAAGAGTCAGGTGATCATTAGCATTTTCTAGCAATAAAGTATTACATTTTTTAGTTAAGCTATGTACATTGTTTTTTCAGACATAATGCTATTGCACACTTTTATATGCACTGCGAAACCAAAGGTTTTGTGACTTGCTTTATTACAATATTTGCTTTTTTGTGATGGTCTGGGAGTAAACTTGCGCTATATTCAGGGTACACCTATGTATTTGTATATTTTTTCTCCTCCTAGTGATTTATCTTTTATCATATCAGTACTGTTTTAACCATAGTAGTTTTAGAATATGTGGAAGACTGACCAGGCATGGTGGCACACACCTGTAATCCAAGCATTTTGGGAGACTGAGGCAGGCAGATCACATAAGACCAGAAGTTCGAGACCAGCCTGGCCAATATGGCAAAATGCTGCCTCTACTAAAAATACAAAATTAGCTGGGCATGGTGGCACATGTCTGTAATTTCAACTACTCGGGAGGCTGAGTCAGGAGAATCGCTTGCACCTGGGAGGCAGAGGTTGCGGTGAGCCAAGATCACGCCATTGCACTCCAGCCTGGGCAACAAGAGCAAAACTCCATCTCAAAAAAAAATAATAATAATAATATGTGGCAGATCAAAAAGAAATTACGTATTCTAATAATTTTTTAAAATAAATTTAAAAAACAATCAAATTATAGACATGTTACAGAAAATTCACCTAATCCATTTTCAATATTTTCCCAGATTTCCGCACTTAGACACTATGTATATATAATATATATTGTATACGATATATATTGTATACGATATGTAATATACGATATATATTATATATAGTATACATTATATAAATTATATATAATATATAATGTGTGTGTTACACATGTTAATATGCATATATAAAATATATATTAGGCCAGGCAAGGTGGCTCACACTTGCAATCCCAGCACTTTGGTAGACCGAGGTGGGTAGATCACTTGAGGTCAGGAGTTCGAGACCAGCCTGGCCTACATGGCAAAACCCTGTCTGTACTAAAAATACAAAAAAGTAGCCAGGTGTGGTGGCACGTCCCTGTAATCCCAGCTACTTAGGGGGCTGAGGCACTCGAATCACTTGAACCCAGGAACAGGAGGTTGCAGTGAGCTGAGATTTACGCCACTGCACTCCAGCCTGGGTGATAGAACAAGATTCGGTCTCAAAAAAAAAAAAAAGAAAAAATTGTCACAACCACCCCAACCTTTAACAATTTTTTTTCAGCCTAGGACCAATGCAGAATAATGCATTGCATTTAGTTGTTACATTTGTTTTTGTCTCCTTTAACCTGGAATTGTTTCTGAGCCTTTTTGTTTCATGACATTTTGAAGAGTATAGACTAGTTATTTTACAGAATGTTCTTACTTGAGTTTTGTCTGATCTGCATGTTTAAATTTTAGTTTCACATTCTTGGCAGGACTACTACATAAATGATATTTTGTCCTCAATGCATCACATCAGGAGGCACGTGATGTCAGTTTGTTCATTATTCATATTATTAACTCTGATCACTGACTAAAGTGAGGTCTGCAAAGTTTCTCCTGTGTAGTTAGCAGTGTCCTTTTTAATTACTGAAGTGAGCTGTAGACGTATTCTTTAAAACTATGTAATAATCCTGTTTCTTATCAGACTCTGACATAATAGTTTTAGTACCGATTTATGATCTTTGCCTGACTCAGTTATTACTGTGAGGGTCACAGAGTAGTGACTAAAATGATGATTTTCTAACTCTGTCGTTTATTTTGTATTTCTTAGTTGGCACTCTACTGTAAGGAAGAACTTTCCTTTCTCCATTTATTCATTCATTCACTCACTTTTTACAGTTCTGAATTCCTTTTAAAAAAAATTGGTATCACTGTAGACTCATGGATACCTATTTTATTTCTGTTTTATTTGACAAGTTGTAAATCAGTACTCTTTTTTTATTTTGGTTCTCAAATTGTAGCAGATTTGGCCAGTGGGAGTTCCTTTCAATCCAGTTCCTATGTACGTTAGATTTTGTTTGTTTGTTTGTTTGTTTTTTAGACGAAGTCTCGTTCTGTCACCCAGGCCAATATGGCAAAATGCTCTCTCTACTAAAAATACACAATTAGCCGGGCGTGGTGGTCCATGCCTGTAATCCCAACTACTCAGGAGGCTTTTGTGATCTTGGCTCACTGCAACCTCCGCCTCCCGGGTTCAAGCAATTCTCTGCCTCAGCCTCCCAAGTAGCTGGGATTACAGGCACCCACCACCACGCCCGGCTAATTTTTGTATTGGTAGATATGGGATTTCACCATCTTGGACAGACTGGTCTTGAACTCCTGACCTTGTGATCCACCTGCCTTGGCCTCCCAAAGTGCTGGGATTACAGATGTGAGCCACCACACCTGACCTTTATTATTATTATTTTTTAAGCATCTCCATCCTTTCTGACACACGAATATGTTTCAGGGTCTGCTTATGCCCTTTTCTGTGCTAATGAATTATTTTTAATCTATGAAAAGTACTAAAAGTGATTGCAGTTGTGTAACAACAATAATCATTAGCTTGTGAAAAGCACACATTTCAGAATTTATTGTAATATCTCTTATACCCACTTTTGTAGAATAAAGTCAAGGTATATTTAAATTCTATTCTGTTTTGTGACTTTGTTCCTATTTTCTGTTGGTATAGTTTTAAATTTAAATATCATCCCAGATAACCTCTAAGAAAAATAATTTTTTATTTTATTTTTTATTTTTTTCATGAAACCATTTGAAAGATGAAATATTTTCTGGAAAAATAAAATATTAATTTCCTGCTTTATAGTTTGTACAACCCTCAGTAGATTCTAAAAATGGAAAACCAATCGATCATTTACAGGTGTTTTTGTAAATAGTATTTGCCATAGAACAAAATTGTGCGACTACACCCATAAAAATGAAGTATAATCATGTATCACTAACTTTGGGCCTCTCAAGTCATCAGGATAGAAAACTTTTATTTTGCTCTTACATACAAGGTACTATTTTAAGCTCCCCGCTTGTCTGCCCAAGCTGGAGTGCAGTGATGCAATCTCAGCTCACTGCAACCTCCACCTCCTGGGTTCAAACAATTCTCATGCTTCAGCCTCCCAGGTAGCTGGGATGACAGGCATATGCCACCGTGCCCAGCTAATTTTTGTATTTTCAAGAGATTCTCATGCCTCAGCCTCCCAAATAGCTGGGATGACAGGCATGTGCCACCGTCCCCAGCTAATTTTTGTATTTTTAGTAGAGATGAAATTTCACTATGTTGACCAGGCTGGTCTCAAGCTCCTGACCTCAAGTGATCCACCCACCTTGGCCTCCCAAAGTGCTGAGATTACAGGAGGGAGCCACCAGGCTGGTGTATTTTAAGTCTTTTACATTTAAGTCTTTTTAAGTCTTTACATTTGTTTCATTTTAAGTCTTTACATATGTTTCATTATTTTCATTTTGTTGATGATGAAACCAGAGATACTAAATAACTAGCCTTAGGTCACATAGCAGTGGCGCACCCACTCAAATCCAAGTTTTTTAATTGTTTTCATTGTCTCTTCCCATTTTCTTCTACTAATGTGTTGTTTGTGGTAGCTTGCACTACTCTTCCACTTTATCCTTGCCTTCTGATGTTGGTCTTAGGGCAAACTTTTTATTTTCAAACAGAGTCTTGCTCTGTTGCCCAGGCTGGAGTGTAGTGGTGTGATCTCAGCTCACTGCAGGCAACCTCCACTTCCCGGGTTCAGGCAATTCTCCTGCCTCAGCCTCCCAAGTAGCTGGGATTACAGGAGCCCGCCACCACACCGAGATAATTTTTGTATTTTTAGTAGAGACAGGATTTCACCATGTTGGCCAGGCTGGTCTTGAACTCCTGACCTCAGGTGATCTGCCTGCCTTGGCCTCCCAGAGTTCTGGGATTCCAGGCATGAGCCACCATGCCCGGCCAGCAAACTCTTATTTTTTGTATTTATCTTTTTTTTTTTTTTTTTTTTTTAGACAAGGACTTTCCCTGTTGCACAGATTGGAGGGCAGTGGCACAATCACAGTTCACTGCATCCTCTACCTCCCAGGCCCTCAGCCTCCCAAGGAGCTGGGACCACAGGCTTGCACCACCACACCGCAGCTAATTTTTTAAAAGAAATATTTCATAGAGATGGGGTCTCGCTATGTTGCCCAGGCTGGTCTGGAATCCTGGGCTCAAATGGGATCCTCCCACCACTGCCAACCAAAATACTGGCATTACAGACATAAGCCACAACACCCAGCTGAATTTATCTTTTTTCAGATATCTTTTTAGGTTGTTTTAATGGCAGTTAATGGGGAGAGATTAGATGCTAGTATTTAATACATCATCATGAACTAGACATGAACACATTCTTCAGACTGAGTGTAATGTAGGGGGCGAGTTTCAATGTAGTCACATTTTGGCTGGGCACAGTGACTCACAGCTGTAATCCTGTCATTTTGGGAGGCAAAGGCAGGTGGATGACTTCAGGCCAGGAGTTTGAGACCAGCCTGGGCAACATGGCAAAACCCCATCTATACTAAAAATACAAAAATTAGCTGAGCATAGTGGCGTGCTCCTGTAATCCCAGCTACTCGGGAGGCTAAGATGGGAGGATCTCTTGTACCTGGGAGGCAGAGGTTGCAGTGAGCCGAAATCATGCCACTGCACTCCATCCTGGATGAGACTGTCTCAAAGGAAAAAAAAATAGTCACATTTGAACCAATAGTGGTTATTGGTTTTTGGATAGATTGTGACTTATTATTTATTTACTTTTATTTTAATTTGTTTTTTGGAGACAGAGTCTTGTGCTGTCACCCAGGCTGGAGAGTAGTGGTGCGATCTTGGCTCACTGCAACCTCCGCCTCCCAGGTTCAACCAATTCTCCTGCCTCTGCCTCCCGAGTAGCTGGAACTACAGTGCCCGCCACCACGGCAAGCCAATTTTTATATTTTTAATAGAAACAGGGTTTCACCATGTTAGCCAGGCTGGTCTCAAACTCCTGACCTCTGTGATCCACCCGCCTCGGCCTCCCAAAGTGCTGGGATTACAGGTGTGAGGCACCGCACCTGGCTTGTGACTTACTATTTATGTTATTTATATTGATAGAGTCATGCTATTCTTAGAAGACTACACACTTATTTCCATGACTGAGCTTAGAAATTATTTTAGTTACATACTTCTGATTATTCCTTGATCATACTATATAAAAACCTTTTAGTATTCTTCTATCCATTTTTTATCTGTCTAGACTTCTAAGTCAAAAAGACATGAATCTAGGTTAATGCCTCCCTTTTCTTCATCAGCACACACACTGTACATCCTACTTGCTGTCTACCTTGTCATTATTTACCAAAAATGCATTTGAGTGCCAAGTCCTGAGGATATAATGGTGTGCTACAAGCAATCCTTAATCTCATGAGACTCTTGATTGTTTTTTATAAATTCTACCTTCTGAATATCTTCTTGCCGTACTCTTTTAGCCCCACTACCATATCTTTAGTTTAATCCCTTATGGGTTGGTGCAAAAGTAATTGTGGTTTTTGCTGTTACTTTTAATGGCAAAAAAAAAACACAGTAACTTTTTTACCAACCTAATACTTTCTTTTGTGGATCACATCAGAACCTTTCTGTTTTAGTAACTTCAGTTTCACCCTCTCTCCATTCTAGGTTCTGTTACAGTAACTCTTAACTATGTGTATCCATGAGAAACTCTGATAATGTTTTTTAAAAAATACCTGACTTCTCTCAAATACTGTTGTATGTGTAGATTACTTGCCAATCTCTATCAGAATTGAAAGTGGACATACCTTTCTCTGAGGATTTGTGGTTCCAGGAATTTAGATTATAAATATACACTTGGATGTGTGTACAGAGGCATAGATGCAAATATGTTCATTGTAGCATTTATGAATATTTAAAATTTAAAACATTCTACATGTTCATCTACAGAGAACCAGTTAAATACAGAAGGATAAAGGATGATGAGAAGATTTATATATACATACATTTAGTTGAAATATATTTTTGGATGTTTCATAAGAAACTATGAACAGTGGCTTTCTCAGTGGAAAACTAGAGGAAGAAAGTTAACTTGAATTGTACACCAGTTATACTGTTGGATATTTTACCATGCACATCTAATGCTTTTTTTTTTTTTTTGGAGACAGAGTCTTGCTCTGTCGCCCAGGCTGGAGTGCAGTGGCGTGATCTCGGCTCACTGCAACCTCCACCTCCTAGGTTCAAGTGATTCCACTGCCTCAGCCTCCTGTCTAATGCTTTTTAAATTAAAATACAGTCCAGTCACAGTGACTCATGCTTGTAATCCCAACACTTTGGGAGGCTGAGGTGGGCAGATCACCTGAGGTCAGGAGTTCGAGACCAGCTTGTCCAACATGATGAAACTCTGTCTCTACTAAAAATACAAAAATTAGCTCGGCATGGTGGCATACACCTGTAATCCCAGCTACTTGAGAGGCTGAGGCATGAGAATGACTTGAACCTGGGAGGCAGAGGTTGCAGTGAGCCAAGATCGCACCATTGTACTCCAGTCTGGGTCACAGAGTGAGACTCTGTCTCAAGAAAATAATTATTTAGCAATGAACGATTGAAAAATGAAATATTATGAAATGTATTATTTACAGTAGTGCCAAAAACATGAAATACTTAGGTATAAATCTAACAAAGTATGTGCAAGATCTGTATGCTGAAAAGTATAAAACATTAATGAAAGAGGCTGGGCACAGTGGCTTACGCCTGTAATCCCAGCACTTTGGGAGGCCGAGGCAGGTGATCACCTGAGGTCAAGAGTTCGAGACCAGCCTGGCCAGTATGGCAAAATGCTGTCTTTACTAAAAATACAAAATTAGCCAGGCATGGTGGCACATGCCTGTAATCCCAGCTACTCAGGAGGCTGAGGCAGGAGAATCGCTTGAACCCCAGAGGCCGAGGTTGCAGTGAGCTGAGATTGCGCAACTGCGCTCCAGCCTGGGCAACAAGAGCAAAACTCTGTCTCAAAAAAAAAAAGAGATTGCAAAAAGAGAATATAATCTCTACACCACACTGTTAATATGTGATTTTTCTTTTTACACTTCCTTGTTTCCAATATTTGGAATTTATATGTAAGCTTGACAATAAAATTTCAGAGTCTTGAATTGCCAAGGATTAATGTGCATTAGCCTGCTTCGTATCCATTCTTTGGGAAATCTTTTAATTCTTTAATCACGGAAGTTAACCTTTTACTGCTTGAATTTTTTACTTGAGTTTTTCACGCTTCTAATGATATTTTTTATTTTTTTAACTTATGATATAGCATCCTGCTAATAATACAGTACATTGATTGGATAATCAATCCCCTATTTCCTAGAATTTATTAATCTTTTCTCTTTACTCAATCGTTTGCTACTTTATATCACTGAGGATTTGCATCAGTGTTTATGTATTTCTTAATATTTCCTTAAAAATGTTACAGTGAATTTTACTCTGCCATATTATTTTGAATTATTATACAATAAAAATGACTAATTTTTTATTTATGTACAGTCTTATGAATTTTAATGTGTTTAGATTTTTGTAGTCATCACCATAATCAAGATACATAACAGTTTCATCATCCCAGAAGACTTCTTCATGCTATCCTTTTATAGTCATATGCTCACCCCAACTGAAGCTCCTGGACATCAGTGATTTGTTTTTCATTACTATAGTTTCATCTTTCTAAGATTTCCAAATAAATGAAATCATACAGCATGTAACCGTTGAGAGCATGTCTTTCACTGAGCATAATATCTTCCTGAAAGTAATGTTTTTGACATTAATTCAAGTTGTGTGAGTCAAAGTTGGTTCCTTTTTACTGCTGAGTAATATTCCACTGTGTGGATACTTCAGTTTGCTTTATCCATCCGGCTACTGAAGGACATTGAGTTGTGTCCAGTATTTGGCTATCACAATTAAGTCTGTCATGAACATTTGTATGCAAATTTTTGTCTGAATTCATAAGTACTCATTTCTATTAAGTAAATGCCCCAGAGTAAAATTGCTAGGTTTTATGGTAATTATATATTTAACTTTATTAGAAACTGTCAAACCATTTTCCAGAGTGGCTGTACCATTCTGCATTCCTGCTAACAATGTATGAGCTTCAGTTATTGTGTATCGTCATTGGTACTTGATAATCTTTACTTTAGCCATCCTTCTAAGTATATAGTGGTATCTCATCATGCTTTTAACATTTTTCCTTTTTTTTTTTTTTTTTTTTTTTTTTTTTTGGAGATAGAGTCTCATTCTGTCACCCAGGCTGGAGCGCAGTGGCACAATCTGGGATTACAGACACCTGCCACCACACCCAGCTAATTTTTTGTATTTTTAATAGAAACGGGGTTCACCACATTGCCCAGGCTGGTCTTGAACTTGTGGGCTCAAGCTGTCCACCCACCTGGGCCTCCCAAAGTGCTGGGAGTACAGGCATGAACCACCACACCTGGCCTAACATATTTTTCCTAATACTAAAGATGTTGAGGCTGGACGCGGTGTCCTATGTCTATAATCCCAGCACTTTGAGAGGTCGATACAGGCAGATCGTTTGAGCCCAGGAGTTTGAGACCAGCCTGGCCAACATGGTGAAACCCTGTCTCTACTAAAAATATAAAAATTAGCTGGGCATGGTAGCACACATCTGTAATCCTAGCTACTCGGAAAGCTGATGCACAAGAATTCACTGAACCTGGGAGATGGAGGTTGCAGTGAGCCGAGATCATGCCACTGCACTCCAGCCTGGGCAACAGAGTGAGACTTCGTCTGAAAAAAAAAAAAAAAAAAAAAAAAAAAAGAGGTTTTTTCATGTGTTTATTTATTTGCCAGCCTTATATCCTCTTTGGGAAAGCCATATTGATTATTTATTTGCATCTAAATGCTCATTTTTTGAAGAGGATGTTAATTGTCGCTCATATTAACCCAGTCTAAAAATGATAGACCAATATTGGCTATCAGACACAATTAAGTTTAGTTCACTCTTTTATCATGCACATGTCCACTAAAAAGTTTGAGCCTCCTTCTATTTAAGGTCTCTTGCCAACAGAAAAATAGAAGAGCCCAGATTTTCCACTGTCATTACGTGGATTTTTAGGTTTTTAAACATGTCCTATAGGTGTGGGTAATATGCATGTATACACACACACACACACACACACACACACATATATGCATAATTATTTTCCTTACTATTATTCTCTAGTCTTAATTCAGACTTTGTTTTCCAGGTAAACTCAGTTTTCTAAACTTAAACATTCCAGAAGCTTTACATTAATTAGAAAATTAATCTTCAAGATGTGTGATATCTGTCATTAGCCACAAGCTGAATGATTCTCACTGATTCAGCCAGCTAGTCAGAGATAAAAAGGTATAGTTCTTTTAAAGAACTATTAAGGAAAGGGACTAATAACAATTTTATTTTGATTAAAGTAGTGCTGGCTGCTATAATCAGTTAATTTCAAAATCTGAGTGGCTTAACACATAGAAATTTATTTCTCACACCCATAACCGTAAAGTATCATTAGGGGGAGTAGGGTGTTAATTGCTCTCCCCAGTCATTCAGGGACCGAAGTTTTCATGGGGTATTGGTGTCCTGGCAGACAGGAGAAGATAAAAAGATAGAAAAGGCACTCCTACTTGTTAATTTGCCTAGAAATGTGCAATACACATTAGCGTTTCCTCCTAGGAACACCATTTCCTCATGGAAACAGGAGGGCAGAGAAGATGGGTTGGAAGAAATTATTAGTCATCAGACTAATAATGACTTGCTGTCATTTGATGATCCTCTCCAGGCTCAGAGCAATGTTAATCCAAGGCAGAAAGAGTATGGTACTCAAGGTTGCAACAGTGGCTTTTGCCTTTTTCAATTTTTTGTTCCTTGTTTCTTGTGTCATTTGTCCTCCAGAAAGACGAAGTTACTGAACAATGATTTCTGGACAAGTTAGGATAACATTGCTGGTGTGGAGGACAAAATATCAAAATGGCTAAGAGTGAAGCTTGACAGGAGAAGTTCTAAATGGTGTCTGATAAGCTATATTGTTATAGAATTATGTCTGCGAGAAAGCAGAATGTTTCCAAGTCAATAAGAGCAAGCTTTTTATTTTAAGGTAATGCAGTGGAGTCCCTTTAAAAGTAAACTTAAAAGGAATACCAATGTGTGAAACAGATTAGAATGGAAATTCTATATTTGAAACAGGTAATGGGATGGCCAAGTGTCTCTGTTCCCTCATAACCCCTGACAAGAAACTTCTTTAAAACTATGAAACAGCCTGAAATATTTATAGTGTAGAATAATAGAAAAGTAGAAGGAAAGGAAGTGATATTTATAATGAGTAGGACAATGACATAACCAAAATAAAGCAATTCTTCAACATTACTCTTTTCCAGCTTAATTTCCCATTGATTACTATTAATTTATATATCACTCTTCTAGTAATTTAACAGATAGGGTTGTTTCAAATTCAAATCTTGTCTTTTCCATTCAGACCTCATTATTATTGTACTTAATATTATAATTTAGAATTTACCTTAAGGTATCTCAGGACCATTGAACATCTTCTAGTGTATTAGGGTAATTTTTTTAGCACTAATGTTTATAACTTGACAATGTTCCAGTAGTCTATTTTCTGCATTCTGACATGAGTCAATCATTTAATTATGTTTAATAAAATCCTGACATCATCTCATTAATTTTGCACCAAAGGCAGCGCACCACTTATTCCTCTAATTCTTTTTTTCTTCCCTTTTCCTTTTTCTTTTTTTTTTCTTTTCTTTTCTTTTTTTTTTTTTTTTTTTTTTTTTTTTTAAGACAGTCTCACTCTGTCGCCCAGGCTAGAGTGCATTGGTGTGATCTTGACTCATAAAACCTCTGCCTCCCAGGTTCAAGTCATTCTCCTGCCTCAGCCTCCTTAGTAACCAGGAATACAGGCATGTGCCACCATGCTTAGCTAATTTTTGTATTTTTAGTAGAGACAGGGTTTTGCCATGTTGGCCAGGCTGGTCTAGAACTCCTGACCTCAGGTGATCCACTCACCTCGGCCTCCCAAAGTGCTGGGATTACAGGCGTGAGCCACTGCACCCAGGACCAGGTCATTCCTCATACCTCCAATTCTTAAGAGTTATTGTCAGTCTCAAGTAGGCACATTGGAAGTATCTTTTGCTTGAGTGATCTGAAACCTGAAAATTTATTATTTTTTTTTCTTTTTTAGACAGAGTCTCACTGTCACCCACGCTGGGGTACAGTGGCATGATCTCGACTCACTGCAACCTTCTCCTCCTGGGTTAAAGTGATTCTCATATCTCAGCCTCCAAGTAGCTGAGACAGGCATGTGCCACCACACCCGGTAATTTTTTATATTTTTAGTAGAGACGGGGTTTCACCATCTTGGCCAGGCTGGTCTTGAACTCCTGACCTCAGGTGATCCACCCGCCTCGGCCTGCCAAAATGCTGAGATTACAGATGTGAACCACTGTGCCTGGTCTGAAACCTGAAAATTTTAAAGTAAAATCAGCTAGGCCGGGCACGGTGGCTGACACCTGTAATCCTAACACTGTGGGAGGCTGAGGTGGGCAGATCATGAGCTCAGGAGTTCGAGACCAGCCTGGCCAACATAGTGAAACCCCATCTCTACTGAAAATACAAAGATTAGCCGGGTGTGGTGGCACGCACCTGTAGTCCCAGCTACTCAGGTGGCTGAAGCGGGAGAATCACTTGAACCCGGGAGGAGGAGGTTGCAGTGAGCCAAGACCACACCATTGCACTCCAGCCTGGGTGACAGAGTGAGACTCTGTCCCCCCCAAAAAAATTAAATTAAATTAAAAAAATAAAATCAGCTCTAACTCTCAACTAGTTCCTGCAGCATTCTACTTATTGATTTTCCTTTTAACTTATTATCTACATATGTTTACCTTTATGGTTTGTAGTTTATCAAGTGGGGAAGATCATAGTGACACAAGATAAATTTACTGATTACATAATGGAATATTGGGTGGGCGCGGTGGCTCACACCTGTAATCCCAGCACTTTGGGAGGTCGAGGCGGGTGGATCACCTGAGGTCAGGAGTTAGAGACCAGCCTGACCAACATGGTGAACCCTGTCTCTACCAAAAATACAAAAATTAGTCAGGCGTGGTGGCACGTGCCTGTAATTCCAGCTGCTCAGGAGGCTGAGGCAGGAGAACTGCTTAACCCACCACTGCACTCTAGCCTGGGCGACAGAGCAAGACTTGATCTCAAAAAATTAAAGTAAAATAAAATAAAGGAATATCAATATTAGGTATGCTTTATTGCGAAAAGATACATCGTTTATTCAAAAAATGTAGTAAACATTTTGTGTACAAAAATGCAGTAAAAGATCTATCCAAGGCCCGGGAGACAGTGCAATACTCCATCTCAAAAAAAAACTGAAAAGGTGCTCATCCTCATTGTATTTAGAGAAATGTAAATTAAAACCACTACCCATATGTAATAGAATTCCCAAACTTAAGCAATCTGATATCAAGTGTTGGTAGAAATGTGAAGACCCAGCAACTGTCAATGACTAGTAGATACAAACACTTTGAATAACAGTTTCAGAATATCTAATAACATTGTACATACACATACTGTATGATCCAGAAGTCCTATTCTTAGAGCATCAGGAATAGGATTTTGTCCCTATTTTCCAGAGAGACAAATATCAGAATTAAGGAAAGTAAAATTGATTAAGGATTACAACGTAAAAGAGAACTCCAATTTGGATAGGTTTTTTACCACATTTTTGTTTGAATACTTGATGTATCTTACTGCAATAAAACATACCTAATAATATTGATATTCTCAAAATGTGGCCTGGGAACCCATGGGCGGTTTCCAGGAGAGGTCCATGAAGTCAAAACTATTTTTACAATAAGATCAAGATGTTATTTCCTTTTTACACTCTCATTCTCTTGCAAGTGTACAGGTGGGGTATTGGTGTCATAGCAAGGAATATTCATGTTGTCTACAGAGGTTATTAAACTATACCTTCTTTTCCCAAACTACTTTGTGAGACTGGATTTTTTCATATATTTCAATGAAAACAATGTATTGTAACAATGCAAAGCAGATAGGAAAATTCAGTTGTTTTCTATTAAGACAGACATTAAAGAGATTTGCAAAAATGTAAAACAGTGCTACTCTTAATAAATATTCTTTCCTTTAGAAAATTTATTTTGAGGCCAGGCACGGTGGCTCACACCTGTAATCCCAACCCTTTGGGAGGCTGAGGCGGGCGGATCATGAGGTCAACAGTTCAAGACCAGCGTGGCCAACATGGTGAAGCCCTGTCTCTACTAAAAATACAAAAATTAGCCAGGCGTGGTGGCAGGCGCCTGTAATCCCAGCTACTTGGGAAACTGAGCCAGGAGAATCACTTGAACCCGGGAGGCGGAGGTTGCAGTGAGCCGAGACAGTGCCATTGCACTCCCGCCTGGGCAACAAAGCGAGACTTCGTCTCAAAAAAAAAAAAAAGAAAGAAAATTTATGTTGCGGCCGGGCGTGGTGGCTCACGCCTATGGTCCTAGCACTTTGGGAGGCAGAGGTGGGCAGATTGCCTGATCTCAGAAGTTCGAGACCAGCCTGGGCAACATGGCAAAACCCCGTCTCTACTAAAATACAAAAAAATTAGTCAGGCGTGTGCCTGTAGTTCCAGCTACTCAGGAGGCTGAGGTAGGAGAATTGTTTGAACCCGGTAGGTGGAGTTTGCAGTGAGCCGAGATCACGCCACTGCACTGCAGCCTGGGCAACAGAGCAAGACTCTGTCTCAAAAAAAAAAGAAAATTTTTGATAATTGGTTACCGTGGCTCAGACCTGTGATCCTAGCAGTATGGGACACCAAGGCAGGTGGATTGCTTGAGTCCAGGAGTTTGAGACCAGCCTGCGCATCATGGTGAAACCCCGCCTCTACTCAAAATACAAAAATTAACCAGATGTGGTGGTGCATACCTGTAGTCCCAGCTATTTGGGAGGCTGAGGCGAGAGGACCACCTGAGCCAGGGAGGCTGAGGCTGCAGTGAGCCGTGATCACACCACTGCACTCCAGCCTGAGTGACAAAGTGAGACCCTGTCTCAAAAAAAAAAGAAAGTTTGTTTCTTTTCAGAAAGTTTTATTATTTGTTATGTAATAAATTTTTAAGTGAATTAATAAGTATTTTATAAACATTTCTTAGTTTTAGTTTCTAATATGATAGTATTGAGAGATATAACACACATAAGGAAAAACTCTTTGGGACTCTTAGTAACTTTTAAGAGTATAAAGAGATCCTGAGAACTAAAAACTCTGAAAACCTCTGCCCTAGAAAAATGCATGCAGAGTGCACCAAGACACATATATAAGCATGTTAATCGCAATATGATCCACAATGGCCTAAAACTCAAAGCAGTGTAAAAGTTTATCAATGATAGACGAATAGGGAGTATTCTAAATATTACACGGAACTAAAAACTAATGAACTCTAGGTACATGCAACATCAATAAATCTGAAACATAAATGTTAAATGAAAAAAGTCAGACTCAATACATATGGTATGATTACGTTTATGTACTGTTCAACGATATGCGTAAAAAACTAGGAATGCAGACTTAGGTAATTAAAATATACCAATTCCCAAATAATCCATAATAACTGTTGCCCTTGGGAGAAGAAAGATAATTATATTGGGAGGAGGTGCTGGCAATGTTTTATTTCTTGATGTGGGTGGTGGTTACACAGGTATTTTTGCTTTATATTCATTAAGCTTTATACTCATAAATGTATATTTGATATGACTGTTTTCACATTAAAATACTTTAAAAGAAGTAGAAATTTTCTTATAAAATGTGGGTAAATATTTTAGATTCAGTTATTTCAACTATAAAATTTGGATAAAAATAATTTCATCAGTCTCCTTTTAAAAATTTGACTAAGTAAAATATTCATGACACTACATTTTTGTTTAAACATAGTGCTATTTCAATCTGTATTTATTCCCATATGTTGTGTCTTTATTCTCCAGATTGATACATTGGTTTGTCCTTTTTAACCAAGTATTTTATACATTCTCATTAATTATACAAAAATTTGGACTTGAAGCTATACTATAAAATAACAACTGTGATAAATATTATCTTAGCACGGTGCAAACAGATGATCTCATTTTTTTGAATTTTTCATTAAAAAAATTTTTTTTCATTTGATACAGATAGTCGTGCAAGCACTGCAGTGTTCCCATTATTCGATTCTTTGGCAGTTGGTGAAAATTACTGATGGCTCTCCTTCCAAAGTAAGTAAGAGTTTCTGTAGGCAGAAGGGTTATTACTGAAATAATAACCTTGCTTAACTATTTAATAATTTACTATTATCAGTTATTGTATAATATAAATTATTGTAATATTTAATAAAATATATGACTATTACCAGTTCTTGGTTTATCTTATGAGTAAGTATACATTTACCTCTTTGGGAAGAGCCAAAATCTTCAAGCAAAAGACACATAGTTATGTGTGTGTATATATATGTACACACACACACGGATTAAAACTTCTTATATAAAATCACTGTAGTAGACACAAGAGCTCTGATAGGTAACATGCTATTAAAAAGAATAACATTGAGGCCGTGCACGGTGGCTTACGCCTATAATCCCAGCACTTTGGGAGGCCGAGGTAGGCAGATCACTTGAGGTCAGGAGTTCAAGACCAGCCTGGCCAATATGGTGAAACTCCATCTCTACTAAGAATACAAAAATTAGCTGGGCATGGTGATGCACACCTGTAGTCCCAGCTACTTGGGAGGCTGAAGCAGGAGAATCACTTGAACCCGGGAGGTAGAGGTTGCAGTGAGCTCAGATCACGCCACTGCTCTCCAGCCTGAGCGACAGAGTGAGACTCTTGTCTGAAAAAAAAAAAAATACAAAAATTAGCCGGGTGTGGTGTTGGGTGCCTGTAATCCCAGCTACTGAGGAGGCTGAGGCAGGAGAATCGCTTGAACCCAGGAGGCAGAGGTTGCAGTGAGCCAAGATCGCGCCATTGTACTCCAGCCTGGGCAACAAGAGCAAAACTCCATCTCAAAAAAAAGAATAACATCATTGAAAGATAGTAGTATGATACCTAGAGACACAAAGTGAACAACCCTCTTGAAGTTAAAAACAACTTAAAATGTTGGGTAAATTTTTTTTTTTTGAATTTTAATGTATCCATGACCATGCAAAACAAAGAAAAATGTGGGCTAGGGATTAAATGAAAAAAAGTAAGATCAAGAAAGCCAAAAAGAGCACTGAAGCCTGCTTTACCTTGAGGATGTTTCTCAAGGTCCATCCAGGATAGAATGTCTCATAGGTGGCCACATCTCCCAGATAATTTTGGGATCCTAATGACCTGCTCTTACCACAGGGGTGAACTAGAAATAAACGCACTCCAGTTTCCTTCAGGGGCTGGGGGATTATAAGGAAAAGAGTCTGTCTTAAAATTTGTCATTGATTAAAATGGGGAAAAATAAATCTCCCATGAAAGTTTATGACTTAGCTTTTGCATAGGTTTTCACCTGAATTCATACTATTTTGATGGTAAAAAAAAAAGAAAGAAAAAAAGTTGAGATTTTGATTAAGTGTTCTATAATGGTGGTAATCCCCAACCACCTAACAGAATCAAATCTAAATATCTTCTGAAGGAACTTGCCTTAAAGAATTTTCCACAAGTAAAACCTTAAGCAAAATGAGCTCACAGCAAAAATATCACTCATGAAAACAACCATGAAGAGAATCAGACAAAAAATACTTCACATTGGAATTATCTGACACAAATATAAATGTTTCAGTTATTTCATGTAATGAGAGGCCTGAACATGACTAAGAAGTAAACATTTGATAAAGAACCAAATAAAGATATTAGTATGTTTGTGTATCTCCTCTTAACAAAACAAGCTGTTTAACCAGTAAAGATGAGTAATGCATTTGCATATAGAACAAACAGCTTGATATGGAGTGTTATTTTTTCAGAGTAAGAATTTTTTTTCCTTTCTGAGTAACAATTTGAGGATCTCTGCATTTAGAAAGTAGTAGGATTTTTAAATTCTTTTTCATTAGAAGAATGGTAATATATTGGTTAGCCTCTTGGTTTTTCTCTTTTATTAATAATTTCAGTCTTGAAAAACAAAAATAACAGTTAACCTTTTATTAGTAATGAAAGCCACTTTAAAACTGTGTTACAGCCTGGTGCGGTGGCTCGCGCCTGTAATCCCAGCACTTTGGGAGGCCGAGGCGGGCAGATCACAAGGTCAAGAGTTCGAGACCAGCCTGGCCAATATGGTGAAACCCTGTCTCTACTAAAAATACAAAAATTAGCTGGGTGTGGTGGCAGGCGCCTGTAGTCCCAGCTGCTTGGGAGGCTGAGGCAGAAGAATCGCTTGAACTCGGGAGGCGGAGGTTGCAGTGAGCCAAGATCATGCCACTGCACTCCAGCCTGGGCGATAGAGCGAGACTGTCTCCAAAAAAAAAAAAAAAAAAAAAAAAAAGGCCAGGCGCGGTGGCTCACGCCTGTAATCCCAACACTTTGGGAGGCCGAGGTGGGCGGATCACAAGGTCAGGAGATCGAGACCATCCTGGCTAACACAGTAGTGAAACCCTGTCAATACTAAAAATACAAAAAAATTAGCCGGGCGTGGTGGCAGGCGCCTGTAGTCCCAGCTACTCAGGAGGCTGAGGCAGGAGAATGGCCGGAGCCCAGGAAGTGGAGCTTGAAGTGAGCGGAGAGATCGCGTGGCTGCACCCCCGCCTGGGCGACAGAGCGAGACTCTGTCTCAAAAAAAAAAAAAAAAAAAAAAAACTGTGTTACACTGGGCCTGGCGGCTCACGCCTGTAATCGTAGCACTTTGGGAGACCAAGGTGGGCGGATCACCTGAGGTCAGGAATTCCAGAACAGCCTGGCTAACGTGATGAAACCCTGTCTCTACTAAAAATACAAAGTTAGCTGGGCATCATGGCGCACATCTGTAATTCCAGTTACTTGGAGGCTGAAGTACGAGAATCGCTTGAACCTGGGAGCTAGAGGTTGCAGTGAGCCAAGATCTTGCCACTGCATTCCAGCCTGGGTGACAGAGCGAGCCTCTTGTCTTTTTTTGAAATGTTATTTAATATAGTAAAGTCAAAGGAGATTGAATTTATATATTAAAATTTGATAGGAAGGGTTTAATGATTTTACACAATTGCTTTTATTCTCACCCTTCTGATTGAGTTTTAGATAGTTTTTCCCACAGACGTCATTTTTGTTGAGTTACTTGCATTTTGGCTAAATATTGATTATTGCATTTAGCAAATTTAGAATATGTTATTCCGTAAAAATTCAGCATAATTGATAGTTAATTCCTCCTTGTAAATCTATTAATAATTTAAATTTTGTCTTTTTTTTAATTGAGATGGAGTCTCACTCTGTCACCTAGGCTGGAGGAGTGCAGTGGTGCAATCTTGACTCACTGCAACCTCTACCTCCCGGGTTCAAGTGATTCTCCTGCCTCAGCCTCCAGGGTAGCTGGGATTACAGGCGCATGCCACCATGCCCGGGTTTTTTGTATTTTTAGTAGAGACTGGGTTTCACCACGTTGGCCAGGCTGGTCTTGGACTCCTGACCTCAAGTGATCCACCCACCTCAGCCTCCCAAAGTATTGGGATTACAGGTGTGTGCCACTGTGCCCAGCCTAAATTTTGTCTTTTTACAACTATATTCCATAATTGGAATGAGAATCTCTATTCTTCAATCGACTTCTTTGAATATTTTCTATTTTTTA
The DNA here is from genome assembly GCF_000001405.40 of Homo sapiens. Lineage (NCBI taxonomy): Eukaryota > Metazoa > Chordata > Mammalia > Primates > Hominidae > Homo > Homo sapiens. The sequence continues at coordinate 136,395,251 of NC_000003.12, read as the reverse complement.
ATCTTTTTACAGCAGAATTATTTTGAAATTCCTTGCCTTTTTTGTCTGACACATTCTCCTAATAAAAGATAGTTTTATTTTTGTATTAGTCATATTACATATTTCATTGGCAATGCAGATTTTGTTACCAGAACTGATTTTGTTTTGTTTTATTTTTGAGACAGGGTCTCACCCTGGTTGCCCACTGTCACGGCTCACTGTGGCCTCAACCTCCTGGGCTCAGGTGATCCTCCCACCTCAGCCCCTGAAGTAGCTGGGACTACAAGTGTGTGCCACCACGCCTAGCTACATTTTTTTTTTTTTTTTTTTTTTTGAGACAGAGTCTCGCTAGAGTGCAGTGGCATGATCTTGGCTCACTGCAGTCTCCGCCTCCCAGGTTCAAGCGATTCTCCTGCCTCAGCATCCCAAGTAGCTGGGATTACTGGTGCCTACCACCATGCCTGGCTAATTTTTGTATGTTTAGTAGAGACGGGGTTTCACCGTGTTGGCCAGGCTGGTCTCGAACTCCCAACCTCAGGTGATCTGCCTGTCTTCGCCTCCCAAATTGCTGGGATTGCCTGTCTTCGCCTCCCAAATTGCTGGGATTACAGGTGTGAGCCACCACACCCAGCCACGCCTGGCTACTTTTTTATATTTTTTGTAGAGATGGGGTTTCACCATATTACCCAGGCTAGTCTCAAACTCCTAGACTCAAGCAGTCCACCCGCCTCAGCCTCCCAAAGTGCTGGGATTACAGGTGTGACCCACTGATTTTCTTTATGCCAGAAAGAATGCTGCAGCATCTTTTATGTGTTTTATTCAGTTAATTACAATTTATAGTTTTATGTGCATTTATAGCATATGTGGAATTTTTCTTACTTAGGTATTTGTCTCTCAAGTTATTTCTTCTCATTTTGAAGTTGTTGGTAGTTTCTTTAAAAGTCCAGGGTATATTCAGTAGTCATCGTACATCAGTTCTGTCTATAATTTTAAAATGGTTCTCTAAGTGATAATCTTCAAAAGCATGAATTTTTAAGACACATGCAAACTTTAAAAATTCATGTTTCAGCTGGGTGCAGTGGCTCATGCCTGTAATTCCAGCACTTTGGGAAGCCAAGGCAGGCGGATCACGAGGTCAAGAGATAGAGATTATCCTAACCAACATGGCGAAACCCCGTCTCTACTAAAAATACAAAAATTTGCTGGGCGTGGTGGCATGGGCATGTCCCTGTAGTCCCAGCTACTCAGAAGGCTGAGGCAGGAGAATCGATTGAACCCAGGAGGCGGAGGTTGCAGTGAGCCAAGATTGCATCACTGCACTCCAACCTGGCAACAGAGCGAGACTCCGTCTCAAAAAAAAGAAAAATCCATGTTTCAGGCTGGACACAGTGGTTCATGCCTGTAATCCTAGCACTTTGGGAGGCCAAGGTGGGCAGATCACTTGAGGTCAGGAGTTGGAGACCAGCCTGACCAACATGGTGAAACCCTGTCTCTACTAAAAATACAAAAATTAGCCAAGTGTAGTGACACATGCCTGTAGTCCTAGCTACTCGGGAGTCTGAGGCAGGAGAATCGCCTGAACCCACAGCAGGTAGAGATTGCAGTGACCTAAGATTACACCAGTGCACTCCAGCCTAGGCAACAGAGTGAGACTCTGTCTCAAAAAAAAAAAAAAAAAAAAAGATGAAGCGTAGGAAGGGACTTTGTTGTTGTCATTACCTTATTGTTTTACATTTTGTTTGCTCGTTTGTTCATTTGTTTGTTTTGAGACAGAATCTTGCTGTGTTGCCCAGGCTGGAGCTCAGTGGCATGATCTCAGCTCACTGCAAGCTCCGTCTCCCAGGTTCAAAGGATTCTCCTGCCTCAGCCTCTCCTGAGTAGCTGGGATTACAGTCACCCACCACCATGTCCGGCTAATTTTTGTATTTTTACAAAAGTTGGCTCAGTTTGTAATGCCAGGACTAACAGTATATGGAGGACTTCTGTGATAATGCACCTAAAACTCTATCCATTTTTTCCCCTTAATTTTTTCCCTGAAGTTTAAATGTAGTATGGTAGATACTGGGATTTTTATATATGTTAAATGTATTTAATATTTGTAATGTTGGTCATTTAGAAGCAAGCTGAAAGTTTGTTACGTAAAGTAATTTTGTATTATTTTGTTGAGAAAATGTTAAAATGAAATGGGTCATTTAGACAGTGAGGGAGCAAGCCAGCCAACCATTATTTGTTTTTCTTTCTGTAGTCATTTATACAGTTATAGAAACATTTAAATCTCTCAAGAGGTCACATATTTTTATTAATAAAATATGCTTATTATTTTTTGTTATAAAATACAAGGTAGAGTTCTCATAAATTTGAGCTCTCCTACTTCAGCATATGCTTATTATAAAAGAAGAAATACAAAAATAGTAATATAAACAAAATAAAACTGACTCTTACCACTTGTAGATAACCACTGTTAATATTTTGGTGTATTTTCTTTTCTTTTTTTTTTTTTTTTTTTTGAGACGGAGCCTGGCTCTGTCACCCAGGGTGGAATGCAGTTGCACAATCTCGGCTCACTGCAACCTCCATCTCCCAGGTTCAAGCGATTGTCCTCCGTCAGCCTCCCCAGTAGCTGGGACTACAGGCGCATGCCACCACGCTTGGCTGACTTTTTGTATTTTTAGCAGAGACGGGGTTTCACCGTGTTAGCCAGGATGGTCTCGATCTGCTGACCTTGTGATCCACCTGCCTCAGCCTCCCGAAGTGCTGGGATTACAGCCATGAGCCACTGCGCCCAGCCTGGTTTATTTTCTTTAGTGCTTTTTCTTTAATATATTTGTAATTTTATTGAGATTACAATGTACTTTCAATTTTTATCTTCTCTTCAATTAACATATTTTCTTCAGTTATTAAGAAAAGTTTATAGAGAATATTTTTAATATATGCATAATCTATTGTGTAGCTATACCGTAATTTATTTTACCTCTCTCCGCTCTTAGATATTTGGGTTTAAATATTTTTACTAATAAAATTAATGCTGTGATGATGGGCATTCTGGTGCAAAAAGCTTGTTCTGTGTTTTTCATTGTTTCATCTTGTATTATATTCTTAGAAATGGAATTGCTAGGTCAATGATTGTATATACTTTTAAGGTTCTTGATGCATACTGCCAAATCGCTTTTTAAAGAGTACTTTTCTAAAATTTTTTTTCTTTTCTATTGTCATAAACACTCATTCAGGAGATTATGAATGGTAGTTATAATTGAAGTTTAAATTCAAGTTATAATTTAACTCAACAGTAAACACTATTAAATAAAGTTTATGAGAAGACTATATCAAGAAAAAGCTTTGATCGTTATTTGAAATGGAAGTGCACTGGGTTTCACCAATAGGTTTTCCTCTGTTCCCCTGATTCCCAGAGTTGGAAGCTCTGGGGCAGTCTTACAGGTTATGCTAAGTATACTTTGCTCCAGTGCCCCCTAGTGCTGGTCCTGTGGAAGTAACCTTCATTTTTTCTTTGTAGCAGAAAACATCCTTCTTCCTTCAGCTCCTTCTGGACATACACAAAGACATTTAAAGAGCCAGGCAAATAAGAGTTAGGGCTAAAATGGGCCGGGCATGGTGGCTTACGCCTGTAATCCCAGCACTTTGGGAGGCCGAGGCGGGCAGATCACAAGGTCAAGAGATCAAGACCATCCTGGCCAACATGGTGAAACCCTGTCTCTACTAAAAATACAAAAGTTAGCTGGGCATGGTGGCGTGCGCCTGTAGTCCCAGCTACTTGGGAGGCTGAGGCAGGAGAATCGCTTTAACCCAGGAGGCGGAGGTTGCAGTGAGCCAAGATTATGCCACTGCACTCCAGCTTGGCGACAGAGTGAGACTCTGTCTCAAAAAAAGAAAAAAAAAAAAAAAAAAAGAGGGCTAAAGTAATGCCCTATTACTTTCTTTGGCCTGCGGATCTAGAATTTATCCTTATTTTTTTTCTCTCCTGGGAGGAGCTGTCCTGCTTTCTGTAGTCTTATATTTGTGCTACTCTCTCTGCCTTACCCTGCATGTTTCTATTCTAGACTGCAATAGGGAGGGCCTGGGCCAAACATCCCTACCTCTGGACCCTCACCCTATTTCAAATCCTTTATGTCAAAGAAAGTCAATATACCCTAGGTAGCTACAAGTCCAATTATTATTGAGGTATTTAGCTGTAAAATTTGTCCTTCCATCACTGTCTTGACTAAAGGTTCTCCTCTGAAAATTCCAACTTGTTGACCTGCAAACAGACTGGAGAAAAGAGCAGTAAGGGTGAAGGTGGGACTGATAGTGGCCAAGCCCCATGAGAAGACATGTTTAACCTTGCTGTCCTTCCCACAAACATGCATTCCTACAAATGTGTTAGAAATAGGCTCAGATGTGTAAAAATCTACAGGCTGCTTTCTGTAGCTCTTTCTTTTCTCTTCCCTACCCACTCCTTCAGAATAGCAGTGAGCAAGAGATAGCTCATTAGAGTCCTGGCCCGGAATTCCTGTAATAACAAAATACAGATAGCAACTCCCTATCTGCAGAGTTAACTGCTTTGAGAGGAAGGGAGTGGGGCCAGGCGTGAGAAATAATAGTGATCCTTGTAGGAACAAATTTTTAGTCGCATGTAAGCATTTTATTTCACTTCTTTTCTTAGAGAATCTTTGCCCCCACCTTTTATTTATTGGAAATTCTGTTCCATTAGTTAGTTCTAAGCCTTTCCTTTCGGTCGTTCCATGACTCCAGAGTTGTTCTTTAATACATGTGTTCCTGTTAATATTATGTCCAATCACAAGTGCCTGATTGGCTGGTCTAGAAAAGTTAGAGAAGAAAGATACAGGTCTTGTTTAATATCCATTTCATGTTCAGCTCTCAGAATATTCATTTAAAAGAATCTGGAATGTAAAAGTAGGTGTCTATTCATACCAAATTCAGAACTTCTCCAAAATTATATTCAACCCAATATTTTAAAATTCTCTGAAAACCAGAAATAAATATCTTCGATTTAGAAAATGACTTACAAGTCATGGTTTCAGCATTCCATTAAGAGTACCATGTTGTGTTTGCAGCCCTGTTCCTGAGTCCCTAGATATAGAGGCTTGCTTGCTGGTAGGGAATCCCCTCTTTAAAAATAGCATAAGGGGCCGGGCGTGGTGACTCACACCTCTAATCCCAGCAATTTGGGTGGCCAAGGTGGGCAGATCACAAGGTCAGGAGTTCAAGAGCAGCCTGGCCCATATGGTGAAACCCCATCTCTACCAAAAATAGAAAAAATTAGTTGGGCGTGGTGGCGGGCACCTGTAGTCCCAGCTACTCGGGAGGCTGAGGCAGAAGAATCGCTGGAACCCGGGAGGCAGAGGTTGCAATGAGCCAAGATCATGCCACTGCACTCCGGCCTGGGTGACAAAGTGAGACTCCATCTCAAAAAAAAAAAAGAAAAAAAAATAGCATAAGGCCAGGTGCGGTGGCTCACACCTGTAATCCCAGAACTTTGGGAGGCCAAGATGGGTGGATCACCTGAGGTCAGGAGTTTGAGACCAGCCTGGCCAACATGGTAAAACCCCATCTCTACTAAAAATACAAAAATTAACCAGATGTGGTGGCACACGCCTGTAATCCCAGCTACTCAGAAGGCCGAGGCAGGAGAATTGCTGGAACCCAGGAGGTGGAGGCTGCAGTGAACTGAGATGGCACCACTGCACTCCAGCCTGGGCGACAAAGCAAGAATCCATCTCAGAAAAGAATGATAAAAATAAATAAATCCAGCCTGACCAATATGGTGAAACCCCGTCTCTACTAAAAATACAAAAAAATTAGCCAAGTGTGGTGGTGTGCGCCTGTAGTCCCAGCTACTCAGGAGGCTGAGACAGAAGAATTGCTTGAACTGGGAGGCGGAGATCACACCACTGCACTCCACCCTGCGTGACAGAGTGAGACTCAGTCTCAAAAAAAATTAAATAAGCAAATAAGTAAATAAAGCATAAGGCCTTCTCAGCCTCACTAGCCTGTCCCCAGTGAATGCTGTTTTTACTTATTAAGAGACAGTTGCCTCGTTTACAAATATCCAAACTTCTTAAGACATTTAATACTTCATGATCTAAGTAACAAGGCAGGACCAAGATAATTAATTCTAAGTAACAAGTATTACATTGTAAAAATATGTTTTCACTAAGCTTATCAGAAGCCTAAAACAATATTAAGAATATTTAGACACTTTGGGAGGCCGAGGCAGGAGGATTGGTTGAGGCCAGGAGTTCAAGACCAACTTGGCCAACATAGTGAGATCCCATCTCTATTTTTTAAACTTATTATATATAAAAAAAGAATATTTAGACAAAACATAACACTTTCTAGTACAGAGATTTGAGATTTCCTCCACCAAAATTAATGATAAAAGAAGTTTCCTTTCCTGTCAGGTTATTTATTTGAGTAAAAAAGAAATGGGTATCTTATCCTGCTTAATATCCCCTAAGTGGTACAGTAATCATTTTCCTTACTACAGTAGGTTTTTCATTAAAAATTGTTTTTCCTAATAAGTAACAGTTACTAGTTGTTTGTTAAATGACTTCTTGTTGCTTACACAATTTATCTATGTAAGTAGCTCCCTGCCAGGTGCGGTGGCTGATGCCTGTAATTTCAGCACTTTGGGAGGCTGAGGTGGGCGGATCTGGAGGCCAGGAGTTCGAGATGAGCCTGACCAACATGGTGAAACCCTGTCTCCACTAAAAATATAAAAATTAGCTGGGCGTGGTGGTGTGTGCCTGTAATCCCAGCTACTCAGGAGGCTGAGGCAACAGAATCGCTTGAACCCAGGAGGCGGAGGTTGCAGTGAGCCAAGATCGCACCACTGCACTCCAGCCTGGGCAACAGAGCGAGACTCCATCTCAAAAAAACAAACAAACAAAAAAGCAGCTCCCAGTTCTTCTGTTTCCAGCATTTTGTGTGTGTGTTGGAACATGGTCTTTGGAGTTAAAATTGAGTTTGAATTTTTACTCCACTTCTTACCACCTGTGGCAAGATAAGCAAGGTACTTCACCTTGAGCTTCACTTTCCTGATATATAAAATGAGAATGATACTCACTGCTGGATAGGTTTGTTGAGAAGATGAAATTGAAAGAAGTGTTTGAATTAACAGTAAATGTTATTTTGTTGGCACTAAGTCGCAGTCCTAATCTTTGTTTTTGTAGTCTTCTCCCCTGCTCAAACCAAAATGAACTATTGAACTATTGCCTGAGGCCATGGGCATACATAAACATACTTAATGGGTAGTGTAGGTTTGGGATACAGCGTGATAGATTTAGTCCTCCATCTGAATTTTTGGGATAATTTGGGAATTCAAGTCTCTCACTTTGGTCCTAACAGTCACTGCTTTTCCCCTGTTCCTCTGACTCCTTCTTTAGCTTCCTTCATCTTTGTATACTACAGGAAAGAAATCAGAAGATGTTTTGGAACTACAGTAGGCAGCTTAAGGGTTCCTGGATCATAAGTGGATTAGCCTTTGAGGCAATGGCAGGAGTCAGCAGGTGGGGATTCAGATCGCCAAGAGCAGCAACAACACTGAAAACTAGGTATTACATTTGGGGTTTAAATATCAAATAGTCGTTTTATTATATATTCACAAAAGTTGCACACTCTCCCCCTATCCCTCTGAAGAAAGTTGCCAGTAGCAATTACTCTTAGAAGAAAACAATCTCAGAAATACAGCATAGTGTTTACCCTTCTACAATGGTGGGGCCTTTTGTGTCTTGTTCTTTTTGTCACTTGTTCCAAGTGAATGAATTTAGTTCTGTTTTATATATAGTATGGATAATGACTTACTTCAGGTGAAAAGTAATTTAATGAGCCTTGTTATATATTAGTCACTGTGGTAGGTACAAAAAAACATAATACAGTTTGTCTCCAAAGATCTTTATAGCTCAGAACAGGCTCAGCAGACTTCAGACCATGGGCCAAATCTGACCTGATGTGTTTTTGTAAATGATGTTTTATTGGAACACAACCATGCTCATTCATTTAAGTACTATCTAGGACTATTTCATGCTACACTGACAGTTAAGTAGTTGGATCCAGACCATATGGACTGCAAAGCCTAAAATATTTACTATCTGATCCTTAACACAAAAAGTTTGCCAACCAGTGGCCTAATAAGTTAACTTCTTTGCCTTGTGTACCAAACTTTGTCAGTTAGAAAAACGTATTTGCCTATTCTGGGTAAGCAGTTTAGTTTTGTGCTGCCTTTTCATCATGAAAATTGATCACTAAATTTTTAGCAGGCTTTATTTTTGTATTCTGAGAATTTTTATCTGGTCTAGGTCCTTGTTTTGCTACTTTACTGTTTATTTCTGCCCATTCCAAAAATCTATATTTGTCAGATAATGTTGAGCTAAAGTTTTATGTGTTTACTAATTAGTTTTTCCATGGCTTCATTTTCTGACTGTGATTATGTTAACCGTATTTCATAGTTATGGATGAAAACGCAACTAAATTTGGTCCTCCGCTAGCCATGTAAAATTTTGGAACAAAGCCTGGGCAACATGGTGGTACCTGGTCTCTACAAAAAAATACCAAAAAAAAAATTAGCTAGGTGTAGTGGTGTGTGCCTGTAGTGCTTGCTACTATTGTGGAAGAAAATTAAAAGGAATCACACATTTAAAATCTATATACTTCTGTTTTTGTGTGTATAGGTATTAAACTCCCTTACCTTTCCTCACTGACTGTAATCATACAGTTTGCTGTTATGGGTCAGTCTACATTTAAAGATCTTTTTTCTTCCTAAGATGTCAAATTTGAGCCTTTGTGCCTTTAGGAAAGCTTCTTTCTAATATAGCTTATATGATAAATTCACCATCTTAATTGTGCCTTCCATATTTGGGGTTCTTCATTGTTGATATCTTGCTGACAAGACTTTTATTTTATTTTTATTTATTTATTTTTGCGACAGAGTCTCACTCTGTTGCCCAGGCTGGAGTGCAATGGCACGATCTCGGCTCACCACAACCTCCGCCTCCTGGGTTCAAGCAATTCTCCTGCCTCAGCCTCCTGAGTAGCTGGGATTACAGGCGTGCACCACCATGCCCAGCTAATTTTTTTTGTATTTTTAGTAGAGACGGTGTTTCACCATATTGTCCAGGCTGGTCTCAAACTCCTGACCTTGTGATCCGCCTGCCTCGGCCTCCCAAAGTGCTGGGATTACAGGCATGAGCCACTGCGCCCGGCCAAGACTGTATTTTAAAAACGTCAACTTAATTTGTTGAAAGAGGTTTCTCTTCTTGGCTAAGCATGGTGGCTAATGCCCGTAAGCCCAGCGCTTTGAGAGGCTGAGGCGGGAGGATTGTTTGAGCCCAGGAGTTCAAAGTCAGCCTGAGCAACATATCAAGACCTTGTCTCTACAAAAAATATAAAATTAGCCCAGGTGTGGTAGCACACATCTATATTCCCAGCCCCTTGGGAGGCTGAGACAAGAGGATCACTTGAGCCCAGGAGTTCAAGGCTGCATTGAGCTATGATTGTGCCACTGCACTCCAGCCTGGGAGACATAGTGAGACCCTGTCTCTTTAAGAGGTTTCTCCTCTTATCTTGGTTAGTAGATCACTGATAAACTGAAACTATTTTAGCCCTTTTATATATGGGTATATGTAGGTTTCAGTCTTCTAATTCTCGGTTTCACTAGATCTACCAGGAAGCAAAAACCTTAGCCAATCTAATAAAGCTACTTGCAAAATGGATACAAAATATAACCAAGATACTATGATTTACATCTCAGTGTGATCTTACTACTCGAGCCATCTGAATTCCTTTCTGCAGGTACTCTAGGAAAAAGTTGGTTTTCTGTAGAGACAGGGTCTCACTCTATTGCTCAGGCCAGAGTGCAGTGGCACGGTCATGGCTCACTGCAGCCTCAATCTCCCAGGCTCAAGAGATCCTCCCGCCTCAGCCTCCTGAGTAGCTGGGACTATAGGTGCATGTCACCACACCTGGCTGATATATTGTAGAGACAGGTCTTGTTTTGTTGCCCAGGCTGATCTTGATCTCCTGGCCTCAAGCGTTCCTCCTGCCTCCCCCTCCCAAAGTACTGGGATTATAGGTGTGAATTGCCCCACCCAGCCAGAAAAAGTGCTTTTGATGCCATGCTGCTTTCTAAAAATAAGATAAAATATTGGTTTCATTTAGGAAAAAGAAAATTTGAAAGGAAGCATCAATATAAGGACATTTTATATGAACTAAGAGAAGTAGATAAAGTAGCATAGATTACTCTTCTGTATTCACCCATTAGCTTCAGTTCCCACTCCTGTAATCCAGGTAATCTGACTAGAAAGGGGATTTGTGGAAGTAAAATTCCAATGTATTCTAGTTTCTTAAAATGACAGTCTGTATAATCAGCATATCTTGTTCTTGTATTATTCTTTTTCAGTGTCTAGTGAGTTAACTGGCTTTTTTGTTTATATATAAATATATTTGAGTAATTCAACTTTCAAATTTCTTACTTACTTTTTTTTTTTTTTCTTGAAATGGAGTCTCACTCTGTTGCCCAGGCTAGAGTGCAGTGGCGTAATCTCAGCTTACTGCAACCTCCGCCTCCCAGGCTCAAGTGATCCTTCTGCCTCAGCCTCCAGAGTATGGGACTAAAGGCGTATGCCATCACGTCTGGCTAATTTTTTGTATTTTTGGTAGAGATGGGGTTTCACCTGTTTGGCCAGGCTGGTATCAAACTCTTGACCTCAAGTGATCCACCCACCTTGGCCTCCCAAAGTGCTAAGATTACAGGTGTGAGCCACCACGACTGGCCTCAAATTTCTTTTTTTTTTTTTTTTCTTCTTCTTTTTGAGACGGAGTCTTGCTCTGTTGCCGAGGCTGGAGTGCAATGGTGCAGTCTTTGCTCTCTGTAACCTACACCTCCAAGGTTCAAGCAGTTCTCCTGTCTCAGCCTCTGGAGTAGCTAGGACTACAGACATGTGCCACCACACCCGGCAGTTTTTGTATTTTTAGTAGAGATGGGGTTTTGCCATGTTGGCCAGGCTGGTCTCGAGCTCCTGACCTCAGGTGATCCACTCACCTCAGCCTCCCAAAGTGCTAAGATTACAGGCATGAGCCACCACACCCAGCCAAATTTCTTACTTTCATAATGCTGCCTGTCTCTGCAAGTTGCCACATATTAATTTTATCATATTAAAGAGTCATTATAGCATACTGGTTAAGACCACAGTCTGGAGGCAGACTGCTTTTGTTATTTCACTTTGCTACTTAATGGCTCTGTGTCTTTGGGCCTGTTGCTTAACATCTCTGTGACTGTTTCTGTTTCTTTTTTTTTTTTTTTTTTTGAGACGGAGTCTTGCACTGTTGCCCAGGCTGGAGTGCAGTGGTGCGATCTCGGCTCACTGCAAGCTCTGCCTCCTAGGTTCATGCCATTCTCCTGCCTCAGCCTCCCGAGTAGCTAGGACTACAGGCGCCTGCCACCACGCTCAGCTAATTTTTTGTATTTTTAGTAGAGACGGGGTTTCACCGTGTTGGCCAGGATGGTCTCGATCTCCTGACCTCGTGATCCGCCCACCTCGGCCTCCCAAAGTGCTGGGATTACAGGCGTGAGCCACCGCGCCTGGCCGTGCCTGTTTCTTTATACATAAAGTGGGGGTGATAATACCAATACCTATCACAGTTGTAAGGATCAGTTGTTAATCTGTGAAAAATTTAGATTAGTGCCTGGCAAGTAGTAAGTGTGGATAAATGTTAACTTTTATTATTATTGTATTCTGGCCCAGATAAAATGAAGTAAGTTAAGCATATTTACTTTTTTTCATAATGAATTACAGCTATTATAGCAGATGAGAAGTGACAGTATCCATAATATGAGGAATGTAACTTTTTTCAAATTAAAAAGCAGTCAGTGATATATTTTAAAAGAATTCATAGTAAGTGTGCTAATTTTCACCTATTTAGAGCAAGCTCTTATAATTTGCCCTATTCCAAATCTTTTTATATTTCTTTTTCTTTTTCTCTTGAATATTATCTATTGTTCTTTAAGGGGCATTAAGAGTAAAGCTAACTCTATGAGACTTCTTTGTTTTCTTACTATTGGAGTCTTAAATTGGCAAATCCTGAACTAATTTCAAAATCTTGATGTAACACCCTGAAAATGTATAGATACTTACTATCACATGACCCAGTAATGGCAGCCTTCCTCAACTTGAGCAAAATCACAGTCTTGGGAATCATAATTCCCACTACTTAAATGAAATGAAGTATAGTAACAGGCCAACATCATGAAGTGGATGAATAAAAGCACTGAGTTCTGAAATTTTCAGGAACCTAAATTATCTTCCCAACTGTTCAAAGGATTTACTATAAGAGATTAACTAACTTTGTTAAGTATACAATATCTGTGCTTATTTACCCAAATCTGTCAGTATGTATAATTCTCTCAGTGGAATATAGTTACAATTAAATTAACTTTCTTGAGCACTCAAATAATATTTAGTTTGCATCCAAATCTAGGCCAAACTTTATTGCTAAAGAAGGTCTTTAGTCCATCCCCATTGGGAAAAAATAATAACAATAAAGAAAGCCTGGCCAGGCGTGGTGGCTCATGCCTCTAATCCCAGCACTTTGGGAGGCCAAGACGGGTAGATCACCTAAGGTCAGGAGTTCGAGACCAGCCTGGTCAACATGGCGAAACCCTGTCTCTACTAAAAATACAAGAAAAAAAATAGTAGCTGGGCGTGGCAGTGGGCACCTGTAATCCCAGCTTTTTGGGAGGCTGAGGTAGGAGAATCGCTTGAACCCAGGAGGCAGAGGTTGCAATGAGCCGAGATAGCGCCACTGCACTCCAGCCTGGGCGATAAAAGCAAAACTCTGTCTCAAAAAAAAAAAAAAAAAAGAAAGCCTTGGTTGTTTCACATTTCCAGTGTCTCTTAAAATACTACTGTTAATTAGTTCATCAGTTGATTGCTTACTTATTTGTGGTATTAAATGTACTACTCTTTAGATGTTTTGGGAAGTAATCATTTTACATAAGACACATTTGCTTTGTGTTCAGCCTTTATAAAGGAATCCTTTGCCTCCAACTCCTAAGATGGCTGATTCCCTAGACTTTCTTACATACTAATCAAGAAATCTGAGGGAGTAAAGGAACATTAGTAACTCCTAGCATCATTTCTTAAAAACCCAATAATTATTTATTGTTTGATGAAATTAACACATTATAAGTTGCCCCCAGGATTGTGGTAAACATCCATATTAAGTATACCAACATTTCATTGAGTAACTATTTATTAAATATCTACTATATGCAAAGCACTATTTTAGGTACTAACAGTGGAACAGTGTTCCTTTGAATACTGGAAGGTTTACAAGTTGACAGCTATCTGTTCTCATTTGAGTTTCATAGAGTTAATTTAGCAGAATCAGAGTAACATAGAACCTTAGAATACCTAGTTCAACTCTCTTGTTTATAGATTTTAAAAATCTTTAATCCTGAGATGTAAAATAATTTTTCTGAGATCATATAGCTAGTTAATAGCATTGCTTGCTTTTTGTTCTTTTAGTTACTTTTCATTCAGCAAACATTCTCACATCTTTTCTATTAAAAAGGTCAAGAATGACCAAAAAAAAATCCATCAACCTTAAAAGACTTCTATCAGCCCCATCCTATTTTTCACTGACTCTTTATAATCATACTTTTTTGAAAGAGTTGACTTCTTCCTTATCTTCCTTTCAGCTTACTGCAGTCTGATTCAGCACTCATAACTCCATTGAAAGTGCTCTCCCCAAGGTTACCCACAGCTTCATAATTGCTATATCCCTGGCACTTTTAATACTTATCTCTAATCTCTCTGTGGCATTTGTCATTGTTAATTATTCATTTTTTTAATGTTTTCTTACCTCCGGGATATCATATTCCCCTGGTTTTATTTCTACTTCTCAAATAATTTCTTAGATTTCTTCATAAGCTCTTCTTTGTCATTCATCTTTCAAATATTGGTATTTCCCAGGATACTTGCTGTCACCTTTCTCTGTGTATTCTCCTTGAGCAGTCTCATCCACTTCTGACACATCTGTTGCTATCTAAATGCTGAAGACTCCCAAATCCTTGTTTACTTCTTTCTCTTAGGCTTTGAACTCACATACGCAGCTGCCTACTAGACATCTTCAAGATATCTATTAGGGATCTCAAAATCATCATCTCTAAAATTTAACTATTACTAACTGCATTTGTTCCTATGTTTCTTTTTTTTTTTTTTTCTTTTTTTTTTTTCGAGACAGGGTCTTACTCTGTCTCCCAGGCTGGAGTGCAGTGGCACAATCAATCTCAGCTCACTGCAACCTCCACCTCCTGGGTTCAAGCGATTCTCTTGCCTCAGCTTCCTGAGTAGTTGGGATTACAGGCACCCACCACCACGCCCGGCTCATTTTTGTATTTTTAGTAGAGACTGGATTTCATCATGTTGCCCAGGCTGGTCTTGAACTCCTGACCTCAGATGATCCGCCAACCTCAGCCTCCCAAAGTGCTCGGATTACAGGCGTGAGCCATCATGCCTGGCCTGTTCCTGTGTTTTTTATCTTGATGACTTAATACCACAATTCCTCTAGTAGGCAGCTCCCTAGAAATTAAGGAGTAATCATCAACAGGCTCTACCCGATTGCTCCCTAAATTCTATCAGTTCTACTGCTTTATCTTTCATCTATCCATATCTTTAGAGCCAATATATTATTTTCAGGCCCTCATTCTAAATTATCCCTGGCTGGGCACGGTGGCTCACGCCTGTAATCCTAGCACTTAGTGAGGCTGAGACTGGCGGATCACGAGGTCAGGAGATCAAGACCATCTTGGCCAACATGGTGAAAACCCGTATCTACTAAAAATACAAAAATTAGCCAGGTATGGCAGCACACACCTGTAGTCCCAGCTACTCAGGAGGCTGAGGCAGCAGAATTGCTTGAACCCGGGAGACAGAGGCTGCAGTGGGCCAAGATCGCACCACTGCACTCCAGCCTGGGTGACAGAGTGAGACTCCGTCTCAAAAAAAAAAAAAATCCTATGGCCTTTGTTAATATGCAATAAAATACACAGTAATGATTAAGAACATGGACTTTAGAGTCAGACAGCCCCACGTTTGAATCCTTGCTCTGTCACTTAGCATCTATGGGTGCTGTGAGTATCAGTTTTCTTGTCTGTAAAATAGGAATATTACCATTTACTTTGTAGGGTGATGGTGAAATGTAAATTTATAGTTCTGGGAACACAGTATGTGGTACATATCAGCTCTCAACGAAAGATGTGACTACTCTAACTGGCCTATTCCACATCATTCTCCATTGTGTTTAGAATATGATTCATTTACACAAAATTTTAGCACTCTTATGCTAAAAATCCTTCTTCAGTAGTTCCTCATTGCCAGCAGGACAATATTCAAATGATTTAACGTGATATTTTAAATGGTCTTCTATGTAAATGCAAATGGTTTTATTCTTCTTTAGCTTTTTTTCTTGCTGCTGTCTTCCCTATTTATACCCCAGCTACAATAAATTAACAGTTCCTCAAAAGCACCTCTGCACTTTTTTGTTGTTGTTGAGATAGAGTCTTGCTCTATTGACCGGGCTGGGGTGCAGTGGCGCAGTCTCGGCTCACTGCAACCTCTGCCTCCCAGATTCAAGCCATTCTCCTGCCTCAGCCTCCCGAGTAGCTGGGATTACAGGCATGCACCACCACACGCGGCTAATTTTTCTATTTTTAATAGAGACGGGGTTTCATCATGTTGGCCAGGCTGGTCTCGAACTCCTGACCTCAGGTGATCTGGCCGTCTCAGCCTCCCAAAGTGCTGGGATTACAGGCGTGAGCCACCGCACCCAGCCACCTCTGCTTTTTTGAATATCTGTGCCTTAACTGGAATACCTTTTTCTGTAGCTAGATTATTTTTCTCCTTCAGGACTCAGCTTACATGTTATCTTCTTTGGGAACTCTTCCATGACTACTTTTGACTCTGAGTTAAGATTTTCCAACATGGGGCCCATGTTTTCTCCTACCATAGCACTCCTTACACTATATTGCAGTTGCCTGTTCTCTTATCTGTTTCCCTCAGTGTATTTTGAATGTTTAAAATTAAAGTTTCAGGAATGTTGAAGTTTAGTTATTAGATATTTATCTGCAGAAACATGAAAAGTTCTCAAGAGGGTGTCCTTTTTACTTCTCTCCACAAGATGAACTCGCTCCTTCTTCCACATACTATACTCATGTTAGCAAAAGAAAATATGTGTGTAATTTTTGAAGTATCATTATTTGGGATGTAAAGATCCCCAAAAAGACTAAGTGCTGTCATCTGTATAAAATAGAGTGGCTTAAAGAGTTTTAGTTGAGTACTTTTTAAGTGTTTCTATATTAGCCTTTGCTCAGGTAATTAGTCTGCATTACTGTTTTAAATGTTGGTATCTGCATGTGTCTTACTCATTAGTCAGTGAGAAGAATATGAGCTCTTATATCAGATAGTCCTAGTTTCAACCCCTCGCTAATAATTACTGTTTCTTAGGATCAATGTAAATGTTAAACTATATAATAGTAAGCCCTTAAACCAGTGCCTGGTGGGTTGTAAGCACTCGATAAATTTAAAATATTTTAAGCCAGGGTCTTGCTCTGTCACCCAGGCTGGAATGCAGTGGCACAATTATGTCTCACTTCAGCCTTGATCCCATGGGCTCAAGTGATCTTCCTGCCTCAGCATCCCCAGTAACTCGGACTACAGGCATGCTCCACCATGCGCGGCTAATTTTCTGTGTTGCCCACGCTGGTCTCCAACTCTTGGATTCAAGCAATCCTCTCAAACCTGGGCCTCCCAAAGCACTGGGATTGCAGGCATGAGCCACTGCACTCAACTTGAAATTTCCTTTTGGACTTTTCAAATGTTCCTTATGGAATCTTATCTGGCCATCTAATTAAATCTATTTACCCATCCAACCTTAGATTAAAGCCCATCCTCCTATGAAGATTTCTCCAACTTTGCTGCAGTTAAGAGTTAATACAATAACTGAACACTTCATCTCCGTAATTGGCCTGTCTGCTAGAATGTTAACTATTTGAGGGCATGGCACTGTCTTAAATTTATCTTTCTTCCCCTGACATTTTGCAGAGTGCTGAGATATAAGATAAATTCAGTACACATTTGTTGCCTAATTGAGTTTTTTCAGTGTGCTGCTCTGCTGCCTCACTTTACTAGCAGTAATGTGTGTCACAGGAATGACTAGCAATTTTAATCAACCTAAATAAACCATATTTATAAAGGAAATCTGTTGAAAACAATCATACTGAGTATTCCATAGCTAACTATAACTGTTTTAGAGTGTCAGTGTCACTACCCCTTCTATTAGGACAGATAACTAAGAAATGACTACATTAAATGGTTCCCAACATTAAATTTGGTTATATGAATTTCCTTGAGAATAAACCAGTTTTGCTATTTTCCACTTACTGTTTCTTCTAGATCAGTTTTCTGTGATCCTGTAATTCACGCTTGCAAATTTGAATGTGTCTTACAGGAGGATTTGTTGGTATTGAGGAAAACGGTGAAATCCTTTTTGGCTGTTTGCCAGCAGTGCCTGTCTAATGTTAATACTCCAGTGAAAGAACAGGTAAGAAATTATCAGTAAGAGCTCTCAATAAAATCAACTCAAATACATTAATGAACATTAAGAAGATACAATTTTTTATGGCAGTTTTTGTACACATGTTCATTCCTAACATTTACTGGACCTGGAACAAGACTGTAGATGTGTGAATTTATGTTATAAAGCAAGCTAACAAACTTATTATATAATATACATTCTTTCCTTTTACTTTCACAAGTATACTGTCATCAGCTGGAAGGGCAGGTTGAAATGTAGACTTTTTTTTTTTTTTTTTTTGAGACAGAGTCTCGCTCTGTCGCCCAGGCTGGAGTGCAGTGGCGCAATCTCGGCTCACTGCAAGCTCCGCCTCCCGGGTTCACGCCATTCTCCTGCCTCAGCCTCCCGAGTAGCTGGGACTACAGGCACCCGCCACTGCGCCCAGCTAATTTTTTGTATTTTTAGTAGAGACGGGGTTTCACCATGGTCTCGATCTCCTGACCTCGTGATCAGCCCGCCTCAGCCTCCCAAAGTGCTGAGATTACAGGCGTGAGCCACCGTGCCCGGCCGAAATGTAGACTTTTTGACTCCTAAGAATTGACACCAGAATGGCCGGGCGCAGTGGCTCACGCCTGTAATCCCAGCACTTTGGGAGGCCGAGGTGGGCAGATCACAAGGTCAAGAGATCGAGACTGTCAACCCCGTCTGTACTAAAAATACAAAAAAAAATTAGCCGGGCATGGTGGCAGGCGCCTGTAATCCCAGCTACTTGGGAGACTGAGGCAGGAGAATCGCATGAACCCGGGAGACAGAGGTTGCAGTGAGCCAAGATCGCGCCATTGCACTCCAGCCTGGGCAGAAAGAGCAAAACTCTCTCAAAAAAGATTAAAAAAAAGAATTCTACACCAGAATATTGAGGGTCTGGGGAGCTGACATATGACATACCCTTTTATCATCTTACCTTCAGCTCCTTCCCACACCAGTTAAGTTTCTCACACATGCATGCCAACACTTTAGCCCCACATCTTGAAACTCTTGTCAATACCACCCGCCCAAACAGCTGCCCATTCACCACCCAGGGGCCTAGTAATATGTACATTGGGTATGCAGTATGCCTAGAGAAGAGGCCTTTGCAGGCTCAGACAACAGGATCAGGACTGTAGGGCAAGGAGTTTCTGAGTCCCTATACTTGGACAATGGTGTAGAAGTGGGGTTTGGTAAGCAGGTGGGCATATCCCATTGGTCTGATAGATTCCTCATCTCTTGTAGAGGGGCACAGCCCAAAGAGGGTCAGGGTGGGGGTCAGGGTGGGCCAGGGAAGTACTGTTTCCATGATATGATTTTGTAAACTATTTTTTAAAATAGACTGTTGTATTGGGGAGTACATTTGTGTAAAACAAAATGTATATTTTCCATACTATTTCTTATTTTGATATTGGGCTAGAGTCGTTTGGTGAAAGAGTACAGTATTACTTATCCTTTGCTGTCTCTTATAAATAGTGACAAGTATCTTTATTGAGTTATCAGCATTTAACTTAAAATGGAAACAGAGATGGTCTTCCCTAAACCTTATTCTTTAAATCTTCAGAACACTACTTATGGAGAAATACCCAGCTCTGCCATTTATTTTATTTTGTTTTATTTTATTTTATTTTATTTTATTTTATTTTGTTAATTATTTATTTATTTATTTATTTATTTATTTATTTATTTATTTTGAGACGGAGTCTCCCACTGTTGCCCGGGCTGGTGTGCAGTGGCGTGATCTCGGCTCACTGCAACCTCCACCTCCTGAGTTCAAGCAATTCCCTGTCTCAGCCTCCCAAGTATCTGGGATTACAGGTGCCCACCACTACGCCTGGCTAATTTTTTTGTATTTTTAGTAGATATGGGTTTCACTGTGTTGGCCAGGCTGGTCTCAAACTCCTGACCTCATGATCTGCCTGCCTCAGCCTCCCAAAGTACTGGGATTACAGGTGTGAGCCACTGCACCTGGCCCAGCTCTGCCATTTAAACCCCAAATCCAGTGTTTCTGCATCAGACCTGCTTGGTGATGTCCAAAACTATGGCCTGCTGGTTAAAAAGTATTCCCTGTGGATTCTCTGTATGCTGCCTTTTTTTCAAATGGCTCTTTCTAAATACCTGAGTATATTTCATGGTTGTGCTGTCAGGGCATAAACTGCCAAGACTCTTGCTGCAGTTGGACAACCAGATATACAGTTATCCCAAACTAAATGCCAAAATTATGTTTTCCCATAGAAGTCAACTTTGGAGGGGGCAGTGTTAGTGGATTGTTTGGAAGTTTCAGAGCCCTCAATTATCCCACAACAAAATCTTTCTATTGTAATAAACTGATCAGACCCATTTATTTCACTCAATCCATTAAATAGGGCAAATTTGGCAGCATACCTATAATGTGTACAAATGTATTCAAAGTCTCTATATAATTAAATTTGTTTGGAGGCTTTATTAGATACTGGTTTTTATATGAATGGTTTTCTAATACAGTCATGCACCACTTAACAACAAGGATACATTGTGAGAAATGTGTTGTTAGGCAATTTCATCATTGTATGACCATCATAAGAGTATATTTACACAAACAAATGGTATTGCCTACCACATGCCTATGCTCTATGGTATGGCCTATTCCTCTTAGGCTATGATCCTGTACTGTATAATACTATACTGAGTAGTATAGATAATTATAATACAACTGGTATTTATATATCTAAACATATCTAAAATACAGTATAAAAGATTTAAAAATGGTATACTTACCATAAGAATGGAAGTAGCTCTGAGTGAGTGAATGAGTGATTGGTGAGTGAATAGGAAGGCCTAAGACATTACTATACATCACTGTAGACTCTATATGTACCATACACTTAGACTATACTAAATTAATTAAAATGTTTTTCTTTCTTCAATAATAAATTAACCTTATCATACTATAATTCTTTTTCTTTGTAAACTTTTTAATTTTTTTAACTTTTAAACTCTTTTGTAATAATACCTAACACACAAACACATTAAACAGCTGTACAAAAAAAAAAATTTTTTTTTTTTGAGACGGAGTTTTGCTCTTGTTGCCCAGGCTGGAGTGCAGTGGCACATTCTCGGGTCACCCCAACCTCCACCTCCCAGGTTCAAGCAATTCTCCTGCCTCAGCCTCCCTAGTAGCTGGAATTACAGGCGTGCACCACCACACCTGGCTAATTTTGTATTTTTAGTAGAGATGGGATTTCTCCATGTTGGTCAGGCTGGTCTCGAATTCCCAACCTCAGGTGATCCTCCCACCTTGGCCTCCCAAAATGCTAGGATTACAACTGTGAGCCACCGTGCCTGGCCAAAATATTTTTTTCTTATATCTTTATTCTAGAAGCTTTTTTCTATTTATTTTTGAATAAATACAGTGTGCTGTATCCAGGAAACCCATCTCACATGCAGGCACACACATAGGCTCAAAATTAAGGGATGGAGGAAGATCTACCAAGCAAATGGAAAACAAAAAAAGGCAGGGGTTGCAATCCTAGTCTCGGATGAAACAGACTTTAAACCAACAAAGATCAAAAGGGACAAAGAAGGCCATTACATAATGGTAAAGGGATCAATTCAACAAGAAGAGCTAAGTATCCTAAATATATATGCACCCAACACAGGAGCACCCAGATTCATAAAGCAAGTCCTTAGTGACCTACAAAGAGACTTAGACTCCCACACAATAATAATGGGAGACTTTAACACCCCACTGTCAATATTAGACAGATCAAGACAGAAAGTTAAAAAGGATATCCAGGAATTGAACTCAACTCTGCACCAAGCAGACCTAATAAACATCTACAGAACTCTCCACCCCAAATCAACAGAATATACATTCTTTTCAGCACCACACCTATTCCAAAATTGACCACATAGTTGGAAGTAAAGCAATCCTCAGCAAATGTAAAAGAACAGAAATTATAACAAACTGTCTCTCAGACCACAGTGCAATCAAACTAGAACTCAGGATTAAGAAACTCACTCAAAACCGCTCAACTGCATGGAAACCGAACAACCTGCTCCTGAATGACTACTGGGTACATAATGAAATGAAGGCAGAAATAAAGATGTTCTTTGAAACCAACGAGAACAAAGACACAACATACCAGAATCTCTGGGACACATTCAAAGCAGTGTGTAGAGGGAAATTTATAGCCCTAAATGCCCACAAGAGAAAGCCGGAAAGATCTAAAATTGACACCGTAACATCACAATTAAAAGAACTAGAGAAACAAGAGCAAGCACATTCAAAAGCTAGCAGACGGCAAGAAATAACTAAGATCAGAGCAGAACTGAAGGAAATAGAGACACAAAAAACCCTTCAAAAAATCAATGAATCCAGGAGCTGGTTTTTTGAAAAAATCAACAAAATTGATAGACCACTAGCAAGACTAATAAAGAAGAAAAGAGAGAAGAATCAAATAGACGCAATAAAAAATGACAAAGGGGATATCACCACCGATCCTACAGAAATACAAACTACCATTAGAGAATACTATAAACACCTCTATGCAAATAAACTAGAAAATCTAGAAGAAATGGATAAATTCCTCGACACATACACCCTCCCAACACTAAACCAAGAAGAAGTTGAATCTCTGAATAGACCAATAACAGGCTCTGAAATTGAGGCAATAATTAATAGCTTACCAACCAAAAAAAGTCCAGGACCAGATGGATTCACAGCCGAATTCTACCAGAGGTACAAGGAGGAGCTGGTACCATTCCTTCTGAAACTATTCCAATCAATAGAAAAAGAGGGAATCCTCCCTAACTCATTTTATGAGGCCAGCAGCATCCTGATACCAAAGCCTGGCGGAGACACAACAAAAAAAGAGAATTTTAGACCAATATCCCTGATGAACATTGATGCAAAAATGCTCAATAAAATACTGGAAAACTGAATCCAGCAGCACATCAAAAAGCTTATCCACCATGATCAAGTGGGCTTCATTCCTGGGATGCAAGGCTGGTTCAACATAGGAAAATCAATAAACGTAATCCAGCATATAAACAGAACCAAAGACAAAAACGACATGATTATCTCAATAGATGCATTAAAGGCCTTTGACAAAATTCAACAACCTTCATACTAAAAACTCTCAATAAATTAGGTATTGATGGGACGTGTCTCAAAATAATAAGAGCTATCTATGACAAACCCACAGTCAATATCATACTGGATGGACAAAAACTGGAAGCATTCCCTTTGAAAACTGGCACAAGACAGGGATGCCCTCTCTCACCACTCCTATTCAGTATAGTGTTGGAAGTTCTGGTCCGGGCAGTCAGGCAGGAGAAGGAAATAAAGGGCATTCAGTTAGGAAAAGAGGAAGTCAAATTGTCCCTGTTTGCAGATGACATGATTGTATATTTAGAAAACCCCATCGTCTCAGCCCAAAATCTCCTTAAGCTGATAAGCAGCTTCAGCAAAGTCTCAGGATACAAAATCAATGTGCAAACATCACAAGCATTCTTATACACCAATAACAGACAGCCAAATCATGAGTGAACTCCCATTCACAATTGCTTCAAAGAGAATAAAATACCTAGGAATCCAACTCACAAGGGATGTGAAGGACCTCTTCAAGGAGAACTACAAACCACTGCTCAATGAAATAAAAGAGGATACAAACAAGTGGAAGAACATTCCATGCTCATGGGTAGGAAGAATCAATATCGTGAAAATGGCCGTACTGCCCAGGGTAATTTATAGATTGAATGCCATCCCCATCAAGCTACCAATGACTTTCTTCACAGAATTGGAAAAAACTACTTTAAAGTTCACATGGAACCAAAAAAGAGCCTGTATTGCCAAGTCAATCCTAAGCCAAAAGAACAAAGCTGGAGGCATCATGCTACCTGACTTCAAACTATACTACAAGGCTACAGTAACCAAAACAGCATGGTACTGGTACCAAAACAGAGATATAGACCAATGGAACAGAACAGAGCCCTCAGAAATAATGCCGCATATCTACAACTATCTGATCTTTGACAAACCTGAGAAAAACAAGCAATGTGGAAAGGATTCCCTATTTAATAAATGGTGCTGGGAAAACTGGCTAGCCATATGTAGAAAGCTGAAACCAGATCCCTTCCTCACACCTTATACAAATATTAATTCAAGATGGATTAAAGACTTACATGTCAGACCTAAAACCATAAAAACCCTAGAAGAAAACCTAGGCATTACCATTCAGGACATAGGCACAGGCAAGGACTTCATGTCTAAAACACCAAAAGCAATGGCAACAAAAGCCAAAATTGACAAATGGGATCTAATTAAACTAAAGAGCTTCTGCACAGCAAAAGAAACTACCATCAGAGTGAACAGGCAACCTACAGAATGGGAGAAAATTTTTGCAACCTACTTATCTGACAAAGGGCTAATATCCAGAATCTACAATGAACTCAGACAGATTTACAAGAAAAAAACAACCACATCAAAAAGTGGACAAAGGATATGAACAGGCACTTCTCAAAAGAAGACATTTATGCAGCCAAAAAACACATGAAAAAATGCTCATCATCACTGGCCATCAGAGAAATGCAAATCAAAACCACAATGAGATACCATCTCACACCAGTTAGAATGGCGATCATTAAAAAGTCAGGAAACAACAGGTGCTGGAGAGGATGTGGAGAAATAGGAACACTTACATTGTTGGTGGGACTATAAACTAGTTCAACCATTGTGGAAGTCAGTGTGGCGATTCCTCAGGAATCTAGAACTAGACATACCATTTGACTCAGCCATCCCATTACTGGGTATATACCCAAAGGATTATAAATCATGCTGCTATAAAGACACACGCACACGTATGTTTATTGCGGCACTATTCACAATAGCAAAGACTTGGAACCAACCCAAATGTCCAACAATGATAGACCAGATTAAGAAAATGTGGCACATATACACCATGGAATACTATGCAGCCATAAAAAATGATGAGTTCATGTCCTTTGTAGGGACATGGATGAAGCTGGAAACCATCACTCTCAGCAAACTATCACAAGGACAAAAAACCAAACACTGCGTGTTCTCACTCATAGGTGGGAATTGAACAATGAGAACACATGGACACAGGAAGGGGAACATCACACACTGGGGACTGTTGTGGGGTGGGGGGAGTGGTGAGGGATAGCATTAGGAGATACACCTAATGCTAAATGATGAGTTAATGGGTGCAGCACACCAACATGGCACATGTATACCTATGTAACAAACCTGCACGTTGTGCACATGTACCCTAAAACTTAAAGTATAATAATAATATAATAATAAAATTAAAAAAAGAAACACATACATTAGCCTAGGCCTACAAAGTGTCAGAATTATCAGTATCAGTGTCTTCCACCTCCCACATGTCTCATTGGAACGTCTTCAGTGGCAGTATTTTGCATGGAGCTGTCGTATCCTATGATAATAATGCATTCTTCTGGAGTACCTCCTGAAGGACCTGCCTGAGGATGTTTCACAGTTAATTTTTTTCATAAGTAGGAGTACACTCTAAAATCATGATTAAAAGTATAGAATAGAAATTAGTATAGTATAGTATAGTATAGTATAGTATAGTATAGTATAGTATAGTAAATACATACGCCAGTAACATAGTCATTCATTATCCTCAAGCATTAGGTTCTATACACAAGTTAGATATGCTATACTGTTATACGACTGGCAGCATAATACACCAGCATCACCACAAACAACATCACAACAAACTCGTGAGTAATGTGTTGCACCACAGGGTTATGTTACTACATCACTAGGTGATAGGAATTTTTCAGCTCCATTACAAGCTTATGGGATCCACCATCATGTATATGCAGTTCATTATTGACGGAAACATCACTGTGCAGTAGTACACTGACATTTTTTAACATTAGAATTTTTAGAAATATTCATTATACTATGTTGAATTAGAGTTTCAAATTTTATGCTAATTTGATTAAGCAGTATACAATTGATTTCTAATCTTTGTTATAATCTATCAATTTTGTATTTGCAAAGTTGGGTTAAACTCATTTTGTTCTTTGACCTGTAATCAACACCTTGCTTAAACTCATTTTTTAAAAGTTCAAGTCAAACTATCTTAATGAGCTATTTTTGAGTTGATACAGCAAAGTAAAAGAAATAGGTTATATTTGGGAAAAGTCTTAAATATGACACTTGTTTAGTGAGAAAAAATAATTTTATTAAATTTGGAAATTATAACAATATTTGGAATTTAAATACTGAAAATTTATATTATGGTACTGCTATTAAACTATGTTTTAATTTCATACATTTTCATTAATGTTGACTTGTAGTTATATTTGTGTAATATTTTGCTGATAAATTGCCTTTGTATTCCAGGCTTTCATGTTACTCTGTGATCTTCTGATGATTTTCAGCCACCAATTAATGACAGGTGGCAGAGAGGGCCTTCAGCCTTTGGTGTTCAATCCAGATACTGGACTCCAATCTGAACTCCTCAGTTTTGTGATGGATCACGTTTTTATTGACCAAGACGAGGAGAACCAGAGCATGGGTACTTGTAGCTATCATCTTGTCAATATTGATTTTTTTTTACCAACCCCAAAAGATAGGAGAAAAGAAACAAATTCAGTTCTAAAAATTATCGAGATTTCTTTCTTTTAAAAAAGTTGGCCAGGTGCAGTGGCTGACACCAGTAATCCTAGCACTTTAGGAGACTGAGGCAGGAGGATTGCTCCAAACCCAGAAGTTCGAGAGCAGCCTAGGCAATATGGCGAGACCTTGTCTCTACAAAACAGAAAAAACATAAATTAAAAAAAAGTTAATAGTAATACATTCATATAGTTCAGAAACCAACAAGAATAAAAATGTACATAGTGAAGTCTCCCTCCTTTAATACTGTACCTCAGATCTTTTCCTGTCGTTATATAGAGAGCTCTGTCTTTCTCTAACAGCTACACAGCATTTCTTTATGTAGATATAGCATAATTCATATTATCCATCTCACACAGATTGACATATGGCTAGTTTCCAATCTTCAACTATTACAAACTATGGTGTAATGAATAGTAGTGTACATTTGTCATTTGCCACATGTACAAATGTGTATGTAGGATAGATGTTGTTTCTAATTGGCTATGTCCAGGTTCATAATTTTTCTAAAAGAAAGTATCCAGGTTCCTTTCTGTTCCTAAGTGGTCATTATGTATTACTTAAATGAACAAAACCTAACTGTTTGATATTAAATGCTGAAAAACTGTTATCAAACCTCACTAGTGAAAATTGTGCTATGCCTGCAGAATGATAACTTAGCAATATTAGACTGAATTGTTAATGATTAGTTGTAAATAAGTTCACTTAGAATACATTATTTGTGAAATAGATTATTTAAGCTCTCTAAAATAATATAAGAAGTATATTTGATCCACAAGTCTATTTGATGCTGTTCGGCTGTTCTTTCACAACATTTTGGAAAATACTAGTCTGTGAAACAGTATGTTTATTTAGAGTCTATATTCATCTCAGGAGACAAATTTACCTGCTACTTGTCTTAAGCAAAAAAATGTGTTCTTCTCAAACCACTGATGCTTCACAATAAGACTAATTAGTAGAAAGGAAAGAGACTGACAGCAAGTTCTTTTTGCGAATCTATACATATAAGGGAGAGAAGAAAGAAGGTTGATTCCAAATAAGGACAGGCCAGGACACGGGAGGGTCAGTACAGAGCCTGAAACAAATGTTATCATCTGGAGTCTTGTTGGCATGTTTTTTCTAGGATTAGAAATAGAAACCCCAGTGGGGTCTGGAACTTACAAATTTGAGGAAGAAACACACTTGTTTTGAAAGTATTTGATAGGGCTTTAAAAATTTTTTATATGTGCATAACATGGTATGCAAAATATTTTGTTTCTCAGTTGATAATGTAACCATGTTTAGGATGAGCACTGAAAATTTAACTCATCCATATTTCAATTTCTTCCCTAAATATTTTTCTAAAAGAAAACTTTTTCCTTGTGTCTTAAAATTTTTCAGAAGTGTTCTCTCAGTGAGAATGTATTAACACATAAGGAATATTGAAATAAGAAAAGACAGCGTTTTAAAGGTAATCAGATAATTTCACAGTATTGTTATGACACAAGTATCAGAAAACCAATCTTTATACAGCTGTCTCTCAGTATTGTGGGGGATTGATTCCAGGACTCCCACTCATACCAAAATCCATGGATGCCCAAATCTCTTAAATAAAATGGTAGAGTATAATCAGCCCTCCCTATCTGTGGGTTCTGCATCCACAGATAGGGAGGGTAGACTATACATGGTTTGCTTATCTTATTCAGTCTTTACTATGATAATCTCCTAAGAAGACAGAAACCTTAGTACCTATTAAATGTTTGATAAATGAGTAACTAAATACAGCACCCTAAAATAATTAATGTAACAGTTTTTGTCCCATCTAAAACTGAATTGTACTATTTGTGAAGTTATAATATTAAGCTAATTTTCAATTATACAGATTATCTGCATTGTTTTACGTGGATAAAGTACCAGAATTCATAACCAATTTGTAATCTGTGTTTAGAGGGTGATGAAGAAGATGAAGCTAATAAAATTGAGGCCTTACATAAAAGAAGGAATCTACTTGCTGCTTTCAGCAAACTTATCATTTATGACATTGTTGACATGCATGCAGCTGCAGACATCTTCAAACACTACATGAAGGTATAGTTAAATATTCTTATTTTTCTCCTTCCTCTAACTGGCAGAGAAATTAGCAATTGAAAGGATGATGACAGAAGCTAAAATTGACAGCTTTTCACCTATGTAATGTGGATGATTTTATGATAAAGTTTCTCTTATATAAGCTTTTTATCAGTCTGTACTATTATATCAGTTCCATTGAGTAGGAGTTCCAGCATTTATATGAAAGAACATACTTTCTAGCTACTTTCATAAGCTCCATTTTGTTCCTGACTCTCTGAAAAAGCAGGGCTCAGAGACCTTCTTGATGTGGCCTGACAGGCACAGATGGGAGGGAATACTCAGTTTTCCTGTATTTGCCTTGTTCTTGTGTCAGAGAGAATGTTCTCTTTTATTTAGAATATTGTATGTGTCATTTGATCTACTTGTGTCTTCATGTTTGGGTGTAGTCCAATTCCAATTATGGCATAGTAGCTGATTTATCATATTATGCTGAACAACTGCAATGTGTTGAGTAATGTGCTGGTAGCCAGAGGTTTAAGTAAGACATGATTTCTGCACTAAGGAGCTTACAGATTAAGAGTTAACTAACATCTAAACATAATATAATGTAGCATACTGATAATGAATGACTGCCATGTGTTCATGCCATTTATATTTGAGACACTGTTCTAAGACTTTCACATTATCATTGATCTTTCTAATCCCCCTGTGATGTAAGAAATAGTATCATCATTTACATATAAGGAAACTAAGGCTCGAGAGGTAAACCTTTCAAGGTCACACACAACTATTAAAATAACAGAAACTGGGATTTTATTTTAGGCTTGTCTAACTTCAAAGCTTAGCTCTTTTCACTAGACCACAAAGCTTCAGCATGATTATTGTAGTGATAGATGCATAAATTACTAACCTAACACCAAATATAGAGAGAGACTTAAGTGAGAGGAGCAAGAGAAGACTTCCTAAAGCTAATGTGTAAACAGAGTTGCATGGATAAATAGGAGCTTACTAGATGAGCATGGGAAGGAAGACAAGCCCTTGCCAAGACAGCAGCATAAATATGCCTACCTGTTTCAGCTCATTTTTCTCTACTTAATCCAAAAAGAAATCATGAAAGAACTTGTCAAACTAATTATTGATACCCAAATAGACTGTGATATTTGCATGTTGAACCTTTCTAAAAGAAAATGTCATGATCTGTTAGCAAACTTCTGCTTGCTTCCAGTGACCATTTACTTTCCAAATATTCGCAGGCATTACATTTAATTTAATAATGTATTCTGTAATCTTAGGCTCAGCATCAAGCTCACCGATGGTATTGTTCAGAAAAGTTATTCCTCATCCTGATTTTCCATCAGTCACCTGGAACTTTATTCCAAATTACATGTTCCTGGGTCCCACTCAACCTAAATGAAAAATATTTAGGGTGGATCCCAGGCATTTGTGGAGGAGGGGTTAATTTTCCATATAACCTTCTTTCCTTTTGGAAAATCAGAACTATGATTATCTTTCTCTGTCCTCTAGCACCTTTCCTATTCTTCACCATTTCTTAAAGAGCACAAAGTTTCCATAATCTCCACAAATTTTCTTAAGACACGATTCATCTGGCCTAGGAAACTAATTCAATTCGGAACAACTTGATGCTTTCATTATCTCTTCACTAAACCTGGATGTCAGTTCCATTTTATAAGTGTTTATCCTACCCTTTTTATATAGTTTTCTCTTTAGCAGGAAATAAAGGGCATGAAATATGTTGAATTCTGGTTTTTCCTGGTAATCCTTTAACAATACTTCATTGGTTCCAAAAAGTGAGTCTTATTCAGAACTTTTATCATCCTTAGCATTTCAGGGACACTTCTATTCACTATAGGCTCTAACCTTTTTGTGAGTATTATAATAGCTATTTGCTCTTCTGATATATGGCTATGTGGCTTTTCCTCCAATTTTTGTACATAATTGGTTCAGTCTGAACTTAAAAGAAATCTGCCTGCTCCAGTACTTTAGTGTTTTGATATTTATCTTTTTCTCTTCATTGAGATAATTCTTCTTTGCACTAAAAGGATCCTTTTGAGCTGTTCGCCTTTTAGCATTTCACATCATGGAAACATACCTATCTTTTTGAGATTTTGAAAATCTAATTGCCAAACTATTATTAATCACTTCTTCACATAGGCTGTAGACTTTAGCTTGGAAACAATGTCCAGATTTAATGGTTTTAAATGAAACCTTTTGATTATTTACTCACAGAAAAAATTATTTAAATCTTGTGTCAAGAAACTGAATTATAACTTTTCCCAGTCACTGTCGAAGATGTCTGTGTTTTACTTTTTTATATTTCGATAGTAAAATATAGACATGTTGATGGGGGGGTTACAGGGATGAGATAGTGCACAAAGTATTAAATGAAGAGTTAAGTCTGTTACCCTAATCCCCCCTTCCCCCTATTTAGGCCCACCCCCCAGAAGTAAGCAGTTTTAACTGTTTTGGTTTTAGTTCTTCAGGAGGCTTCTACCAAAATTCTATTTCTTGATCTGTCACCTTTTAGATGTTGTCTGTTCAATCATGTTATAAAGAATGGGGCCAGGCACAGTGGCTCACGCCTGTAATCCCAGCACTTTTGGAGGCTGAGGCTGGTGGATCACTTGAGGTCAGGAGTTCAAGACCAGCCTGGCCAACATGGTGAAACCCTGTCTCTACTGAAAATATAAAAATTACCCGATCATGGTGGCACACACCTGTTGTCCCATCTACTTGGGAGGCTGAGGTGGGAGAATTGCTTGAACCCAGGAGGCAGAGGTTGTAGTGAGCCGAGATCATGCCATTGCACTCCAGCCTGGGCAACAGAGTGAGACTTCATCTCAAAAACAAATAAAAGCAAAAACAAAAAACAAGAATGGAGAAGGCCAGGTGCAGTGGCTCACGCCTGTAATCCCAGCATTTTGGGAGGCTGAGGTGGGTAGCTCACTTGAGGTCAGGAGTTCAAGACCAGCCTGGGCAACATGGCAAAAACCCCATCTCTACAAAATATTTTTTAAAAAAATTAGCCAGGCGTGGTGGCACATGCCTGTAGTCCCAGCTATTTAGGAGGCTGAGGTGGGAGGATCACCAGAGCCCAGAGTTGAAGGCTGCAGTGAGCTACGATCACACCACTGCACTCCAGCTTGAGTGAGACCCTGTATCAAACAAGAAAAAACAAGAATGGGGAATTTTTCTCACCACCTCTCTTCCTGGAATTCCCAGCTTTTTTGGTTTTACTAGTATTAGTTCATAATCTTAAACATCAAATGTGCATTCCTGTAACTTTAGTTATTTAACTCCTGTTATGTTTAAGATGAAGAAATAAAACACTTTTTTATTTACCTTTCCTTTCTTTTACCAACCAACCTGTTCTTTTTTTTTTTTTTTCATTTTCAAAGGAGGTGACACCAACCTATTCTTTATCTCATGAAATGTCAGTAATTTTAAAGCCATGTTTTCTTTCTTTCCCTCACAGTATTACAATGACTATGGTGATATTATTAAGGAAACACTGAGTAAAACCAGGCAGATTGATAAAATTCAGTGTGCCAAGACTCTCATTCTCAGTTTGCAACAGGTAAGAAATTTGGAGAGAGGGAGACAAAGAATGGAAATAACATTATTGCACTTCTCTGTGCTTAATATTTGCTAGGTATCTCATCTCATTTAAACTAGGTCATTTTATATCATTTTGTCAGTGCATTACTGTGGATATTTTCTGGTACAAAGACATAGGTTAGGTGTCTTTTCTTTTGGAAGAAAATCCTAGAGTTCATATTTCAAATAGATGCAATCCTAAGGTGATTTATTCTTGGACTAGATGAAATGTCAAACTGGAAATTTAAAAAGTAGTAATTTAAGAAGAAAAATATAAAAAGTATTTCATGAGGAAGGGCACCAGGAGATAAGAAAATGTTTTTCATGTTGCGTAAATAAGATTTCTAATAAATGCTTAGTAATTTAAAATGATTTCAGGGGGCCTAGTGGATATATATATGTGATATGTGCATATATAAAAATACATAATATATATATGTTTGTATTTAGTTTATGATAAAAGTCTTATATCAGTGGCAAAAGGATTGGGACTATTCAATAAATGGTGATGGGTCAGCTGACTGTGTATTTGAAAAAAATAGCTGTTTATAGTCCTACCTAATGTGTACCCAAAATAACTACTAGATGGTTTATATATAAAAGGACAAAAATAAGGGTTTATAAGAAAATAAGAGGATATTTTTTAAATCCTCTTTCTAAAGAAGTCACAGAGTTCATAATTGATGATCCGTATAAATTTCTTTTCTTTTTTCTTTTTTTTTCTTTTTTTTTTTTTTTTTGCAGAGATGATGTTTCACCATGTTGGCCAGGCTGGTCTCAAACTCCTCGGCCTCAAGTGATCCACCTACCTCGGCCTCCCAAAGTGCTGGGATTATAGACATAAGCCACCTTGCCCCAGCCAATCTGTATAAATTTAAATAGATTAAATAG
This sequence comes from Homo sapiens, assembly GCF_000001405.40. Classification (NCBI taxonomy): domain Eukaryota; kingdom Metazoa; phylum Chordata; class Mammalia; order Primates; family Hominidae; genus Homo; species Homo sapiens. The sequence continues at coordinate 136,362,454 of NC_000003.12, read as the reverse complement.
ATGTATACATCAATCAGCACTTTGAGCAAAGTTAAAAAAAAAGTGACAGATGGAAATATTTTCAGTCCTACATAACAAATCCTACAGATCAGTAGGAAAGATAAATAAATCCCATAGAAAAGTGAGCGAGGGATATGAAAAAGGCACTTTTCCAAGGAAGAATCTTACAAACCAGTAAACATGAGAAGAGGCATTAGGCTGGACGCAGTGGCTCACACCTGTAATCCCAGCACTTTGGGAGGCCGAGGCGGGTAGATCACCTGAGGTCAGGAGTTCGAGACCAGCCTGGTCAACATGATGAAACCCCATCTCTACTAAAAATACAAAAAATTAGCCAAGCGTGGTGGCGGGTGCCTGTAATCTCAGCTACTCTCAGGAGGCTGAGGCAAGACAATCATTTGGACCTGGGAGGCGGGGGTTGCAGGTATCCAAGATCATGCCATTGCACTCCAGCCTGGGCCACAAGAGCAAAACTCTGTCTCAAAAAAAAGAAAGAAAAGAAGCATTAATTATATATAACATAAGTAATTAATAATTAATGAAAGCCAAGCACAGTGGCTCACACATGTAATTCCAGCACTTTGGGAGGCCAAGGCAGGCAGATTGCTTGAGCCCATGAATTCAAGACCAGCCTGGGCAACATGGCAAGACCCCGTCTCCAAAAACAAAAACAAAAATAGCCAGATGTGTTGGCACGCACCCCGTAGTCCCAGCTACTCGGGAGGGTAAAGTGACAGGATGGCTTGAGCCTGGGAGGTCCAAGCTGCAGTGAGTTATGATTGCACCTCTGCCTTCCAGCCTAGGTGACAGAGTGAGACCCCATTTCTAATAATAATAATTATTATTAATGAAATACAAATTAAAATGGATACTTACTGCTCAACAGATTGGCATGAATGAAAATGATTGACAAAGATATAGAGGAAAAGGCCCCTTTTGAAAACTGCCTTGTTAGAAGACAGTTTTGTAGTATATTCCAAAATTGAAGATATATATTCCCTTTAAGCCAGTAATTTTGCTTCTAGGTATCTACATGGATATGCACAGGTGTGTACCAATAAATATATGTAAAAGATGTTTTATTGCAGCAGTCTCTGTAATAGTAACAAACTGGAAATAGTCTAAATGTCTATCAACAGGGGAATGGTTAAATAAACTGAGCTAGATAAAGGATTTTTAAGACAAAATATTGAGTGAAAAATAGCAAGTTTCAGGACAAATGCAGTATGCTACCATTTATGTAAAAATAAAAACTTTAGCTGTAAAAGTAATATGTCTACACTGATCTAGAAAACTTTCAGACTTTAAACACTGGTTACCTTTGGAGAGAATAATGGTATTTGGTAGAAGAGAGAAAGAATAACTTTTACTTTGATATTCTTTGAATTTTTCACAACAAAATGTATTCTTTGTATTCACTTTAAATGTACACTTTAAGTTTTAAAGTTTAAGGCTATTGTATATACCAATATGTGAAAACATTTTAAAGTTTAAGAATTTATAAACAGCCTGTAATCCCAGCACTTTGGGAGGCTGAGGCGGGCAGATCACAAGATCAGGAGATCGAGACCATCCTGGCTAACATGGTGAAACCCCCTCTCTACTAAAAATACAAAAAATTAGCTGGGTGTGGTGGCGGGCGCCTGTAGCCCCAGCTACTCAGGAGGCTGAGGCAGGAGAATGACATGAACCCAGGAGGTGGAGCTTGCAGTGAGCCAAGATCATGCCATTGCACTCCAGCCTGGGTGACAGAGCGAGACTCCTCAGGAAAAAAAAAGAATTTATAAACAATTATCTATGAATAAATTTGAAATCCCTGGAAGAACTGTTCCTTCAGTAATGACATAGCAAGTAGTTCAGGCCAATCTATTGCTGAAGAAAACTAAAAAGGTGCAGAACATATTAGCACCCAGGAGCTATTTCAGTGAATGGTGTGATTAGAATAAATTGAGAGATTGGGAGGTGAGAGACTGAAGAAAAGAAATGTCAACAATACTTTTCAGGACCTTTGCTATAAAGGGAATCAGAGAAATGGGTTAGTAGCTGGCAGAGGAAATGGGGTCAAGAAGTTAAGAGTATTTTTAAGATGTATACATCTAGTACAGAAGGAATAGTTTAGGAGGCAGGAGAGAGCAGTAAACACAAGAGCAAAACTATTGAGCAGGCGAAACCTTACATACTCCCTTCTTATCTAATACATAGGAGGGAATGGCTTTAGGTGAAAGTCTGGACAGTTCACCCCTCATAACAGGAGGAAAGGTAGATGTCTACAGATAAAATTAAGTTTTTAGATTTGGTAGTGGAATGATAATTGCTTGTATATTACCTCCAGGGTTCTGTTTTTGTTGTTATTTTCACAGGAAATAGCTAACAGATATGCAATTTATAAAACTCCACCCAGCTTAAGAACTTTTTGGTATATTTTGTTACTGGGTGGGAAAAATCATAGCACCATGTATGTAAATGGTCTTCTTTTATATAATGTTCTTGTTTGAAATATAATAAGTGAAAAAACAAACCTCTTAACCCTATATTTCATATATTGTCATTCCTGTAAAAACAATAACAAAAAGAATAGATGTTTATAAATATACAGTGTACTTCTATAAATATATTTCCTTTTCCCATCTCAAAATACATTCTTTTGGCCACGTGTGGTGGCTCACGCCTGTAATCCCAGCATTTTGGGAGCCCAGGGCAGGCGGATCACTTGAGGACAGGAGTTTGAGACCAGCTTGGCCAAGATCTCTGCTAAAAATTAGATGGGCATGGTGGTACACGCCTATTATCTCAGCTACTCAGGAGGCTGACGCGTGAGAATTCCTTTAACCCGGGAGGTGGAGGTTGCAGTGAGCTGAGATCCCACCACTGCACTCCAGCCTGGGTGACAGAGCGAGACTCTCAATAAAAGAATGTGTTTTTTTATTATTATTAGAAACAAATTTCTGTCTGCATTTAATCACACCACTAGCATGAAAATTAACTCAAGCTATTAATAATAGACAATTTGTAGAAAGGGAACAGAGTAGCTAAAATTCAATGCAAGAAGAGAAACATTTCACCTTATACCTTTTACATATTTTTTAATTACCTATTCTGAAAATAACTGTTTAAAATTCTGAGCTATAGGTTTTTTCTTCTTTTTTTCTTTCTATCAGTTATTTAATGAACTTGTTCAAGAGCAAGGTCCCAACCTAGATAGGACATCTGCCCATGTCAGTGGCATTAAAGAACTGGCACGTCGCTTTGCCCTTACATTTGGATTGGACCAGATTAAGACACGAGAAGCAGTTGCCACACTTCACAAGTGAGTGAGATAAACACTTTGTTATGCAGAATCTGATTTACTTGAATTTTAATGAAATAACTCTTATATGACCCATTTTTAAAGTGACGATAGAATTTTAAGTTATAAGAACTTTGGAGATTAGTTTAGAGATTCTAAACTGGGAGGATGTTTTTAATTTGAAAAAACTTAAACCACCCATTTGTTCATCTTACAAAGTATGGAAAGCAAAATTTAATAACATATTATTGTCTGGTCTGTCAGTAAGAAAACAGTGGGTTTGAGAGACTATACAGGCTGGGTGTGGTGGTTCACGCCTGTAATCCCAGTGCTTTGGGAGCCCAAAGCAGGAGGATCATTTGGGGCCAGGAGTTCGAGACTAGCCTGGGCAATGCAGTAAGACCCTGTCTCCTGCAAAAAATAAAAATGAGCCAGGCATAGTGGCATGTGCCTGCAGTCCTAGCTACTTGGGAAGCTGAGCCAGGAGGATCACTTAAGACTGGGAGTTTGAGGTTATAGTGAGCTATGATTGTACCACTGCCCTCCAGCCTGGAAAACAGAGTGAGAACCTGACTCTGAAAAAATAATTATTATAGAATTTTTTGTTAAGACTATACAAAACTGATTTGGGTTTCATTATTGTGAAAACAGAAGTAACAGAAAATCTTTAGTAAACTCACACAGCTTGGTACCATTACCAGCTCTAAGAAGCAAATATTCTGGCAATGTATTAATAATTCTCTGTCCAGGGTATCTTCTTACCTCTAAAAACTACACATAGTGGGCCAGGCACGGGTAGCTCATGCCTGTAATCCCAGCACTTTGGGAGGCCAAAGGAGGCCAATTGCTTGAGCCCAGGAGTTTGAGACCAGCCTGGGCAATATGGCGAAACCCCATCTCTACAAAAAATGCAAAAATTACCCAGGTGTGGTGGCACACACGTGTAGTCCCAGCTACTCGGGAGGCTGAGGTGGGAGAATCACCTAAGCCCAGGAAGTCAAGGCAGTGAGCCATGATAGCACCACTGCACTCCAACCTGGGCGACACAGTGAGACCTTGTCTCAAAAAAAAAAAAAAAAATACGAATTTAGCTTTGTTGCTCTGTAGCTATTTTTTGTATATTTTCCCCAACTTACAGTTTCATACTATAAATATACACAAATATGTCCTATATATTCACATTAGTTTATTATTTGAATTTATCAGATTTTACTACCTTTTGTGATAATTTTACTACCTTCACAAATATTTGTGTAATGTTAGCTAATTGAGAGAATTACACTATCTGGAAAAATAAGTTGATATTTTCTTTTACTTCAGGGATGGCATAGAGTTTGCATTTAAATACCAAAATCAGAAAGGACAAGAGTATCCACCTCCTAATCTGGCTTTTCTTGAAGTACTAAGTGAATTTTCTTCTAAACTTCTTCGACAGGACAAAAAGACAGTGTAAGTTGCACATTACAAGAGAAGTGGTTTTTATAATAATACTGTTGTAAATGTTTATTTTTTGAAAAATTTTTAATCATTTGGATATCTTTACTCTTGATAATTTAGGCTCTGATAGTTTGTTTTAAGGAATTATAGTTTTCCTTCAAGCATTTATGTAGTAGTTATTTCACTGCTTATCTTTTAGTACCCTAGAATCTGCAACATGAAATTAAGCAGGTGGAAATGATTTCTTATTATGCAGTTCAAAGATGTATAAACACTGGTTTAGCCATTGTGTAACTCTTCCTTCTTTCCTTTTATATTAATTTCATTTTAGTTTTATATTCTATTTGACTTGTTTCAAAAGATTGATTTTTTTCATATTTGCTTTTTTTGATTATTGATAACAGTTTAAAGAAATATATATGTAATTTCAAAAGAAAATCTTGATTGGGTAAGTTTTATTTAAAACCAAACCAGAAAACTTCTAGGCTGGGCATGGTGGCTCACACCTGTAATCTCAGCACTTTGGGAGGCCGAGACGGGCGGATCACAAGGTCAGAAGATCAAGACCATCCTGGCTAACACGGTGAAACCCCGTCTCTACTAAAAATACAAAAAAATTAGCCGGGCGTGGTGGCGGGTGCCTGTAGTCCCAGCTACTCAGGAGGGTGAGGCAGGAGGATGGCGTGAACCTGGGAGGCGGAGCTTGCAGTGAGCCGAGATCGCACCACTGCACTCCAGCCTGGGTGACAGAGCGAGACTCTGTCTCAAAAAAAATAAAATAAAATAAAAAATTTAAAAAAAATAAAAAAAAATTAGCTAGGCATGGTGGTGCATGCCTGTAGTCCCAGCTGCTCAGGAGGCTGATGCACAAGAATCGCTTGAACCCAAGTGGCAGAGGTTGCAGTAAGCTGCGATCATGCCACTCCACTCCAGCCTGGGTGACAGAGCGAGACTCCGTCTCAATAAAAAAATAAAATAAAATAAAAACTTTTTTAGAGGATAATACTATAATGAATCCTAAATTTTATAAACTGTTAAGACAGAGAGTCCTTTATAATATTCTAGCTGGGTGCAGTGATTCACGCCTGTAAGGAGGCTGAAGCAGGAGGATTGCTTGAGTCCAGGAGTTCAAGACCAGTCCTGGCAACGTAGCAAGACCCCATCTCTATAAAAAAATTTTAAAATTAGCCAGGTGTGGTGGTGTGTACCTGTAGTCCCAGCTACTTGGGAGGCTGAGGTCGGAGAATCACTTGAGCCCAGGAGTTTGAGGCTGCACTTAGCTATGATTATGCCACTGCATTCCAGCCTGGGTGACAGCCTGGGGAGCCTGTGTCAATCAGTCGATTTTTTAAATATAACAGGATTCTAAATAAATAGAATTTTGGAGAGACAGTTAATACTTATATGACTATAAGTGATAGTTCTAAGTAAAGATGTTGATGTCATGTTGATCAGAAAATATTCATTAAGCCCCTAGTATGGTCAGCTACTGTTGTAAAGCTTATGCTCTAATGCCAGGGGGCACAGCATAAACAGGCAGATGGCCAGGCTCAGTGGTTCCGACCTGGAATCCCAGCTATTCCGGAGGCTGAGGTGGGAGGATTGTTTGAGGGCAAGAGTCTGAGAGCAGCCTGGGCAAGACAGTGAGACTGTCTCTAAAAAAAAAAAAAAAAACAGGCAGACAAACGAGAGTTTCAGGCACTGAAATGGGGTAATATGATAGAGACAGGTGTTGAATATTAGTGGGAGTGGTTTGAAAACTTTTTCAATACAGGCATTTACAGCTATACATTTTCCTCTAAACATTACCTTAGCTGCATCTTGTAAGTTTTGGTATGTTGCATTTCTGTTTTTATTCATCTCAAAGTATTTTCTCATTTCACTTATTTCTTCTTTAACCTATTGGTTATTCAGGAGTATTTTGTTTAATTTTTATGTATTTCTGAATTTCCAGATTTTCCTTCTCTTACTGATTTCTTCATTTCATTGTGGTCAGAGATCATGCATTGTATTATTTTAATCCTTTTAAATTTATTGAGGCTTGTTTTATGGACCAACATACGGTCTTAGAGACTGTTCCATGTATCAGTTGACAAAATGTGTTACCATTCTGGTTTTGGTTGGAGTTTTTGTTCTGTAGATGTGTGTTCTGTCTAGTTAGCTTATAGTTTTGTTTATAGTGCTTTTCAGGTCTTCAGTGTTCTTGTTAATCTTTTGCTTAGTTGTCCTATTCATTATTGAAAGTGGGATATTGAAGTCTCCAAATATTACTATTGAATTGTCTATTTGTCCCTTCAGTTCTGTCAGTTTTTGCTTCATACATTTTGGGGCTCTCTTGTTAGGTGTATATACTTTTTTTTTTTTTTTTTTTTTTTTTTTTAAGATGGAGTCTCACTCTGATACCCAGGCTGGAGTGCAGTGACACAATCTTGGCTCACTGCAATCTCTGCTTCCCGGGTTCCAGCGATTCTCCTGCCTCAGCCTTCTGGGTAGCTGGGACTATAGGCGCGTGCCACCACACCTGGCTAATTTTGTATTTTTATTAGAGATGGGGTTTCACCATGTTGGCCAGGCTGGTCTTGAACTCTTGATCTCAAGTAATCTGCCCACCTCGGCCTCCCAAAGTGCTGGGATTACAGGTGTGAGCCACCACGCCTGGCCTGTACATACATTTTTAATTGTTACATCTTCCTGACCAGTTGAGTCTTATTCTAAAGTGTCATTCTCTAAGACATTTTTGTGTCATACTACTATAATCACTCCAGCTTTATTTTGACTACTGTTTTGCATGGTACACCTTTTTTTCCATCCTTTCACTTTCTGCCTTTGTATCTTTGAATCTAAAGTGTGTTTCATGTAGACAGCAAATTGGATCATGTGTTTTTAAATTCAACCTGACATTCTCTATTATTATACTTTTTGTTTTTTATATGTCTCCTGGAGATTTTGTTTTTGTTTTTTGGTTTTTTTTTTTTTTGGTTCTTTCTCCTTTACTGCCTTCTTTTATATTAAATGTATGTTTTCTAGTGTAGCATACTAATTCCTTTAATTAATCTTTAATTGTATTTTTTTAGTTATTTTCCTAGTGGCCTTACCAGGCCTTACAGTATACATCTTATCAAAATTTACTGGCCGAGTGCAGTGGCTCACACCTGTAATCCCAGCACTTTGGGAGGCTGAGGTGGGCAGATCACTTGAGGTCAAGAGTTCAAGACCAGCCTGGCCAACATGGTGAAACCCCATCTCTAATAACAATACAAAAATTAGCCGGGCATGGTGGCACATGCCTGTAATCCAAGCTACTTGGAAGGCGAAGGTGGGAGAATTGCTTGAACCCCAGGGGCCCCAGGGGCAGAGGTCGCAGTAAGCCAATATCGTGCCACTGCACTCCACCCTGGACGATAGAGTGCGATTCCGCCTCAACAAAACAAAATTTACCTAAGGTCTATCCTGATTTATTCTAAGGAAATACAGAAACTTTAATTCTATATAAATCCATTTCCTTCCTCCTTTTTTGGCTATTCTTGTTATACCTAGTCCATCTATATATATTAGAAACCCAATAATAAATTGTTATAATTATACTTGAGATAATCTTTTATAGAAACTGAGAAAAGAAAGGAAAGCCAGTATGTATTTATAGAGTTTGTTATATTAATCTTCCTATTTACCATTTTTCTGGTTCTCTTCATTTCTTCCTGTGGATTCGAATTGCCATCTGGTATCATTCCTATATTCAAATACAGCTTCTCTTTCACTCACTTTTTTGTGTTTATTGTCAAATATATTACATTTCTATGTTATTGACCCAACAATACAGTAACATACATATTGTTTTATATATTTGCTTTTTAAATCAGTTAAGAGAGAAGGGATAAGTAAATATGTAATTATACTTTTGTAACTACCTACAAATTACCTTTACTGGCACTCTTTGTTTTTTCATGTAAATTCAAATTACCCTGTGGTGACATTTGCTTTCAACTTGACTAACTTCCTTTAGTAGGCAGGTCTGATAGCAACAGATTCTCTCAGGGGTGGCTTATGCCTGTAAACCCAGCATTTTGGGAGGCTGAAGCAGGAAGATTGCTTGAGCCCAGCAGTTTGAGGTTACAGTGAGCGATGTAAGATTCTCGTTTGATAGTTTTTTACTTTCAACACTTTGACCATGTGATCCCACTACCTTCTGGCCTCCATTGTGAGCCAGGTGATAAGAATTAATCATTAATTTTATTGGATTTTCTTTGTATGTAGTGAATTACTTTTCTCTTACTACTTTCATGATTTTGTTTTTATCCTTGGCTTTCAGCATTTTTCCTATGATGAATCCATGTGTGCATCTCTTTGCATTTATCCTGTTTGAAGTTCATTGAACTTTGTGGATGTGTAAATTATGTTTTTCATCAAATTGGGCAAGTTTTTAGCCATTATTTCTCCTAAATTTTTCTGCTTTTTCGTCTGCTACCTTGGTTACTCCCATTACACATATGTCAGTATATTTAATGGTATCCCATACTTCTCTCATGCTCTGTTCATTTTTCTTTATTCTTTTTTCTCTCTCTTCTTCAGATGGCATAACTTCTTGATATATCGTCAAATGTGGTGTTTCTTGCTTTTGTCAGCTCAAATCTACTGTCAAGCCACTATAGTAAATTTTTAATTTTGATTATACTTTCAACTGCAGAATTTCCACTTGGTTCTGTTTTAAAATTGATACTCTTTATTTCATGAGAGATATTGTCATCATACCCACTTTTAATTAGATATGATTTTCTTTAGTTCTTTGAACATACAGGTGCTCCTGGATTTAAGATGGGGTTACATCTAATAAACCCATCATAAGTTTAAAATATTGTAAGTCAAAAATGCATTTAATACACCTAATCTACCAAACATCACAGAATAATATAGCCTACCTTTAACACGCAGAATACTTACATTAGCCTATAGTTTGATAATATCATGTAACACAAAGCCTATTTTATAATGAAATGTCAAATATACTATGAAATTTGTTTAATACTATACTGAAAGTACAAAACAGAATGATTGTATAGGTACTCACCATTAAAGTACACAGCTAAAAGCACTATCATAAAGTAAAAAAAAATCATAAGTCAAAGCATTGTAAGTTGGGGACTTTGTATTTATAATCATTGCTTTGAAATCTTTGTGGGCCAAGGTGCTGTTGCTTGCTCTTTTATCAATGTATCCATCACATTTTCCTGTTTCTTTGTACGTCTCATAATTTTTTCTTAAAAACTGGACATTTGGCCAGGCGCTGTGGCTCACACCTATAATCCCAGCACTTTGGGAGGCCAAGGCGGACCGATCACTTGAGCTCACGAGTTCAAGACCAGCCTGGGCAACATGGCAAACCCTGTCTCTACACAAATACAAAAATTAGCTGGGCATGGTGATGCATGCCTGTAGTCCCAGCTACTCGGGAGGCTGAGGTGGGAAGATGGCTTGAGCCTGAGAGGCAGAGGTTGCAGTGAGCCAAGATTGTGCCACTGCACTCCAACCTCGGTGACAGAGTGAGACCTTATCTCAAAAAAATAAATAAATAAAAAGAACAAATATTGCAAAAATGATATCTTTTGAAATAATAATATAGCTACTCTTTACTAATTATCTGCCCCCTAGAGGTTGATATTATTTTCTCGTTGGTCATTTATTTGTTTAGTTACTTGGATGAACAAACTCCAAAATCTGTTTTCTCTGCCTTGTGCAGCCTCTGATGTCTTTGCTCAGATCTTTTTTCCTTTGTTTTTATCATTTGTCTTGGCTGCTGAGGAGGTCACCCCTGGGTTAGCATAAGCCACTTACTGATCAAAGGTTGCGCTTAAACCCCTTAGCCAGTTAGGTTTACCCTTTACTGTTGGATATGTGTATGGCTTGCAGGCTGCTTTCATAATTCAGGGTATTTACTTTTTTGACCCACATTTTAGGCCAGGGACTAGCAGCTTGGAAGATACCTCTCTGATTATTCCTGAGAAAGGCAGCCTTGGGTGTGCAGTCTTCAGACAACCAGGGAAGCATTACTATTTTATTTTTAAGCCTGGCTTCCTAGGAGTTGCTCCTAGGTGTAAGAATAGCTGTTAGTTCAGCCAGTGTTTGGTGAGAGGTTGTATTTAAACCACTTTTGCCAGTGAAGCTTCCTCCCTGTGTTGATAGATCCGTATGTGGCTTGGGGAATGCTTTCAAGTCTGCCTCATTCCCTTCCCTTTTTTTGCCCATGAGTGAATGCAGCTTAGGATATGTGCATAGCTTTCCCAACTCCCAGCACTTTTATTTTTTATTTTATTTTTTAAACCTGTTCCAAATATGCTTAATGGATAAACAGATAAACTCACAAAATTTGAAACCTATAAACAAAAGAAACTTTTAAGCATAGCAATTACTTAAGCAGATCAGTAACTATAAAATGTTATCCTTCTTTCATATAAGAAGAAATATGTGAAATGCCAAGTTAGCTCAGCAACCTATTAATAACCACCAAAGATTGGTGATAAAGCATTCTTCCAATGCTGTGATGAAAAAAAAAAAATAAGCACAGTGGAGGATTTGGTAGGCTACGTTCAAATGAATCAAAGGGAGCTAGTGAAATGAAGAATCACTTGTTTTTTAGTTAAAAACAAAGGGAAACAAATCCTTCCTTTTAAAAAATAATATATATTTAAGGTGTATATATATGATGTCTTGATATACATATATGTTGTAAGATGATGACAACAGTCAGTTAACAAATCCAACTCCCAGGATTGACTATGACTCCAGGAAGGTTCTTCTTGGCTGTCTCTTTCTCTGGTTTTCTCTGTTGAACTTCCGGCTGTTTTGCGCTGTCATTTGTTGCTGCTAGTGTCAGAGAACTACCAGCACCCTCTCATTTTCACTCCATCAGGATCTCTGTTGTCAACACCCTTAGGAAAGGAATTTTCTACATTTCATTCCAAATAAACAAAGTCATCACCACCACCTTCCTCCTCACTCCTCTCTCCAGCTGCAGTTTCTTCTTCATAGTCAGCCTCAGCCACCAGGGAGAACTTTAACTTTTATGCCACTGAAATGGGGAGGAGGGCAGAATTTGGATGGCATGGACCAGCATCCCTCTTCTCCCAGAATAACACCTCTGGCTCTTTGAGCAGGGGAGAGAGTAGGTAACCCCTGGTTCTCAGCTTGCCCCAGGTTTGGAATCTCTCGACAGGGAGTTTGAGGTGGGGCATTCAGGGTTCCAGTGTTCTCAGCCTGCTGTGCCCAGGGTAGTGTTTTACCCCAGGAGTGGAGACTTGGTGGGATAAAAGGAGCTTCATTTTTCCTGGTTGCTGTTCAGAATAGAACTTACACAACACAGGGCTGGGAGGTGATGAGAAATGCAAATGGTATGCTTCTTTCTTTCAGGGTAGCCTGGGAACTAGAGAGAGAGGGAACCCCCATCTTCTTGGCCACCTGCCTGGACTAGATAGAGTTTCTAAAATATAGAGCTGTAGTGGCAGGGAGAAGGAAACAAGGGAAGGGAACAGGTTGTGGATCAAATGCTACAAAACTTTTGCTGTTCTTGCTAAAATGTATTAGATTTTCTTTTTTTTTTTGAATGGAGTCTCCAGACTGTCACCCAGGCTGGAGTGCAGTGGCACGGTCTTGGCTTACTGCAACCTCCGCCTCCCGGGTTCAAGCGATTCTCCTGCCTCAGCCTCCTGAGTAGCTGGGATTACAGGTGCATGCCACCACGCCTGGCTAATTTTTTTTGTAGGGATAGGGTTGTGCCAGGTTGATCTCAAACTGCTGTCCTCAAGTGATCTGCCCACCTCGGCCTCCCAAAGTGCTGGGATTTACAGGCGTGAGCCACGGTGCCTGGCCAGATTTTCTTGAATAAATTTTTCTCCATTTGCTGTATGCCCTTAAGAGAATTGGCAAATACTTTAAATTACGGTATTTTATAATTTTTACTAGTTAAAATGTTGTTTTGCTGGAAAGAGGGCATGCCAGCCTCCTTACTCCACCATCTTAGAAATCCTGCTTTGGCTTGAACACTTTATAAGAAAACTCAATAATCTTTTTGAGCTAAACTTCTGATTTTTTTTTAACATTGGTGTTTAAAAGCAAAGGAAGAAATATAGGAAAGACCGTACATACATACACACCCTTAGGTAATACACTCACTTGCTTTAAAGTATCCCAAGAATAAGTGAAACAAAACCTTAACTCCTCAGTCCCTCTCTTTCCAAAGGTGACCACTGTTAATAGTTTAATGTGTGTCCTTAGGTATTCTTCAGAACCTGCAGAAAGAGAGCCTCAGATTAAGAAAAAGTAAGTGATGTATGAACTGCTTCTCTGAAAATCACTGCTGTTTCTATTGTGTTTCTAGTCATTCATACCTAGAGAAATTCCTTACCGAGCAGATGATGGAAAGGAGGGAGGATGTATGGCTTCCACTCATCTCCTATAGAAATTCATTAGTCACTGGGGGTGAAGATGATAGAATGTCTGTGAACAGTGGAAGTAGCAGCAGCAAAACCTCATCAGTAAGGAATAAGAAAGGACGACCTCCACTTCATAAAAAACGAGTAGAAGGTAAGTCTGCCTTTACACTATAAGAAACAATTTGCCTGGTTTTAAAGAGATAAAGTAGTAAATAATCTTTTGAAGCAAGATAATAGTATCAGGCACATGATTTTCTTGTATATTTTATTCACAATGAGATGTTAAGGCAAAAAGGTTGAAACAGATGAAGTAAGACAGAAAAGCATCAAGGAAAAAGAAGTTGAGGAAGCATGGAGCACAAAGGAAGACAGCCCAAAAGAGGAAAAAATTAGCTAGGTCTATAAAATCAATCCCCATACTATATGCCTCTAATACATTAAAATATAAAGTAAGATAGTCACAATGCTATTCTATTAAAATTCTTCCTAATATAGATGAGATACAGGTAATTTGAGGGTAGATTTCTGCAGCAAATTGAATATACCAGAATAGTTGTTTTCCAGTTCTACCACTTGGTTGGAACAGTAAGACAGTGATGGCCTCCAGGTGTGGTGGCTCACATCTGTAATCCCAGTTACTCAGGAGACCAAGGAAGGAGGATCAGGAAATTAAGGCCAGAAATTTGAGACCAGCCTGGGAAACATAGCAAGACTCCCATCTCTAAGAAAAAAAAAATTTTAAATGGGTGGCATGCACCTGTAGTCCCAGCTACTTGGGAAGCCGAGGTGGGAGAATCACTTGAGCCCAGAAGTTTGAGGTTGCAGTGAGCTATGATCATGCCACTGCACTCCAGCCTGGGCGACAGAGGAAGACTCCCATCATTTAATTTTTTAAAAAGGCAGTAATGGCTAAATCTGGTTTTATAACCCTCTTGGACTATGGGGAATGGGAAGTTAAATTGTCATGAAAATCTGATCAACAGTAGGTATTCCTATATGTTAAAAAAAAAAAAAAACCTAAAAATTGCTCTATTAAAACAAAGCATTCCTGTTAAAATTACTAAGAGAAGCCTCAAAGTAAAAATGCTTATTTTCTCAAATAATCTTCATCCTTCTTCATGCTTCTAATAAATTTTCTCCAAACCAAGAGGAGGTCTGTGATCTGAGCCTTCTCTCTTGTTCTTTTTATAACTTCTTATCTTTCAGCATCTTACCTGTGCTGCCTAAAAAAATGACTAATAAAGGTTTTGCTAAAATCTGTGGCAAAATTAATTAGAATTTAAATCTAATGATTCTTTTCATTATTGGGGAAACAGTATTGACTGTTGATGAGGAGTACAAATTCTAACATGAGAGTTCCAGAATTCAGACCTGGCCTTCTCATTATCAGCTATGCAACCTTTGAGCATATTACTTAACCTCTCTAAGTTTAAATCATTCATCAAATGAAGGATTAGCAGAGTATTTATCCTGTCAGTTCCCGTGAATATTAGATACTACAAATAAACTACTTAGTATACACACAGTACTGAGCACAGTGCTTGGCACATAGGTAGCATTCAATAAATTATCTGAACGTTATCATTGTATAGTAATGCCTCATATCTATCTAGCATCAGTCAGTAAATTAGGCAGCATCTGTATTCCTTTTCTTTTTTTAACCTTGCAGCTCCAGCTCAAAGCATCTATATTTCAAAAGGAATAAAAGAATTAATATAAATGTTACTGTTCAAGTTTAACAAAATCTCCACAAAGTTTAAGATTTCCTTTCAAATTACAGCTTTGGGACTTAAAGTCTTTTTTAAAAGTCCAGAGAAAGAAAATATAAAATCTTGTCTTTGTACTGTAGGATCCTGGACTTTTCTCTAAAGAATGACTACAGGCATTTCCTTTTTTTTTTTTTTTTTTTTTTTGAGACAGGATCTCCCTCTGTCACCCAGGCTGGAGTGCAGTGGTGTGATCTTGGTTCACTGCAACCTCAACCTCCCAGGTTCAAGCAATTCTCCTGCCTCAGCCTCCCAAGTAGCTGGGATTACAGGTGCCCACCGCCACGCCCAGCTAATTTTTGTATTTTTAGTAGAGATAGGGGTTCACCATGTTGGCCAGGCTGGTCTCGAACTCCTGACCTCAAGTAGGTCCACCCACCTTGGCTTCTCAAAGTGCTGGGATTATAGACATGAGCCACTGCACCTGGCCTTTTGTTTTTCTTTTCTTTTTTTTTTTTTTTAATGAGACAGGGTCTCACTCTGTCGCCCAGGCTGGGGTCTTGTCCAGCCTCAACCTCCCTGGCTCAAGCAATCCTCCCACCTCAGCCCCCAAGTAGCTGGGACTACAGGCATGTGCCACCACACCCAGCTAATTTTTGTATTTTTCGTAAAGACAGGGTTTCACCTTGTTGCCCAGGCTGGTCTTGAACTCCTGGACTCAAGCGATCCACATGCCTCAGTGTCCCAAAGTGCTAGGATTACAGGCATGAGCCATTGCGCCTAGCCATTCTTCAATGTAATATTCTTATTAGCCAACATTCATCAAATTTTTGCTAGGTACTAGGAATATGTTTTAACATGCGTTATATCATTTAATCATTTATTTGACATATTTATAAAGCACTTAAGTCAGTCTCTGGCACATAGCGAATGACGTATAAGTGTATAAATGTCTTATAAGTCAACACTGTTATCTAAATTTTTCACAAAAGAAACTAAAGCTTAGAGATTTTAACTATCCATAATGTTCATTAGTGGTACAGTCAATATTATTTTCAAGATTAAGAGAAGCTTGTGTGGAACCAGATAACCTAATTTGTTTAAATTAAAAAAAGAAAACTTTTTTGTCAATTTGAGATTTACAAAATGACTAAGATGGGTTGCATGCACAGAACCCTTAGGCTGCAGAGTTTCATCCTTCAGAGATGAAAATGAGAAAGTATTAAAAGAAATATTTTCATTGAGGAATCTTTAAAGGATTAGAAGTATCTATTTCTATTTAAGATGAGAGTTCTCCCTGGAGTTATCCATTCATTCAGTGAGTTTCTACCAAGCGCCTTCCTAAGAACTGTGCTAAGTACTACAGATTAAGTATTAATATGCTGTGAGTGCAGATAGAGAACAGAAACAGGCTGTTTGATTTCACCATGGTCAATGCTCTGATGTGCCAAACACAGGAGGTTGTGGGAACATATAGACAGTGACCAAACTTTTAATGAATACAGGAAGATTTTCTGGAAAAGATGACATGTAGTAGACAGCTGACAGACGAGTTTACCAGGTTCAGAACTTAAGTGATAATAATCTTTTTATCATAAAATTTTAAGTGTGGTAGAGAATAAAAGTTTTGAATTAAATGTTGAATGAAATGTGTTATGAATAGAAGATGATGAAATGTGTCTTTGTTAACTAAGAAGAGATTGAGTAGTGAGCTTCAGATCAGAGGAATTACTTTAACCAGACAATGGGTAGGTATTTCCAGGCACAGAAAAGCCCATCTAGAATGTACAGGTCTAAAAAAATATCAGAAACCTGAGAAATACGAGGAGAAACAGGATGCTCGATGGCAAAAGAGGAACCTAACACACACATCTCTGAGACTTGAGAGGAAAAGCAACAGGATTCATACTATGTATTGGGATTAAAATTCTTCAGAAGGAAAACCAAAGCAGTAATACTTTTTAAGAAGCCTTATCATATTAGAATAATTTAGAATTTTTATAGGTAGAAACTTGGCCGGGCATAGTAGCTTATGCCTTTAATTTCTGCACTTTGGGAGATGGGTGGATCGCTTGAGCTCAGGAGTTTGAGATCAGCCTAGGCAACATAGCAAAACCCCATCTCAAAAAAAAAAAAAAAAAAAAAAACAACTAGGTAATATTTTATCAGGACAGTTTGTAAATAATGCTTTAATCTGCTCAAATCTTTATAAACCATCTTAGCTGGTGGCTTACACCTGTAATCCCAGCATTCTGGGAGGCTGAGGTGGGCTGCTCACTTGAGGTCAGGAGTTCCATTTCAGCCTGGCCAACATGGTGAAACCCATCTCTACTAAAAATACAAAAATTAGCTGGACATGATGGCAGATGCCTGTAATCCCAGCTACTTGGGAGGCTGAGGCAGGAGAATCACTTGAACTTAGGAGGCGGAGGTTGAAGTGAGCCAAGATCGTGCCACTGTACTACAGCCTGCGACAGAGTGAGACGCTGTCTCAAAAAATATATATATATTTATAAACCATTTTCATAAGTTCTGAAAGAAAAACAGTTCGTAGCCCCTGGAAAACTTAAGTTTTACAGAGATAATTTATATACATGACAAATTACGTAACCTGCTAATGCAGTATAGTGTATAATTAAGTCCTAAGTGAGTATGAATGACTGTATTTCCTCTAGAAATTAAAAGAGAAGCCTGGGCGTGGTGGCTCATGCCTATAATCTCAGCACTTTGAGAGGCCGAGGTGGGCGGATCACCTGAGGTCAGGAGTTCGAGACCAGACTGGCCAACATAATGATACCCCGTCTCTCCTAAAAATATAAAAATGAGCTGGGCGTGGTGGCGGGCACCTGTAATCCCAGCTACTCGAGACACTGAGTCAGGAGAATCGCTTGAACCTGGGAGGCGGAGGTTGCAGTGAGCCGAGATCACGCCACTGCACTCCAGCCCGGGCGACAGAGTGAGACTCCGTCTTGAAAAAAAAGTTTAAACAAAGAATGGTAAGTGGGGGGTTGGGTAGGGGTAATCAGGGAAGGCTTCCCTGAAGTACAGAGGCATGAAAATGGTGAACCTTTCAACCCATCTCCACATGTATAACCTGGCAAGAAGTTACTGACCAGTGTCTAGTTGTGCAAGGGGATTTGCTTATTTCTCCACAAAAGCCAGTCAGACTTTAATTGCTACTGCCTGGGACCCCTACGAGGCCCAGGAAATAGGCCCTTTATTGCTTGAACAAAGAAAAGAGGAGAGGTCTCTGGCTGGCTGCAATCTTCCCCTTCTAGGATGAATGAATCTTTAGAGATGGAGGGACTTAAAGAGATGATGATGTGATGATAGCTAACATTCAGTGGTTACATACATTACCTCATTTAGTCCCTACAACTTCGTGAGGTTAGGTAATGCATCCCCATTGTATGTATGAGAAAACTCAACTTTGGAAGTTTAATGACTTACACAAAGTCATGTAAGTAAGTGGTGGAACTGAGATTTAAAGTGGGCAGTCTGACTGCAGAGCCACACTCTTCACAAGTCTATGCTATGACTGCTACCAGAGTTCACTCCACCCACGACATTGTGTGACCTTAACTGGAATTTTACAGATGAGAGTCTGGATAACACATGGCTAAACAGGACTGACACCATGATTCAGACTCCTGGCCCCCTGCCAGCACCACAACTCACATCCACTGTACTGCGGGAGAACAGTCGGCCCATGGGAGACCAGATTCAAGAACCTGAGTCTGAACATGGTTCTGAACCAGACTTTTTACACAAGTAAGTAGCAAAAATTTGTCTTTTTCACAAAAAGCCTTTAAAGAAAGTAAAACTATTTAAGAAAAACTTTATTTGTTCATCAGAACATATTGCTGGTCAGTTCATGATAAGCCACAAACGGAGGGTAAACACTTCATGTGAGAAGAGCTATAAAAAGTCTGTAAACATTGTTGAAGATACCAGTTCCTGGAAGTTTACAGACCTTTAAATGTACGGTGTCTCACCAGGTGCTAATTTCAGTTGGCATGTGCATTTTCATTGGGCAGGTCTGTTTCTTCTCAGGGACTTACCAAGAAATGCAGGTTACTTCCTAGGCAAGAAAACCTGTAAGAGCCTATATTAAGTTGTCAGTAGTCTGGACACCAAATAAATAGACTGTATTTAGCTTTATCATCCATTTAATTAATATTTTGTCTTGTTACATTTTAAACTCAAACTTCTCATGGATTAAGAATTTTTAAGATCTTACTTGATAAATTCTGAGAATAGTTGCCCTCAAAGAGAAAATCAAGGTCTTACCTTTCCTCCATGCTAGTAATTAAAATGTT
Source organism: Homo sapiens (assembly GCF_000001405.40). NCBI lineage: Eukaryota > Metazoa > Chordata > Mammalia > Primates > Hominidae > Homo > Homo sapiens. Next base: position 136,343,283 of record NC_000003.12, on the reverse strand, counting down.
TTCTAGTACACAGACCTCTGAAAATTGTAGAGAAGGCAGAGGGTGATGGCGTGTTTTGCTTATAAAAATCTTATTGTTGTTTTCCATCCAACTTTGAAATTCTTTGAGCTCCTCACTTGTGTTTCTGTGTATAGTTGGGTAATGCTGTGAATTACTCTGATGGATAAGAGGGAGAACTCTCATTTGAACTCAACAAATTTAGTTAGGTTGAAAATAGAGACAGTGTTAGAAGTATCAAATCCTGGGTTTTCATGATCCCTTTGCTCTAAGGGATCAGCCTTCAAACCCAAGAGGATACTCACTGTCACCCATGGTATAACTGGGCATTCTTGTGCTGCCAAGTATCCTAGAAGGTGGTTTGCCTTATGGCAAGCATCCGAAGATGGGTGACCTAACCAATATCCCCACCCCTCTTCCTACAGGGTGGGTTTCTCCTTGTTTTAGCAGCCTGCCTTGCCCCTCTGACCCTACCATTTGTCATTCCCTGTGGCCATGGTCTGCCTTCTTTTCCCTGCTCCAGGTTTATAGGTTTAATCAAGGTGGTGGCCCCACATGATATAAAGACAGCTACTTAGAGACAACTTCATGTGACAGTTTGTATTGGCTAAAAAACCACTAAAGTTTACATCCTATAAATGTATGGGTATGGTGGCACACGCCTGTGATCCCAACTATTCAGGAGGCTAAGGAATGAGAATTGCTTGAACTCGGGAGGCAGAGGTTGCAGTGAGCCAAAATCGCGCCACTGCACTCCAGCCTGGGTGACACAGACTCTGTCTCAACACCACCACCACAAAATTAGCCAGGTGTGGTGGCGCATGCCTGTGATCCCAGCTACTCGGAAGGCTGAGGTGAGAGCAGCACTGGAGCCTGGGAGGCAGAGGTTGTAGTGAGCTGAGATCATGCCACTGCACTCCAGCCTGGGTGACAAGAGTGAGAACCTGTCTTAAAAAAAAAAAATTCCTGGCTGGGCGCGGTGGCTCATGCCTGTAATCCCAGCACTTTGGGAGGCCGAGGCAAGTGGATCACAAGGTCAGGAGATCGAGACCATCCTAACTAACATGGTGAAACCCCATGTCTACTAAAAATACAAAAAATTAGCTGGGTGTGGTGGTGCACGCCTGTAGTCCCAGCTACTCGGGAGGCTGAGACAGAAGAATCCCTTGAACCAGGGAGGCGGAGGTTGCAGTGAGCCAAGATTGTGCCACTGCACTCCAGCCTGGATGACAGAGCAAGACTCCATCTCAAAAAAAAAAAAAAATTCCTTAGAGGCATGTTTACACACACTTCCATGTGCCAATAAGTTTAGAGTACAAGTGCAGATTTGACTCCATAAAGACTGAGGAAAAGATGCTATATTCTTCCTTGTTGAATTCTGGAGAACTTTCAGCTGCCAAGCCAACATAATTTCTGTTAGTTGGGGATCTGCTGTCCAGCTAGGTACACCTGTGAGTGCGGCACCAGCCCAAAACAGAGGTCTGAGAACCCTTGTTTGGCAGAGATTTGGTTGATAGTTTAAGCATCTAACAATTAGCCTCAGCCAGCTTCTCTTGGAGACTTACAGATATCTTTGGGCAACTTATTGCCTTTTTTATAAAAAGGCACCAGAATAAATCCAGCTAATTCCTCCAACATGGGATTAAGTAAACCTACCTTGGCTTTCTTAGCTTGGGGCTCATTAGCTAAATTCATCATCTGCTGCTACAAAATTAATAATAGTACCCTCTCTTAGTCCTCAGATGCAGATCTCTTGGTTAGGCCAGCCGAAGTTAGAAGACTTAAATCGGAAGGACAGAACAGGAATGAACTACATGAAAGTGAGAACTGGAGTGAGGCATGCTGTGTAAGTGTTACATGGAGTATCACAAGAACATAACAACTATGTGATGCCCATCATTTTGTGAAATGACTTGGGTTTCTTTGATGTTTGGTCTTAGGAGTTAAAATTATAATTCGTGATATGCTATGCAGCATAGGAAAGGAGGGTGTGAGTTCTTAACACTTTCAGCATTTAAATCCTAGCTCTGCCACTTGGCAGCTGCATGGCCTTGGACAAGCTCTAAAACATCTGTGCTGGCTAGGCGCGGTGGCTCCGCCTGTAATCCCAGCACTTTGGGAGGCCGAGGCGGGCGGATCACTTGAGGTCAGGAGTTCAAGACCAGCCTGGCCAACATCGTGAAACCCCGTCTCTACTAAAAATACAAAAAATTAGCCGGGCATGGTGGTGGGCGCCTATAATCCCAGCTACTCAGGAGGGTGAGGCAGGAGAATCGCTTAAATCCAGGAGGCGGAGGTTGTAGTGAGTCAAGATCACGCCACTGCACTCCAGCCTGAGCGACAGAGCAAGACGCCGTCTCAAAAAAATCTGTGCTTCAGGTTCCTCATTTGTAAAATTGGGATAATACTACCAATAAGATTTTTAGGGTAATTGACACATAAATAAATGTTAACAACCGTTATTATTGAATTGTACTTCCTTTTGATATGTGAGATGAAATCTTGAATGAACCAAAGGAATGATTCTTAATTGTCTTGGAATTCAGTCTAATTTGTGTAGTCTGTAGGTCATGATTAGAAGGTATACTTCACTTGGTTAGAATAACTTTAATCTGAGAAACAGCCAGGACTCCAAATGGTGGAGTCTGATGAGCTTTCTGACAATACCTTTTTCTTACCAGTCGGGGTCTAATGGAGGAAGATGCTGAGCCCATCTTTGAAGATGTGATGATGTCATCCCGAAGCCAGTTAGAAGATATGAATGAAGAATTTGAGGACACCATGGTTATTGATCTGGTAGAGAAATTCACTATATTTTTCTTTTGTTAAAATATGTGGGGGCATTGGTGTAAGATGATCCTCTTAGGCCGGGCATGGTGGCTCACACCTGTAATCCCAGCACTTTGGGAGGCTGAGGTGGGTGGATCACCTGAGGTCGGGAGTTCGAAACCAGCCTGACCAATATGGAGAAACCCCGTCTCTACTAAAAATACAAAATTAGCCAGGCGTGGTGGCACGTGCCCGTAATCCCAGCTACTTGGGAGGCTGAGGTTGTAGTGAGCCAAGATCGTGCCATTGCAATCTAGCCTGGACAACAAGAGCGAAACTCCATCTCAGAAAAACAAAAAAAAATTATCCTCTTATTCTCAGAATTCTGGGAGGAAGGGTGAGGTGAGGAGGAGGTGACACTGATCAACAACAGTGGGCATTTGGATGAGCTTGGGTGTTCTTCAAGCCTCCTTTCAAAGCAGTCATATTTTAAATTCTGATAATAACAGAAACTGGTTCTTTCTTTTTACCTTCTTTGAAGAGAGCTCATACCAGATCTTTCAGCGTCACTGTGTATCTGGCCTCTTGTGCTTTAAATTTGAGCCTGACAAAAATCCACGGTGCTTCAGCATAACAAAATGCCGAATATGGGACTTCTTTGTTCAGTATGAGAAGACATGTTTGAGATATGGACTTAACCATAGGTGATACTAAGAACTTATTTCTTCAGGAATAGTAATGCATGGTGTTTATGTTTTTTTCAAAAGTTCTCATCAGTTATAGACAACACATTGTAGTAGTTATAGGCAGAATTACATAGGGAAGGAAAAACAGTGAGACTCAGTGGAACAAGACTGGCCAAATGTTTGACAATTTTTGAAACTGGGTGATGGGTACATAGAAATTAATCATGCTGCTTTTTCTGTGTATTTTCTAAGGCTGCCATAATAAATACCACAGACTGAGTGGGTAAACAAATTTTTATTTATTTATTTAGAGATGGAGTCTCGCTCTGTTGCCAGGCTGTAGTGCAATGCTGCAATCTCGGCTCACTGCAACCTCTGCCTCCCAGGTTCAAGCGATTCTCCTGCCTCAGCCTCCCAAATAGCTGGCACTATAGGCACATGCCACCATACCCAGTTAATTTTTATATTTTTAGTAGAGACGGGGTTTCACCATGTTGGCCAGGATGGTCTTGATCTCTTGACCTCGTGATCCGCCCACCTGGGATTACAGGTGTGAGCGACCATGCCTGGCCCAGAAATTTATTTTTTTTATCACATTTCTGGAAGCTAGAAGTCCTGAGATGAAGGTGATTTCTTTTGAGGCTTCTCTCCTTGGCTTGTAGATGGCTGCCTTCTTCCTTTGTCTTTAGATGGTCTTTCCTATATGTGTCTCTCCTCTTCTTATCAGGGCCCCAACTATATTCAATTAGGGCCCACCCATATGACCTCATTTTACCTTAATTACCTCTTTAAAGGCCCTGTCGCCAAATACTGGCATGTTCTGAGGTACTGGATTAGGACTTCAGCATCATGCACATTTTGAAGGGACATAATTCAGCCCGTAACATTTTGCTTTGTATGTTGTGAATTTTCCATAATGAAAAGTTTTTGTAAGTTTTGTAAATATAAATGAGATCATATTACTCCAATCTATAATCTCCCTGCCCCCACCTTCCAATAACTTTCCATCTACCTGCTTTGGGGAATTCACAGAGGTTTATCACCTAGTAGTTAATGAATTCTGTAATTTTTCTGTGACTTTAAAGGGAAGATATGGCCTGGGCATGTAGGCCCAAAGTTATTTATATGTATTAACATGTTGTTTATTCATGATAGTTTGAAAGTTTTGTGCCTTGTTTTTGCCAACATAATTAAAAGCCAAAAGTACTGTTTGTTTTTAAAAAATCTATTTCATATAAAAGCCAGATTCTCTTCTTCCTTTCAAAATTGACTCTTAGCAGTTCCATATATTTATGATACTGTCAGAAATATTAGCTGATTATCACAATTCATTGTCTTAATGATCTCAGAAAAAAATTAAGAAACCGATTTCTCTTTCCAGCCTCCATCAAGAAATCGGCGAGAGAGAGCTGAGCTAAGGCCAGACTTCTTTGACTCTGCAGCTATCATAGAAGATGATTCAGTAAATGTCAAATTATTACTGCTTTTTATTTATGGTTCCTGGGTCCTGTTTATGCATGAAATTAATAATTATGTTTCTCATCATTTTTCTAGGGATTTGGAATGCCTATGTTCTGAAGTCTGAAGAAAATTTACAAATCTGGAACTCTATTATTTAGAGCTAGAGGCCTATATACTGTGATAGCTTGTATGGGGAAAAACACTTTTGATGTGATCTGATTTGTTTTTTAATCAAATGATTAAGGTCAATCCCTTTTTGCAGTGACAGAAGAGGAGCATGTAAATTACCCAAGGGAATGTTGGTGAATGTCAACTCAGAAAGACTGACCTGAAAATCATTTGTGTCCTACTATTGGACTTATCCCAATACAGATGTGTGTGTTTTTCTGGAGGGAGGAAGAAATTTTAAATTTTTAAAACAGCTGTCAAGATAAACACTGTTATACACCTGTTTTATGAAAACTCAACATTGAGTAAAAAAAAACATATTTTTAACTTTATTTTCCTGTTGTACAATTTAAAAACCGTTTTAACATTTTGCCTTTTTATGTTTTAAAAGCTAACCATTTTTATTAAACCTATGAGTAAGCAGCTCATCCTAATTGCGAAGAGTGTTTTGGAGTTCACTGGATTTGGTTGACCTTTGTGGAACACAAATAATGAAGGAGCAGAACATTGACAAGCTAAGATGAAATTCTGACATAGTACATCTCTGCCAAAAACCACACACCCTCTGTGGATATGGATATGAATTCCCAGATTTTATATACTCTTGAATAAAAGGTTTATTTTTATTTATAAGTGGGCATAAAATAAGAAATGTCCATGCAGCCATTTTTCCAACAGATGCTGTACACCGTTCATTTTATATAGACTAGGGAGATTCAAATACAGTGCATTTTCTATTGGTATTTGTTCTGTGCATTTTTAGCAACTTCTACCAGCAAATAAAGTATTCTCAGTAAAACGAAAATGATTCTCAAGTTATCAGTTTGCTGTTTTTACCACTTATTTCATGCCCTGCCAAATTCAAGTTACACAGACTTCCATTTTCTTAAGATAATCAATCATGAAGAAATCCTTTATCAATCATTCAAAAGTAATTTTAAGTGTAACATAACTGTGTTTACTTCCCATGCACTTAATACCCTTATGCGCTAATTTTGTGAATTAAGTTTACTGATTATAGAAGTATGTGCTGCATAGAAGTCTGTGCTTAGAGGGTGAAGTTCCTAAGCTTACCTTGAATTACAGCTACATTTCAGTGTTAAATGTGCATATTAAGAATAATTCTTTTGGGGAAAGAAATTATGAATCTTCAGGACAGTCTACAATGGTTTAGAGTTACATTCTGCCTAGACTTTTATGACTTGCTGCTATTGTTTTAAAAACCCCACTTAGTCTCTCTCTTCCTTTCTGATTTCTAAAGTAAGCCTCAGAATTTCCAAACCAATTCATCCACAGCTGTTTCTGGGCTGGTTTTTAAAGTAGCTGCAACAGAATCATGAGGCTTTCCCTTTTTATCAAATACGAAAAACATTTTTTAAAATTCTGCACACCCAGTGATCATCTTTTGTGCGGGAAAGCAAGATGATGATGGATGATTTTATTCATCCTTTTAGTAAAGACACAAAACATTTTTCTCAACATTTGTACAGTTCTGAAAAAAACCTGGTCACCAAAAATATCTTCTCTGCTAATTCAGCAATTCTTGGGCTCCAGTTAGGGGAGCTGGGGCCTCACTTTCTCCCAGAATTGTGGGCTTCACTGGAAGTGAAGGTGCAGGAATGACTGGACTGTCCACCCCAGCCCTGCCTGCCTGTGGTTTTGGCCAGGGAGCAAGCCATGAGGTGCCCTGGCACATGCACAAATTGATCCTTTGCGTGACAGTCTTGTATGGAAAACAGATGCTGACAGAATTGTAGACTACCATGCCACACAAAAAGGCTAAATATCTACTCCAATGGGTTTCCAGTTCAGTTTGAAGTCAATCAAATTTTTGTATTTTCGGTGTCTCCTTGATTGGTTTTGCTAGTAATTCTGTAAATTGTACATTTGCAATATGAGGTTTTTTTTCCTTTTGTACAATTTGAAACTGATGCTTCACCTTTCCTTTAATAAACTATTCAAAATCAGGCTTGTGGTAGTCATCCTATTGTTTCTACCAGGTATGGCTTTAAAGAGATGATTTTCTGTCCTGTGGCTCTTGAGAGAGTTTGCAATTTCTGATAATCTGTTAAATGGCAGCAAGTTAACCTTATTAGTGAGTTGGTGGTTTTGTTGTTTTGGCTTTTTAATTTTTTTTAAGAAAGCAGAATTTAGGAATAGCTCACTTTCTTTCATTCCTTAGATTTCTCTGGAGTGTGTGTAGGCCAAGTCATCTGTGGTTTAAGAGGGAGTCTCTTGCAAACTGAGTTTTGCATGAGGCATTCAGGGAACACCCATCCACTGGCCTGTAGCATGGGTCCTCACGGCTTGAGACTCTGGGCTTACATGCATAATTGCACCCTGGCAGTGCCCTTTTGAAGACCACATAGAGTCAATGCAGCTACAGAAATGAAGTTTTCAGCCAGGCATGGTGGCTCACGCCTGTAATCCCAGCACTTTGGAAGGCCAAGGTGAGTGGATCACTTGAGCTCAAGAGTTCGAGACCAGCCTGGGTAGCATGGTAAAACTCCTCTACAAAAAATACAAAAATTAGCTGCGTATGATGGCGCACACCAGCTACTCGTGAGGCTAAGGTAGGAGGATGGCTTGAGCCCACAAGGTGGAGGTTGTTGCAGTGAGCCAAGATTGCACCACTACTGCACTCCAATCTAGGTAACAGAGCCAGACTGTCTTAAAAAGTTTCTCTTGGCATTAGACCTCCTCACTCTTTCTTTAAGAAGTCATACCCTACACACTTCATGGGTCTGGCAATAGGGGGTGAGTTCCTTAAATGGCCTAATATGCCTATGCAAAAAAGGCAAAGGTGTGGGAGACAAATCAGCAAGCAAGCTTTCCAGACAGCCAAGGAAGGAAGGTCATTTAAGGATGGTCTGTAACAGCTCATCTAGATGGTTACAAGAGTATGAGACTAGATGAGCACTTTCAGGCTTGGGTCAGGCTTGCAAATCTCCCATTTGTGGCTTGACTGTAACTCCCTGTTTGCCCCTGTTCCCAGGTAACAGTCCATCAAGCAGGGACTAGTATATTCATGGGAAACAAAGGTTTGATGCCACTCAGGCTTGCCTTTTTTTTTTCGGGGGGGGGGGGGGGGCGGTAAGTGAAGACAGGGTCTCGGTCTGTCACCCAGGCTGGAGTACAATGGTGTGATCTCAGCTCACAGCAACCTCCGCCTCTGGGGTTCAAGAGATTCTCCTGCCTCAGGCTCTCAAGTAGCTGGAATTACAGGCACCCACCACCACGCCCAGCTAAGTTTTGTATTTTTAGTAGAGACAGGCTTTCACCATGTTGCCCAGGCCGGTCATGAACTGAGCTCAAGCAATCCACCTGCCTTGGCCTCCCAAAGTGCTGGGATTACAGGGCATGGGCCATCGCACCCAGCCTTAGGCTTTTCATACTAGACCAAGCTCAGGTAAGATTCTATCCCTGCCCTTCTGAGTGTCTTGTTCTGTGGAGATCTCCATCAGGCACCACTTTTTGAAGAGCATCTTTCTGCTCCCAAGGACACATAAAGGGAGTATTTTCACCACCCAGGACAGTAGGGACATGGTCAAAACTTAACTAACTATTGAGGCTGCCACATTGGCTGGAATATGCCAGCTGGATTCCACAGAGGCCCCAGACTGAGGCACTGCCTATCAAGTGGCTGCAACTCCTGCTTGGAATTGTAGAAATCCCATGCTGACATCAGAGGTGCACAGAGTATGAGGACCAATACTTCTAAAAGGGTAAAGTCATAGCTCTCCAGAAATCCTTTGGAACCAGAAAGACAAAACAGTCACATCTGTTGAATAGGTGAAGAGGGCTGATTCATCAACTCCACATGTGGGTGAGTATCCTTCACAGACTTCTTTGGCTGAGCAGACCACATCTTAAGCACCAGCACCAGGACAAAGTATCAGTGCAACCAGAGGCAGAAAGTTGGGCTGGGGAGACCAAGACAGGGTCAAAAAAAGAAGCTAGAAGAACTTTGCAACAAAAGCACTTTCTAACAAGCATTAGAAGGGTGTATTGTGGATGTGCTCCCCATTACTCTAGCAACTCAAAAAGATGACTGGCCATCTGTTGGTACTGCTTTGCAAGAGAATCATGCGGGAGATAGGAAAGCTGTCTAAATGTAGTAGCTTTCTGGGTTAAGACAAGCCCAGGGGAACAGACCACCAACCTCCCTCACCCCTACTCTTAGGCCAACCCTTAGAAGTCCATCTCACCTTCCTCATCAGCTGAGTGGTAGTACTTTGAAATGATCAGAACACAGGCTTGGCTGGGGTCAAACCCATCTGAGTTCAAATCCCAGCTTCACCACTTGTCAGCTGTGTAGCTCAGGAGGAACTGGATTAACACAAGGCGGGGCAGGACCAGCAAGACCCTAGCAGTGCTTCCTACACCACAGCTCACCATATTATCTGCTCTCAGTTTAAAGACAGACACTTGTCAGCTATCAGCTCAGTGGACCCAAGTATTTCCCATTTACAAAATTCAGTGTATTTTCTTTTTCCCTTTAAGGTGAGGGCACCAGCTGGGGAAGGCATTCCCACACAAGAGAACACTCAACTGTCATTACTCTCAAGGTATTCCGTGGTCCATGGAGGCTGGTCCACTTGACAAAGCTTCCAAGGTCTTGTGGCTTTGAGTTTCTTTGACCAGCTGAGTTTCTGTACGGGAGTTTCCCCACCATCCAAGGCTTCCGTAAAGCTGCTAGCCCAGCTGCTCTCCTGAGCTGGTTCCTCTACCATCTTACAGCCCCTCTACCATCTCGGTGTCCAGACTGCACAACCTGGTGAAACACTTCTTGGACTCTTACCTCCAAAAAGAAAAAAAAGAGCTTGTATGTACTCTTTTATGGACCATAGCAGAGATCACGAAAACAAGAACTGTGGGCTCAGAAAACTCACTAGGCAAGCAAGGGAGGGACAGACTGTCCAGGACCACCTACGTGGGCTAAGGACTCTGGAGAACAGGGAGCTCTGGAAGTGGCGCTGGAGCAGAGGAATGCAACAAAATCTGGATCTGGAGTTAGTATGGTAGCTGAGAACAGGACTTCCAGCTCAGTGGGAGGCCACAGAGATCAGTGAAGAGACTGCTGCAAAAGTCCTCAGAGCCCAACTAGGATTGGTGACTGAAGGAGAGTGGAAAGATGCTTTAAGAAAAAAAAAAAAAAAAAAAAAAAAAGAATGACTCTTAAGGGCTACTGGGAATGGGGGGTAGGGGAAAATATTTTTGAAATGGGAAAAGTGGAGAATAAACAGTCACACATTAAGTTGACCTTGAAATAATGATTCACTGTCCAAGCAGTGCTTACAGATCTCTGGAGCCAAGGGAAAGCCATCAGTAGTGGGAGGGCCCTGGGGTTTCACCAGAGAGGATGCCTGAGGTGGGGGGGCATCTTGGATCAGCACTCCATGGTTGGTACTTCTGCTCAAACTTAATCTCCAGTTCGGTAAAACTATTAATGTTTTAACTTAGTAAAATCAAGTCAACAGTGTAGGAGGAAAGGCTTTAAAGTGGTTTACAAACAAAAAGGACTAATTCATATTGATAACCACTCAGTTACTAATTGAGGTAGCTTAACCATGTATCTTCAGTTTAAAGACAAAATGAACTACAAAGAAGTCGTGAACTTTAGAAGGTTTATTGTTGATAGAGCTGTAGTGATTCTGAAACTTGTATTTATGGTAGCACTGAGCAAATGAGTGAAATATATTGAGAATAATGGGAGCCAGGGTTATTACTGCTGTGGTAAGAGAGACAATACAGAATGGGGGAAGGCAAAGAAGCACCCATGGTGTTGGATTAAAAGTTTCAGTATGAACTCATGATTTAAAAGTATGATAAATATGTATTCATATATACATGTGTCCCACATATATATACACACACTTATTTGCATAAATTTTCCTAGTTCTGTCTGCTGAAATGCCTCAAAGCAATGATATCCAGTATCAGTGTGAATACCTAGTGCCAATTTTAGCTTCTAAATGACATACCTACTAAAAGAAACTAAGAAACTACTATATACTACTACTACATACCTATTAAAGAAACTCCTTGGAGAAACTGCTGATTCCTGGGCTGGGCAAGGAAAATACAAGATAAGCCTAGAGCATTATCTTGTCAGAAAATAACGAAATACTAAAAAAATCAGTGGGATATATTAAAAGCACTTTGGGAGGCTGAGGCGGGCAGATCACGAAATCAAGAGATCGAGACCATCCTGGCCAATATGGTGAAACCCCGTCTCTACTAAAAATACAAAAATTAGCTGGGCATGGTGGCACACACCTGTAGTCCCAGCTACTCGGGAGGCTGAGGCAGGAGAATTGCTTGAACCTGGGAGGCAGAGGTTGCAGTGAGTCGAGATTGCGCCACCGCACTCCAGCCTGGCGACAGAGCGAGACTCCTTCTCAAAAAATAAATAAATAAAATAAAATAAATCAAGTCCAAAATGATACTAAGAAAACAAAAACAGGAGAAAAGAAAGCTCCCTTCCTTACCTAGAGTTCCAACTAATAAATATGAGAGAGTTAGAAACTCAACATTTTATAATCAATGCAGAATCATTGATTGAGGCAAAAATCATCAATGAATACTAAAATTATTGGGTGAAAGTTTATTTATTTAATTTTCTGAGACAGAATCTAGCTTTGTCACCCAGGCTGGAGCACAGTGGTGTGATCTCGGCTCACTGCAACCTCCGCCTCCCAGGTTCAAGCGATTCTCCTGCCTCAGCCTCCTGAGTAGCTGGGCATGTGCCTCCACATCCGGCTAATTTTTGTATTTTTAGTAGAGATGGGGTTTCACCATGTTGGCCAGGATGGTCTCAAACTCCTGACCTAAGGTGATCTGCCCACTTTGGCCTCCCAAAGTGCTGGGATTACAGGCATGAGCCACTGCGCCTGGCCCAGGTGAAAGTTTATTGACAGACAAGATTAAATAATACCCCACAAATTAGTTATCAGTTACAAAGAGAAAATGGTAACTACCATGGAAAAACCTTTGCAGCCACGACCTTAACCATGTGATCAGAATCAGTTACCAACAGGAGGAAAAACTGACATAATGTGCTTACTAATGTGACGCACTGAAAGGAATATGTGTTAGTCTTATCTGAATCTAAACCTCAGGAAACAGACATCCCAAACTGAAGGACACTCTACCAAATAACCAGCAAGTAAGCTCTCCTCAAAAATGTCAACGTCATGAACGACAGACTATGTAAGACAAAGGACCTTGTTCCTAGGAGATACAAGTTTCTAGGAACACAGGGTCACGAATCTGCAACTGACTTTCAAAGGGGTCAATTAAATAATTATATTGTATATGTTATACAATTATATAATTATATAATGTATAAATACATAATATAAATATATAAATATATATAATCATGTTAGATATAATTATACATTAATTATATTAATAATATAATTAGATATATCTTATATGCATATTATATATTATTAGATATATCTACGTATGGAAGAAATAAAGCAAATGGAGAAAATGTTACCAACTGGAGAATCTAGGTGAAGTGGATACAATACACTTCTTGCAACATTTCTATCGGCTTGAAAATTTTCGCAATTAAAAAGTTTTTTTTTAATTTTAAGAACACATTTCTGGAAATAACCTGAGTCAACATAGGGTGCTATGCCTTATTGAGCATCTGTACTGCTAAACACATATACCACAATTGCAAACATCACATTTAATCCTCAATTCATGGAGGAATTAGGAGATAGATAGGGCATATTACCCTATTTTTAAAATAAGGAAACTTAAGCCTAAGAAATACTTTGCCTTAAAAACTTACTATATATCTCACCTATGGATAAAAAAACTAACTCGAGAGGAAAAAGAACAATACCCAGAGGTGTGAAATAAAAATCAGCTCTAGATGATAACACTGTGTACTATTTTTCTTTCTAGTTGTATTGATTTTTCAGATTTCCACCTAAAAAAATCGAATTTATGCTCAAAAAATACAACTTAAAATGTTTAAAAAAGTAAATAATTTTACAGTAAGGCACAAAAGAGATCTTTCTAGAATTTAATAAACTTAGTTATTCTAAGTTATCCAACTATTTGGATTCCCAGGTTTCATGATTGCAAAAGGCAGGAATGGGATGTGAATGGGCAGACAGTAATTCAGTTCTTGGTTTCTTTTCCTTTGATTTGTTTACAATGGAATATTTGCATGTTTTCTCCAAGGACGTTGTACCTTCTTGCTGGCCAAGACATCCAGGTCACAGCAGATTCGGGCACGTGTGGAAGAAGGTTGGATGATGTCATCCACAAACCCTGGTGAAGCACAGAAAAGGGAGTGGATCATCTGCATCCCGAGATGATGCCACCCCTCAACCTTCTGCTCAGCCTGGGCACCATCCCTGGGGCCAGCAGTATAAGCAGTGCCCAACCTGATACAGAGATGGTAGGCCCTGTGAATTCCCCCTTGTATCCCAGGAGCTGGCCTGTTCTGACAGCTCCCCAACTTCTGGCCTAGGAGCACTTGGCAAGAAAAGGAAAATCGGACACCCTCCCTATACCCTGCTTGCTCCAATGCCTCCATCCTGCCACAATGAATTCAATAGGAAATAAAGAAAATACATCTAGGTTTTCAAAAATGGCTATAACAATTCATCCTTGTACACAAGTCCTGCAATGTGACTTTACCACTTCTCTCTTCAAGAGGTGGATTTGTATTCCTTCGCTTAACCTTGTTGAGTTTTCTTGGCCTATAAAATGTGGCAAAAATGACACTGTGCAACTTCCAAATCTAGGCCTCAGTTTCCCTTTGCCCCCTTGCTACTCTCGGGACACCATGTAAGGAAGCCTGGACTAGCCTCCTCAAGGGTGAGAGGCCACGTGGGGAGTGAGTCTAGCTAACAGCAACTACCAAGTAAGTGACGCCATTTTGGACTGTCAAGCCCCGGTCAAGCCACAGAATGACTATACCTGTGTGGGTGATCCCAGGCAAGACCAGCACAAGAACCACTCAGCTGGGCCCAGACCAAATTGTGGACCCCACAGAACCATAAGCAGTGGGGGAAACGGTGGTTAGTTTAAGCTGTTGAGTTATAGGGTGAATTTCTGCACAGCACTAGACAACTGGAACAACACCTAGAAATTTAATACACTTTGGCAATGTTGTTTTAATTGTGGTTACCAAAGCAGCCTGTCCCACAGTCCTTAGTCCAAGTGATGACTGCCCAGGGACAGTCCCAACCCTCACTAGTCAACAGATTAGACTGCAAAGGCAAAAAGGCAGTTATGTGACAATTTCTGTAGAGAAAGAATGAGCAAGTTGACCAAACAAACAAAGCTGCCCTCTTCACCACAGTCCCCTACCTCGCACTGCTGCAGGGAAAGGGTTGGCAAACTTCTCGATGTACTCTGCCTGAGCAGCTTCCACATTCTCATGCCCTTTGAAGATGATCTCCACAGCGCCCTGTGATTAGAGGAGTTCATGAACATCTTTGGTCGTCCCAACCTGGACAGATCTCCTTCAACTCATTATCACTGTGTGTGGGTGCAAATTTCTTGGTAAATCAGTGTACTGAGGGGAAGTGCCATCTCTAAAGGCCATAGCATAGAGGGAGGAACTGCCTGGGGCTGACCATCATGACACAAGGGGCTGCATGATGGGATGTGATGCTTCCCTGTGGCCCCAATAAGGGGCAGTCAGGCAAAAGCCAGTAGCTTCTCTCCCCAGAGCCCATTCTACCATCTCCATTTGCACTCATCATATTTCTTTGAGCCAAAGATGTTAGCCCTGTTTTCCATTATTAAATCCATGGTCTTGTATCAAGGGGAATTAAATGTGCTATTTCCCTTTTTCGGTACCCTAAGACCTGAGTATACAATTCGGTGGCCAGAGGCGACCAGACTGAACTGGAAATTAGAAGGATTGGCCTTCAAGTCAGAGCACCTATAAGTCAACTCTAGGGGACCTGGAAGTTATCTGATTCGACCACAATAGCTACTTCAAAGCAGGGAGGAGTGAGGAATAGGTCAAGCAATAGGAAGTACCTTGTCCAACGTCACTAGGGTCGGACCTACAGTTTAGCTTCTTATGAGCTTAAAAGAGTAGCTCTGGGGCCCTCCCTGGAAGCTGAGGTGGAGCTGGGAGAATGTCCAATACTTCTGAAGGTGACTTCAGTTGACTCAACCCTTTGCCCCCTTTACTTACAATCTCAAAACCACTCTGGACCCCTCTCACTTTCCTTTCACCTGCCGCACCCACCTTGGCATGAAGACACCAGCGTGGGCCTGAAGAAAGGGTATAGGACAGGAGGCAGAGCTATCTCTGGAGCCCCAAGAGGGAGACTTACCAAGGTCTAGGTCCCATTCACCTCAGTCCTGGCTCAACCTAGGGGCCCTGGCCTCTCTCCAACATTTCCCAGCTATGCCTTGAGCTCTCGCTGGTAGAGTCGAGTCCTTGGACCCAGAAAGGGAAAAGCAAGAGGCCCTCACCTTTGCTCCCATGACTGCAATCTCTGCGGTGGGCCAGGCATAGTTGGTATCACCACAAAGGTGCTTAGAGCTCATGACATCATAGGCACCTCCATAGGCCTAAAACAGATCCAAATGCTGAGTGTTAGAGCCTGAGACAGCCAGATCATGTCCCTGAAAGACCCCAGGAAACCAGGTAAAATTGGGACAAAGAACAAGAATAGCCCTACTGGGCTCCTGAAGGCCCACGGTCTGTAAGACCTTTCAAAGTTAATGCTCATTATCTTTTCTGGCTTTTTCCCACTACTGCCTTCAGTTCCCCTGTGTTAAAAAAGCACAGACATTTCTGCGGGGCTGGGAACAACATCCTCAAGAGATCTTTTTAAGGATGAGCAAGGTGTACTCCTTCCAGCCCTGGTAAAACTCTGCCAGACCTCCCACCACGGCTATGCTGTAGGAAAGTGAGCAGGGTCATGGCCTCCAACATGAGGTCCTCACCTTCCTGGTGATGACTGTGACTTTGGGTACAGTTGCCTCAGCAAATGCGTAGAGAAGCTTGGCACCATGCCGGATGATGCCCCCGTATTCCTGTGCTGTGCCTAGACATGAGGAAGAGTTACTAGATACCCACAAGTCCTCACATGGTTATCCTGCCACTCTCAGCTGTGAGGTCTTTCCCACCTCTGGAGAGGGCCATTCCTTACACAGCCCTATCTTCTGGACACCCAGAATACATGGAGAAGTCACAAGTCCTCGGGGAGTTCTGCAAGAAGATCTCCAAATAAAGTGGGCACCTTACTGGGAAAGGCAACTCTCCTAGCCCCCACTCTGTCAAAAACTTACCAGGTAGAAAGCCAGGGACATCAACAAAAGTGATGAGTGGAATATTGAATGCATCACAGAATCTGACAAAACGAGCCCCTTTCACAGATGAATTAATATCCAAGCATCCTAGAAAGAGAGAGATTATCCATACTGAGTATCCAGGCAATTCCCAGTTCTATCCACAATGGGGATTTGTCCTCAGCAGCCATCCAAAGCTGGTTTCTGTGGAGGCACCAACACTTCTTTGTTGCAGAATGGTAACAAGGACCCCTCAAACTCCAGGAAACAGGGAAGATGAAGAATCCACCTGTCTGTCACTGGCCAAAGAGGCCCAGAACTAGACTACTACAGACTCACTACAGACCAAAGGGCTGCCGCCAGCTGAGACACAGCCGGCCTTGCCGCAGGGAGCCATCAGTGGGAGGCAGCATTCAAGGGCTGGTCTTAGAGAGTCCTCAGAGCTTCCAATCAGATTCTGGCTCCACTGATGATGGCAACGTGCCCTTGAGAAATTACTTTGCCTTTTGACCTAAGGTTCCTTACCTGCAAAGTAGGGACGATACTGCCTCCTAGCATAGTTCCAAGGAGTAAAGGAAATGGAATCTATAAAGCAGCACAGAGTAGGAGCTCAATTACTAGTAAATCTCCCCTCCTAGAAGAGTTTCCAACTTAATTCTATGAGACCAGTATTACCCCAATACCAAAGCAAGACAAGGACCATCATCAGAAAAGAATACAGACCAAAAACATAAATGAAAAATTTTTACTTTTTAAGTAAGGCACATTATCAAGTCCAGCAATATATACAAAAACAGTAGGCCAGGCGCGGTGGCTCATGACCGTAATCCCAGCACTTTGGGAGGCCGAGGCGGGCAGATCACGAGGTCAAGAGATCGAGACCATCCTGGCTGACAAGGTGAAACCCTGTCTCTACTAAAAATACAAAAATTAGCCGGGTGTGGTGGCGGGTACCTGTAGTCCCAGCTACTTGGGAGGCTGAGGCAGGAGAATGGTGTGAACCCGGGAGGCGGAGCTTGCAGTGAGCTGAAATCATGCCACTGCACTCCAGCCCGGGTGACAGAGCAACACTCCATCTCAAAAAAACAGTAATACATCATGTCCAAGTGGGGTTTATCCCAAGAATTCAAGGTTGATTTCAGCATGTGAAAACTAATGAAATTATTAAATAAAGGAAAAAAACTATATGAACATCTCAATAGATGTAGAGAAAATACCTGAAAAAATTTAATATCCATTCATGAATAAAAACATGGCCCGGCACAGTGGCTCACACCTGTAATCCCAGCACTTTGGGAGGTCGGGCAGGCAGACCACTTGAGGTCAGGAGTTCAAGACCAGCCTGGCCAACATGGTGAAACCTCATCTCTACTAAAAAATACAAAAATTAGCCAGGCGTGGTTGCAGGCACCTGTACTCCCAGCTACTCAGAAGGCTTGAGGAAGGAGAATCACTTGAACCCAGGAGGCAGAGGTTGCAGTGAGCCAAGATTGCACCACCACTCTAGGCAACAGAGTGAGACTCCATCTCAAATAAAAAAAAAAGGAAAGGAAAGGAAATAAATAGGCAAGTCACAAGCCAGGCCCTAGAAATCAACAATAAAAAGACAATGTAGTCCCAGCTACTCAGGAGGCCAAAGTGGAGGACTGCTTAAGCCCAGGAGTTTGAGACCTGCCTGGGCAACATAGTGACACTCTGTCTCTAAAAGAACAAAAAAAAATGGCCAGATGTGGTGGCTCACACCTGTAATCCCATCATTTTGGGAGGCCAAGGTGGGCGGATCACCTGAGGTCAGGAGTTCAAGACCAGCCTGGCCAAAATGGCAAAACCCTGTCTCTACTAAAAATACAAAAATTAGCCGAGCGTGGTGCACACCTGTAATCCCATCTACCTCAGAGGCTGAGGCAGGAGAATTGCTTGAACCTGGGAGAAGGAGGTTGCAGTGAGCCAAGATCATGCCACTGCACTCCAGACTAGGTGACAGAGTGAGACTCTGTCTCAAAAAAATAAAAGAAAATGGTATGAAAGCTCTGTGCCTTTTTAATTACACTTGTCCCATTTCCTCCCTGGTTCTGGAGGAAGCAGAGCAGACCTCATTCACAAATTTCCGCATATGTCTGCTCTAACCTGTCTGTGGGCTGCCTGAAGGACTGACACAAGGAACACATCTCTGTTTCACCTAACTCAGAACTTATCCAGGCTGGAAATGTAGCAGGCATTTCTTTAAATCATGGTAAGGTAGAGGAACAACCTGCAGATGTCTGGGCAAAAGATTACTGTTGAAACCACCTAAGATATGGGAGAAAAAAAAAACAGAGAGTGTCTTTAGGAAATTAGTGCATTCAAAAGCACCCGTGAATAGGGAGAATTCAGAAAGACACATGTATGCCTAGGATGAGATACACGATCAGAAAAGATCTGAGAGGGGAAATAAGAAAAGAAGTTGAATGAAAATGAAAACACTATTACAAAATAAAAGACCAGAGAAAACCTTAAACTTTAACCTTGAGCTGATCTCAAACCTTAGTTCAAGTTTGGCTAAGCATCAAAGGAGAGCCCCAACACAGAGACAATTTCAAGACCAGGAGTTTTCTTGTTTGTTGTTTCTTGGTTTTAGTTCCTGGTGTTCAAGAAAATTTCTGTCAAATATACAAGTTAAGAAACAGGCTGGGCATGGTGGCTCACACCTGTAATCCTAACACTGTGGGAGGCTACTTTGGGAGAATCTCTTAAGGACAGGAGTTCAAGACCAGCCCAGGCAACAGAGCAAGACCCTGTCTCAAAAGAAAGAAAGAAACAATAAGAAGAAACAGGGACTTCAGTGACCACAAATGACAAAAAATATAGTCTCTGGAAAAGTCATTGCAAAAAGACACTAGGCAAACATATATGACATTAAATATCAAAAAAAAAAAAAACAAAGCTTGGGAAAAGAGGAAAATTTGACTGCCAGCGTTACCACATTATAATGTATAAATACCCCATTTTCAATTAAAAAAATCACAAGGTATAAAATGAAGAAACTATCCCTAAGTAAGCATAGACACTGAACTTACTAGAAAAAGACTATAAAACACTACTAGTGGGTTTTTTTTTTTTTTTTGAGATGTTTTGTTTTGTTTCTGAGATGGAGTTCTGCTTCTTGTCACCCAGGCTGGAGTGCAATGGCGCCATCTCAGCTCACTGCAAGCTCTGCCTCCCAGGTTCATGTGATTCTCCTGCCTCGGCCTCGTAAGTAGCTGGGACTACAGGCACCCTCTGCCACGTCCGGCTCATTTTTTGTATTTTTAGTAGGGACAGGGTTTCACCACATTGGCTAGGTTGGTCTCGAACTCTTGACCTCAGGTGATCTGCCCACCTTGGCCTCTCAAAGTGCTGGGATTACAGGCAGGAGCCACCATGCCCAGCCTAAACTAGTCTTAAATATATTCAAAGAGGTAAAGGAAAACATGGACAAAGAACTAAAGGAAATCAGGAAAATAATGAAAAATTCTGGAGCTGAAAAGTACAATAAATGAAATGAAAAATTCACTACAAGGATTCAATAGGAGATTTGAGCAGGCAGAAGAAAGATCAGAGAATATGAAGATAAAACAATTGAAATTACTCTGAGGAGAAAATAAAAAAATTAAATGAGCAGAACCTAAGGGACCTGTGGGACACCCACATGTGAACCAACATACACAGGATAAGAGCACCAGGAGAAGACTAAGAGAAAGTGGCAAGGAGATAATCTGATGAAATAATGTCCGAAAACTTCCCAAGTTTGATGCAAGATGTGAAACTAGAAATATAAGAAACTCAACTAACTCTAAGAAGAATACATTCAGAAACCCACACTGAGACATATTATAGTCAAATTACTGAAAGACAAAAGAGAATCTTAAAAGCAGCAAAAAAAAAAAAAAAAAACTCATCATTTACAAGAAATCCTCATTAAGATTATCCAGTGATTTCTCAGCAGAAACTCTGAAAGCCAGAGACAGCAGGATAACATATTTAAAATGCTAAAAGAATAAAAGTGTCAACCAAGAATTCTATATCTGGCAAACTGTCCTTCAAAAATGAGAGAAAATTTAAGAATTAAGACATTTTCAGATAAACAAAAGCTGAGGCCCTCAGTACCAACCAGCCTACTCCACAGAAAAATGCTAAAGGAAGCCCTTCAGGTTAAAAGAAAAGAACACTAGACGGTATCACAAAGCTACATTAGGAAATAAATATCTCAAGTAAAGATGACTACATGGGCAAATATAAAAACCAGGATTTGAGTATTTTGGTTTCTAACTTCACTTTTTATTTCCTACATAATTTAAAAAGCAAATAAAGCCCAGGTTTCAACTAGTGAATTCTACCATACATTTAAGGAAGATATTAATACCAGTTCTCTACAATCTTTTCCAGAAGACAGAAGCAGAAAGAATACTTTCTAACTCATTCTATGAGTCCAGCATCACTCTGATACCAAAACCAGACAAAGACATTGCAAGAAAACTATATCTCAATATTGCTCATAAACATATATGAAAAAATCCTCAACAAAATATTAGCAGATCAAATCCAACAATGCAGAAAAAGAATTACACATCAAAACCAGGTGGGATTTATCTCAGGTATGTGAGTTTAGTTCAACAGTCAAAAATCAATTAACGTAATCTATCATATCAACAGTCTAAAGAAGAAAAATCACATGATCATATGAATACAAAAAAAGCATGTAACAAAATCCAAAATACATTCATGACAAAAACTCTCAATAAACTAGGTATAGAGGGGAATTTCTTCAACTTTATAAAGAACATCTATGAAAAACCTACAACTAACATCACACTTACTTGTAAGAAACTAGAAGTTTTCCTGCTAAGACCAAATGTCCCCTCACCACTATCTTTCAATATTGTATTGGAAGTCCTGGCTAATGCAGGAAGACAAGAAAATAAAACGTATACACATTGAGAAGGAAGAAATCAAACTGTCTTTGTTCACAGATGACAAAATTGTCCATACAGAAAATCTGAAAGAAGTGACCAAAAAATAACTGCTGGAACTAATAATATAGCAAGGTTGCAGGATAAAAGGCTAATATACAAAAATCAATTACTTTCCTATATATTGGCAATAAACCAGTAGAATCTGAAATTTAAAACAAAATACTATTGGTATGGGATAGCTCTGTGTGCCCGCCCAAATCTCATCTCAAATTGTAATACCCATGTGTTGAGAGAGGAAGCTGTAATCCCCATGTGTTGAGGGAGGGACCATGTGTCAAGGGAGGGAGGTGACTGGATCATGGGGGTGGTTTTCCTCACGCTGTTCTCGTGATAGTGTGTGAGTTCTCATGAGATCTGATGGTTTTATAAACATCTGGCATTTCCCCTGCCTGCACTTCTCTCTCCTGCTGCCATGTGAAGAACGTCTGCTTCCACTTTGCCTTCCACCATGATTGTAAGTTTCCTGACGCCTTCCCAGCCATATGGAACTGTGAGTCAATTAAACCTCTTTCCTTTATAGAATACCCAGGCTTGGGTGGTGTCTTTATAGCAGTGTGAAAACAGATTAATACAACCATTAACCTCAAATATACTGCTCTTATGCAGGATTTTGGACATATGGAGGCTGTGCATGTGTGCATGTGGGAGCAGAAGGTGTACAGGAATTCTATGTACTTTCCATTCAATTTTGCTGCAAACCTGTAACTGTTCTGTAAGTCTATTTTTTTAAAGAGGTTATACACTGTGATCCAGTGGGATTTATTCCAGGAATGCAAAGGCAGTTCAACATAAGAAAATCAACATAATACACCATGTTAACAAAAGGAAGGACAAAAACCACATGATCATCTCAATTGACACAAAAAAGGCATTTGACAAAATCCAACACCCTTTCATGATAAAACAAAGAAAATCATGAACAGATGGAAACTTCCTCCATATTATAAAGGGCATTCATGAAAAACCCACAGCTAACATTATACAATAATGAAAGATTAGGTTTTCCTCCCTTAACATGAGGAACAAGACAACCATGCCCACTTTCACCACTGCAATTCAACAATGTACAAGAAATTCTTGCCAGAGCAATTAGACAAGAAAAATAAAAAGCATCCAAATTGGAAAGGAAGAAGTAAAACTATCTCTATTTGCAGAAAATATGACCCTATATATAGAAAATCCCAGCAAATCCACAAGAGGGCTAATGAACAAATTCATCAACTTTCATAATATTCACAATATTCACCAGCATTATTCACAACTAAAAGGTGAAAATACCCCATGTCCACAGATCAACAATCAAACAAAATGTAGCAATATAAATTTTGAAACAAAAGCTAACAAAGTTAATAAACCCAGCAAAGTTGCAAGTTACAAGATCAACAAAAATCAGTTTTGTAGTTGTGCTTCTATACAGCAGCAATGAACAATCCGAAAAAGAAATTGAGAAAGCAATTCCATGTACATGACATCTAGAAGAATAAAACATTTAGGAATAAATTTAACCAAAGAGGTGATAGGCTTGGACTCTGAAAACTACAAAACACAGCTGAAAGAAATAAAAAAAGAAGAAAAATGGAAAGACATTCTGTGTTCATGGATTGAAAGACAATATTGTCAAGGTGTCAATACTACTCAGAGTAATCTACTGATTCAACACCATCCCTATCAAAATTCCAACAGCCTTTTTTGGAGAAATGGGAAAGTCACTACCAAAATTCATATGGAATTTAAAAGGGCCCCAAATGCCTAAAACAATCCTAAGAACAACAATAAAGTTGGAAGACACACTTCCCAATTTCAAAACATATACAAAGCTACAGTAATCAAAACAGTGTGACACTGGAATATGGACAGACATACAGACCAACAGAATAGTGTTAAGAATACAGAAACAAATTCATACACCCACAGCCTGTTGATTTCCCACAAGCACGCCACACCTGTTCAATGAGGAAAGAATAATCTCTTCAACAAACGGTGCTGGAATAACTGGATTTCCACATGCAAAAGAATGAAGTTGCACTCCTATCCAATACATATAAAATTAACTCGAAATTAAAAGCTAAATGTAAGGGCTAAAACCGTAATACTCTCAGGAAAAAAACAACAGGAACATACCTTCACAACCTTGAATTTAAATTCTTATATACGACAACAAAAGCACATGCAACAGAAGAAAAAATACAGAAATCAGATTTAATCAAAACTAAAAACTTTTCAGCCAGGTGCAGTGGTTCACACCTGTAATCCCAGCACTTTGGGAGGCCAAGGTGGGCAGATCACTGGAAGTCAGGAGTTCGAGACCAGCCTGGCCAACATGGCGAAACCCCGTCTCTACTAAAAATACAAAAATTAGCCCAGCATGGTGGCACATGCCTGTAATCCCAGCTATTTGGGATGCTGAGGTGAGAGAATGGCTTGAAACTCGGGGCACAGAGATTGCAATAAGCCGAGATCGTACCATTGCACTCCAGCCCGGGCTGGAGACAGCAAGAGAGCGCGAGACTCCATCTCAAAAAAAAAAAAAAAATTGTGTATCAAAAGACATGATCAAAAGAGTGCAAGGACAACCTATAGAACAGAAGAAAATACTTGTAAGTCAAATGTAAGAGTTTAATATACAGAATATACAAGGAACTCCAACTCAACAACAAAAAACACACAAAATTAAAAAATGGAAAAGGACTTGAATAGACATTTTTCCAAAGAAGATATACAAATGGCCAATAAGCACATGAAAGGATGCTCACCAAGACTAATGTTGATGAGAAATGCAAATCAAAAACACAATTCCATTCACTTCACATCCACTAGGATTACTATTTTTAAAAATTAATAATAAGTGTTGGCAAGGATGTGGAAAAACTGGAACCCTTGCACATTGCTGGTGGGAATGTAAAATAGTGCAGACACTGTAGAAAACAGTATGGTGTTTCCCCAAAAAGTTAAACCTAGAATTACCACATAACCCAGTTATTTTGCTTCTGGGTACACACCCAGAAAAAGTGAAAACTGAGGTTCAAACAGATACTTATATATCAATGTTTATTCCAGCATTATTCACAGTAACCCAAAGGTGGAAATAACCCAGGTGTCCACTGACAAATGGACAATCAATCAAAATGTGGTATATACATGCAACATAATATTATTCAGCCATAAAAATAAATGAAGTTCTAACATATGCTACAATATGGATGAATCTTGCTAAATGAAATAAGCCTGATTATGCTAAGTGAAATAAGATTGATATAAAAGGACAAACACTGTATGATTCCATTTATATGAAATATCTAAAATAGGCAAATTCATAGAGAGAGAAAGTAGATTTAGAATAGCAAAGGCTGGAGGCTGAGATAAATAGTGAGTTATTGTTTAACAGGTTCACAGTCTCTGAGGAGATGAAAATGTTTGGAAACAGTGGTGATGGTTGCATACACTTTGTATGTAATCACTGCGGTTGCACTACTTTAAATGGGCCAAACAGACATATTTTGTTATATATATTTTACCATGACAAAATTTTTTTTTTGGGGAGGTGGGGACAGTGTCACTCTGTCATGCAGTGGCGTGATCTCGGCTCACTGTAACTTCTGCCTCCCGGGCAGTGACACAATCCCCGGCTCACTACAACAACCTCCTCCTCCCCGGCTCAAGCAATTCTCCTGCCTCAGCCTCCCAAGTAGCTGGACTACAGGCACGTGCCACCACGCCCAGCTCATTTTTTGTATTTTGTATTTTTAGTAGAGACAGGGTTTCACCATGTTGGCTAAGATGGTCTCTAACTCCAGACCTCGTGATCCACCCGCCTTGGCCTCCCAAAGTGCTGGGATTACAGGCGTGAGGCACCACACCCAGCCAAAACAGTTTTCTAAAGACAATAAAAAATTTCCATGGCAGAAATAAGATGAGGTTAGGTCATGAAGAAAGACAGATTCTTCCTAAACAAGGATACAAAACAAATCTAAGAGGAAAAATATTGAGGAGAGAAGTGGTATTCACAGTCCCCACCCCAGCACTCCCAATCCCTCCCAGAGCACAGCCATGGAAGAGTCTCCCTCACTTGGCTGCGAATCAGGTCTGGCCATATCACCAGAAAGCTGTGGGGCACAGACATGGTAAGATGCCATTAACTTGTCACGTACCATCTATGTGCCTGGCACTGTTGAAGGCACTGGAGATACTACTGTGAATACGACATCACCACCCCTGCCCTCATGGAGCTCATGATTAGTGGGTGAGTCATATATTTAGCTGGGGGTAGGGGGGAACAGAAAACTGACCCCTAAAAAATTGAAAACCTTATACACTAAGAATGTAAGTTTCCTATAAACCTTTGAAAAGGAGTATGAAAGAAGCATTTTGAGATATTAAAAGTAGCTTTTATAGGCCAGTTGTGGTGTCTCATGTCTGTAATCCCAGCGCTTTCGGAGGCTGAGGTGGGCGGATCACTTGAGCTCAGGAGTTCAAAACCAGCACAGGCAACATGGCAAAACCCCATCTCTACCAAAAATACAAAAAAAGAAAATTAGTCAGGTATGGTGGTATGTGCCTGTAGTCCCAGCTACTCGGGAGGCCGAGGTGGAAGGACTGCTTGACCCTGGGAGGCAGAGGGTCCAGTGTGCTGAGATCACACCACTGCACTCCAGCCTAGACACCAGTAAGACCCTGTCTAAAAAAAAAAAAAAAAAAAAAAAAAAAAAATTAGCTTTTATAACAACCATTTAGATTTTTTCCTCTGGTCATGGAAGGCCATGTCTGAAGAACAGGCAAAAGACAGAAAGGATACCATGGACCCAGGCTTCCCTGGCCTCCAACCCCAAAACCAAGGCTTATAAGAGCTCCATCCTACCTGAGGCCACCTTAGGTTGGTTGCCAACAATTCCAACAGTCCTCCCATTCATTCTTGCAAAACCAACAATGATGTTCTTGGCATAATTGGGCATGATCTCAAAAAATTCACGCTCATCAACAACCTGCAGGAATAAATTTACTTCTGAGCTCAAAATGGTAAAGACAAGTATAAGATGTAATGACACTACAGAATGACATTTCTATTACAGAATTACAGAGGTAGAGGTAGACAGCTCCAGCTCTATCACAGGTTCTCCAAGGAAGCAGGACAACAGGCAGAGGCAGCACCTCCTCCCTGCTGGGGAGAAATGGTGTGGAAAACCTCAACTGCTGCTAAGATGGACACACCAATGAAGTTTGTTTTAAAAGTCCTATTTGAGTGTGGAATTTTTGTGACAACTTTACCTTTTCACTTTGAAATTATTTCCAACCTAAATAAAAATGTCAGGCCGGGCCCAGTGGCTCACTCCTGTAATCTTAGCACTTTGGGAGGTCGAGGCAGGTGGATCACCTGAGGCCAGGAGTTCAAGACCAGCCTGGCCAATGTAGCGAAACCCCATCTCTACTAAAAATGCAAAAAATTGGCCTGGTGTGGTGGCAGGCACCTGTAATCCCAGCTACTCAGGAGACTGAGGCAGGAGAATCGCTTAAACTGGAAGGCAGAGGTTGCAGCAAGCCAAGATTATGCCACTGCACTCTAGCCTGGGCAACGGAGGGAGATCCTATCTCAAAAAATAAATAAATAAAAATAAAAAATTCAAGAACAGTACATATACCCTTCACCCCGATTCTTCATTATTATTTTACTACAAACTATTCTGCTTTTTTTTTTTTTCTTTTTTTGAGACAGGGTCTCCCTCTGTCACCCAGGCTGGAATGCAGTGGTGCAATTATGGCTCACTGCAGCCTCGATCTCCTGGGCTCAAGTGATCTTCCCCACCTCTGCCTCCCAAGCAACTAGGACCACAGCTGTGCACCACCATGCTCAGTTAATTTTTTAATTTTTAGTAGAGATGAGATCTCGCTATGTTGCCCAGACTGGTCTCCAATTCCTGGCCTTGAGCAATCCTCCCACCTTGGCCTCCAACATGCTGTGATTACAGGCGTGAGCCACTGTGCCCGACCATCACTCTCTCTTTTATATATATATAAACACATAAGAACATTCTTTTTTATAACTACAGTGATATTATCAAAATCAGGAAATAAACATTACCACAATACTATTTTTTTTTTGAGACAGGTCTTGCTCTGTGACCCAGGCTGGAGTGCAGAAGCATGATCACAGCTCACTGCAGCCTTAACCTCCAGGGCTCAAGCAATTCTCTCACCTCAGCCTCCCAAGTAGCTAGGACTACAGGTATATGCCACCAAAAAAAAAAAATTATATTTTTTGTAGAGACAGGGTCTTGCTATGTTGCGCAGGCTGGTCTCAAACTCTTGGCCTCACGCAATCCACCTGCCTCAGCCTCCCAAAGTGCTGAGATTACAGGCATGAGCCACTGTGCCCAATTCACAATTTTCTTTTGTTTGTTTGAGACGGAGTCTCGCTTAGCTGCCCAGGATGGAGTGCAGTGGCACGATCTCGGCTCACTGCAATCTCCGCCCCCTGGGTTCAAGCAATTCTCCTAAGCCTCCCGAGTAGCTGGGACTACAGGCACGCACCACCATGCCCAGCTAATTTTTTTGTATTTTTAGAGATGGTTTCACCATGTTGGTCAGAATAGTCTCGATCTCGACCTCGTGATCCGCCCACCTCGGCCTCCCAAAGTGCTGGGATTACAGGCGTGAGCCACCGCGCCCGGCCACTATTTCTTATTATATGACATTATTCAAGTTTGCCAATTGTTCCAATAGTATCCTTTATAGCAGCACAAGCAACAAAATTCTGGTCCAGAACCTGAGCCAGGATCACCTGGTGCTTTTAGTGGTTATATCTCTTTAGGCTCCTTTAACTTTCCCCCTCCATCTTTGTCTTTCATAATCATGACATCTTTGAAGACAACAGACCAGTTAATTTGTAAAGCATGACTTCTATTTGGGTTCCTTTGGTATTTCTTCATGTTTAATTTTGAGCTAAGCCTTTCCACAGGAGTACCACAGAAGGAGCATTCTCATCAAGTGGCACAATGTGTTGATTTGTCCATTAATGATGGTGATATCTGCAGGTTTCCTTGTAAAGTTACTATTTCTCCAATTTAATAAGAATTTTGTGAGGAAATACGTTGAGACTACATAAAATCCTGTTCTTCAAACTTTAATCATTAATCTAGTTCTTCATCCACTAGGTTTAGCATCCTAGCAGCCACCAAGCAGCCATGATTCTTGCCTGACTCATTACTGTCATGATAGCTGCCAAATGGTGAGTTTTTTTGTTTTGTTTTTTTGTTTTTGTTTTTGTTTTTCTTGAGACAGGGTCTTACTCTGCCACCTAGGTGGGAGTGCAGTGGAGCAACCTCAGCTCGATGCAACCTCCACCTCCCAGGCTCAAGCGATCTTCCCACCTTAGCCTCCCAAGCAGCTGGGACCACAGGTTCATGCCACCATACCTGGTTAATTTTTGTATTTTTAGTAGAGACAGGGTTTCACCGTATTGGCCGGGCTGGGCTCAAACTCCGAAGCTCGAGCAATCCGCCCTCCTTACAAGTGTGAACCACCACACCCAGCCCAAAGGGTGAGTTTTCCAATTCCACTTTTCTTCTCCATTTATTAGCTGACATCTACCACAAGAAAGATCTTTGCCTTTCCCATTTACTTATAGGTATCAATATGAACTTATAGATTGTTTTATTCTATGGATTATAATCTTTCACCATCATTTTATGTTTAAATTGTCCTATATTTACCAAAGTTCCTTCATGCTGGTTCCTGTGTCCTTCTAAAGTGTCCCCATCATTCTTTGAGCACTACCTTATATTTTGGAAGTATCTTACTTTCTGGTTCATCTTGGTTTCTTTCCTGCCCCAGCCCTACAATCAGCCATTTCTCCAAAAGGCCTGGGTTCCTTTTAGGGATGTGTGTGTGTGTGTGACTCCTTCTAAAACGTCCAAAGTCCAGCTATATGAAAAACCATGAGTTCATGCTGATAATTCTAATCCTACTCCAGTGCAACTATAGGGTTCATTCTAGATTTTTTTCTCTTGCCATATTCACAACTCCCTTCTCCGATAGCAGAATCTGGCTGCTACTACCCTCAAAATGTACTTATTTATTCGATCCTCAAATACAGAGAAAATGGTTTCAGAACTGCTAACTTAGCTACAAAAAACAGACCTACTAGCTAGAATTTTTTTACAGCTATTTTGGTCTTTAGATTAAAGGTATATAGTCAAAATATAGGTTCAAAAGACACTCATTTAAAACAGGTTCATGTTTGTATTTCATTTTAAAGGTTTTCCCCAGTCTTGATTTTATTTTTTAATATGTAAAATACTAATACAGTTTAATAGTGTTCCTTCCCCATCCCTTCCACCCTAGTCCCACCTACCCTGTTATTAATCTCATTATTTTCTGATGTATTATGTGTGTGTTTGCATTTGTATCTTTTAATTTACCCTTCTTACATGGAAAGTAACAGTACAGACACTCTTGCACTTTGAATTTTTTCACTTAATATGTCCTGGGAATCACTTCCTATCAGTTCATAGAGATCATCATTCTTTTTCACTTCTGCATAGTACTGTACTGTGTGATGTACCAAAGTTTATTCAACCAATCTACACGTGGCTTACATTATTTTAAAATTTACATTTAGGTTATTTAGAGTATCTCGCAATTACAAATGACAACGTAATGGTCGTAACCTCGTACATCTATAATTTTGTATGGTGGGAAGTGTATCTTCAGGGTAAATTGCTAGGAATGGGATTGCTGAGTTAAAGGGCAAATGCTAATTTAGTCCTGGATAATACCAGAGTCCCCTACCAGCAATGCACAGGAGTGCCTGCTTCTCCACTGACTTTCCAATGGAAAGTGTTTTCGGGGTTTTTATTTTTAGCCAATCTAACATATGAGAAAATACTCAGTGTAATTTGAATTTGTATTTCTAGCATTATGTATGAAGTTGAAAATCTTTTGACATGTTTAAGGTCCATTTTATATCTTTTTTGTGAGCTATCTATCCGTGGTTTTTTGCCCACTTTTCTATCAATTTTGGTTGTTAATCCCTCAGCATAAGAGCTCTTTATTAAGAATATTCATACTCTGGGATACATGCTGCCAAGAGTTTCTTCTAGCATATTGGTTGCCTTTTGATTTTATTTATAGTTTTTTGCTATGAAGAGTGGGATTTTAAAATTTTCACAGTCAGCTTTGTCTATCTTTCACTGAAACTAGTTGAGTTACAGTTCAAAAGCATTTCTAAACCTTCCCCTAAGGTTTCAGAGGAATTCATCTGTGTTTTCTTTTAGTGCTTGTATGGATTCACAGATTATATTTAGTTTTCTGACCCATTTGTAGTTTATTTTTGTACATGGTGTAAAGTATGAATCTAATTTTATATTTTCCTAAATGGCTAGTCAGTTGCCCCAGCATCATTTATTAAAAGCTAATTTTTGCCCCTGAGATTTGATAAAATATCATTATCATATACAGTTGGGCACTACACAAAGAGGTTCTGGTCAATGACAAACTGCCTATAGGAAGGTGGTCCTATTGTAATACCCTATTTTTACTGTACCCTTTTTATGTTTAGATACATACTTACCATTGTGTTACAACTGCATACAGTGTTTGGTACAGTAACGTGCTATACAGGTTTGCAGCCTAAGAGCAACAGACTATACCACAGATCCTAGGTGTGTAATAGGTTATACCATCTAGGTTTGTGGAAGTACACTCTATGATGGTCGCACAAAGAAACTGCCTAATGATGCATTTCTCAGAACACATCCCTGTTGTTACGCAACGCGTGACTGTACTAAAATTCTGTATGTACTTGAGTCTATTTCTGGCTCTTTTATTCTATTCCACTGGTCTATTTATGTGCCTGTACCACAGTTTTAACTATAGGATGCTGTAATATAAAGCATGGCTAGTCCCCACTTACAGCTTTTCTTTTGCAGTATATTCTTAGGTATTCTTGCACTTTTATTTTTCCATGTGCACTTTTGTATAAACTTATCTAGTTCTAGTTTTTAAAAACTGTTTATTGGGATTGCCTTAAATTTATAGAACAACTTAAGAATCACCAGTTTGTTAATAACATTAACCCCAGGAACAAGGAATGTCTTTCCATTTGTTCAAGTCTATTTTAATGTTTTGTTTTGTACAGACAAGGTCTCACTATGTTGCCCAGGATGGTCTCAAACTCCTGGGCTCAAAGGATCTTCCCTCCTCAGCTTCCTAAAGTGCTGGGATTACAGGTGTGAGCCACCATGCCTGGCCTACTTTTGATTTTCAAAAGTGTTTTTAAGATCACCCTGGGCTGGGCTTGGGGGCTCACACCTAAAATCCCAGCACTTTGGAAGGCCAAGGCAGAAGGATCGCTTGAGCCCAAGAGTTCGAGACCAGCCTGGGCAACATAGCAGGAATTCTTCCTACAAAAAAAAAAATATTAAATCAGGTGTGTGTGGTGATGCATGCCTGTAGTCCTGGCAATGTGGGAGGATTGCTTGACCAGGAAGTTGAAGCTGCAGTGAGTTGTGACTGGGTCACTGCACTCCATCCTGGGTGACAGAGTGAAACCCTGTCTAAAAAAATAAATTTGCCCTAAAACAGCTTCTGTACATTCCTGTTAAAATTATTACTAAATATTTTATCTTCCTGTTGCTATGTAAGAGAGGCTTTTACTCTACCATAATTGGTTACTGCTTGCGTATATGAAGATTTCTATATGTTAATTTTGTATCCTGTTCCTCAAGTATTGTTTTAGTATAATAATGCATTCTCTAGAGTTTTCTTGAATACTACAATACTATATCACCTACGTTACAGCTTGACATCTCTCCCAAGGCTTTTGTCTCTAATTGGTCCTCTTCTTGGATAACTGTATTGGTTAATATTTCCAGAACAATGTTAAATAATAATGGGAATAATGGGCATCCTATACTTGTTCCTAATCCTAGTAGAAGCTAGTCTTTATTAGGTGAGATGCAGGCTTTTGAAAAGGTCTATACCAAATTTTATTACATTAAGAAAGTATTAATTCCTATTTTATGAAGTCTATCAGGAATAGGTATTGATGTTTCTTAAAGGTTTTCTTCAGCGTCTATATAAATAATTGTGATTTTTCTCCCCTATATGTGTTAATACAGTATATTATTGAGTTTCCTAGAACCAATCTTGCATTCCTAGAATACATCCCAGTAGGCCACAGATATAATTTTAAAGAAATAAGCAATATGAAACTGAAATCTTAAGTACTACCTTTATCAGGTTCAGGTACTGATATCATACTTCTTTTAAAAAATTTTGGAAGGTTCTTGTGTGTTTTGTTTACTTTCTATGCTCTGGAAGAATTTATGTGGCACTAGGACTATTTGGCCCTTAAAGGTCTCAGAAATTCCACATGAAACTATTTGGGCCTGGTGTTTGTTTGTTTGAGACAGAGTCTTGCTCTGTCACCCAGGGTAGAGTGCCGTGGCACAAACATGGTTAACTGCTCCCTCAACTTCCTGGGCTCAAGTGAACTCCCACCTTGGCCTCCCCAGTAGCTGGGACTACAGGTGCATACCACCATGCCTGGCTTTTTTTTTTTTTTAGATGGAGTTTCGCTCTTGTTGCCCAGGCTGGAGTGCAATGGCACGATCTTGGCTCATCGCAACCTCCGCCTCCTGGGTTCAAGCAATTCTCCTGCCTCAGCCTCCCGAGTAGCGGGGATTACAGGCATGTACCACCACACCTGGCTAATTCTGTATTTTTAGTAAAGACGAGGTTTCTCCATGTTAGTCAGGCTGGTCTCGAACTCCCGACCTCAGGTGATCCGCCCACCTCGGCCTCCCAAAGTGCGGGATTACAGGTGTGAGCCACCTTGCCTGGCCCTAATTTATTTTTTGTAGAGACAGAGTTTCGTCATGTTGCCCAGGCTGGTCTCAAATTCCTGGGCTCAAACAATCCTCCCGTTTTAGCATCCCAAAATGTTGGGATTATAGGCATGAGCCACTGAATCCAGCTCCTTGTGCTTTTTGGTGAAGTAATTCCTTCCGTGGAATTTGGTGGTTCATTTAAGCTTCCTATCTCTGATGGGATCAATTTCTGTTAAACTGTGTTTTCCAAACAAATTTTCCAATGTATCTTGTCTCTTAGAATTTTTTTTTTTTTTGAGACAGGGTCTCACTATGTTGCCCAGGCTGGAGTATGATGGTGCAATCACAGCTCACTACAGCCTTGAACTCCTGTGTTCTAGCAATTCTCCTACACTGAGGCCTCTCAAGTAGCTGGGACTATAGGTGCATGCCACCACACCCAGTTAACTTTAAAAATTTTTGTAGAGACAGGGACTCACTATGTTGCCCAGGTTGGTCTTCAACTCCTGGCTTCAAGCGATCCTCCCACCTCAGCCTCCCAAAGTGCTGGGATTATAGGCATGAGCCACCACACCTGGCCTCTTAACGATTCTTAAGTTTCTTCTTTTTCAATGGTTATTCCCTTTCTCACTTCATACTTCTGCTTTTACTGTCTCTTTTTTGAAGTTAGCCAGTGTTTACTAATTGCAGCTATTCTTCTATTTCCATCATAAATTTCTGCATTTATCCTTATTAAATTATTTCTTGGATTTATTCTGAAATATTTTACAGGGTTTTTTCCCCTGGCTTTTCCAGTTGGGAATCTGTTTTTCTTTTCTTTTTTTTTTTTTTTTTTGAGATGGAGTCTTGCTCTGTCACCCAGGCTGGAGTGCAGTGGCACGATCTGGGCTCACTGCAACCTCTGCCTCCCAGGTTCAAGCGATTCTCCTGTCTCAGCCTCCTGAGTACCTGGGATTACAGGCACATGCCGCCATGCCTAGCTAATTTTTTGTATTTTAGTAGAGACGGGGTTTCACCGTGTTGCCCAGGCTGGTCTCAAACTCCTGAGCTCAAGCAATCCACCTGCCTCGGCCTCCCAAAGTGCTGGGATTACATGTGTGAGCCACCGCACCTGGCCTGTTTATTTTCCTTCTCTGATTTTTACTGTTTCAGGAAACAGATTTTCATCTGTTCATCGTTTTAAACATATTCTATAGGTTTTGACACATAGTGTTTTGTCTTTTTTTCTTTTAGAATTCTGTCATTTGGTTTCTATTTTCCCCTTTCATCCAAGAATTGTTTACTAGAAGATTTATTTCCCGGCTGGAGGCTACTTTTGTTTTAGTTGCTACAAAAGTTTCTAATTTTAAGCAATGTTGTTTCACAGTATTTTTTGCTCTATGGGATTTAATGATGTTTTCTTTCTGATCTAATACATATGATCAACTTTTGTGAATATTCCATGTGCACTTCAGAATAAGATTTATTGTTCATTACCAGGGTGTAAAGTCCAAAAGAAATGTGTAAGATCTACCTATTACGTTATTTAGGTCTCCTAAATTATTACTTTTGTCCATTTGACCTGCTTTGTAATAACAATGCTGTGTATACATCTCCTATTCAGTCTTTCTACCTAAGTCTGTTGAATCTCCTATAGTTTCAGCTTTATAAAGATGGTGGTTATTTCTGGCACAGATATTCGATATGCTTTACATTATCATTGTGAACTATGGCTTTTAGCAGTTGAAAATGTCCTTCCTGGGAAGCTGAGGCAGGAGAATCACTTGAACCTGGGAGGTGGAAGTTGCGGTGGGCTGAGATTGTGCCACAGCACTCCAGCCTGGGTTACAGAGTGAGACTCCATATCAAAAAAAAAAAAAAAAAGTCCTTCCTTATTATGGTTAATACCTGAACTTTACTCTGTTCAATATTAGTGTCACAAATACTGCTGTTATTGTTTCCATTCTCCCAGTATATTTCTGCCCATTCCTTATTTTTAGCCTTTCTGAATCACATTTATATACTGAATATAATTGGTCCATAACAAATTAGACATATTTTTAACAAGTGAATCAAACCCATCCATATTTATTGGTATGACACTTTTTTACTATCATATTATTATTATTATTATTATTATTTTGAGATGGAGTTTCACTCTTGTTGCCCAGGCTTGAGTGCAATGGTGCAATCTCGGCTCACCACAACCTCTGCCTCCTGGGTTCAAGCGATTCTCCTGCCTCAGCCTCCCGGGTAGCTGGGATTACAGGCATGTGCCACCACACCTGGCTAATTTTGTATTTTCAGTAGAGATAGGGTTTCTCCATGTTGGTCAGGCTGGTCTCAAACTTCCAACCTCAGGTGATCTGCTCGCCTCAGCCTCCCAAAGTACTGGAATTACAGGCATGAGCCACCACGCCTGGCCTGTCATATTATTTTTTATAATTACTATGTATTCTATATTTATTGTCTTTTACCTTTTTTTTTATTTTTCCCCTTTATCATTACCCACAATGATATATACTGTTTATGTGAGTAGTATTAAAGAATGTTTGTATTTTTTAGTCTAGTGGTTACCTTTGTAATTATGCCTTTTGATGCCTTTAGTTCATTTCCTTAATCTTTTATTAACTAGTTTGTTTTTAATGATATCTGTTAGCTAACAATAATCAGTGAGCTGATTCTGCAATATTCTTCCCCTCTCTTCTCCTCCCATTTTTCAGTTGCATTTTTTTCTGAAACTAAACATATAGTACTTATACATTGTTCTCTACCCTCATCCCCACTTCTGTTTTAGTCTTAGAATTATAATTAAGTATATTAGATAATCACTACCAATCCTTTTGTTGAAATTTCTCCAGCTACCTCTTGATTGGATAAAGCTCATTCTCTAGTAGATTCCTCAAGAAAGCCTCATTAACACAAACTTCCCTCGGTTCTTGGTTTAAAACTGGTTTTCTGCAGTCTTAATACATGAAGGTGAGCTTTGCTAAACATAAAATCCTTAGTCACAGATTCTTTCCTTCAGCCTCCTGAAAGTGCTTTTCTGTTGTTTCCTTGCTTTTCTACGTTGCTTTGGAGAAGTTGGATGCCATTTTATTCTCTTGCCCTTGTAAGTCATTTGATTTCTGCCCAAAGGTCCTGAGTATTTCTCCTTATTTTAAAAATCGAACAGTTAATATTTTCTCTAGTTTGACAATTCTGGGTCAATTTTCCCACGTGCTCAGTGTGCTCTTTCATTATATAAATCTGAATCTTATTTTATTTCTGGACTATTTTCTTGGATTACAGTTTTAAATATTAAGTCTGTTCTACTGGTTTTTCTTCAGACACTCCAATTATATGTATGTTCATTCTTCTTTGCCTTTCATTGTAGTCACTTTTTTCTCATACATTTAACTAAGAATTTTAAAAAATTAATCCCAGATGTGACAATATAACCAATAATTGTATTAAAGGTATCTGTACTATTTTAAAATTTTATAATTGCATATATGTACAACGTACATGTTTTCATATATGTATACAGTGTAGGATGACTAAAGCTAGTTAACATATCCACCACCTCACATACTTTTTTGTGGTGAGAATGTAAAATCTACTTTTACTTTTTTATATTATTTCATTCATTTTTTAGGCTATTTATCTACTTTTCTTTAATGTTCCTTATTAAATTTTCATTGAAATACATTCTCCTTTGAGCACCTTGCAATTTTGATATCATTTCTGATGCAATTTTGTCTCCCCTGCCCATTTTCTTAATTCAATCAGCTTTAACTTCTTACTATTATCTCTCCATCTTGTCATTAGTTTCTGAATTTTCTATTTTTACAACCTCAAATGCTTATCAGGGGCTACTGCACTCAGATTGAAGCATAGTCAGCTGCTTCATGATTGACTTTTACAGTGAAGGGAGTTCCATCAACTGACATGTTTCATTCTCACTTTTTGTTTTCTTATTGTAGCTTTATATAAATGAAAACTATTTGTATCTGCATTCTCCAAAGCTGGCAGATGAACAAATGAACAAAAATCCTAGTTCAAGAGCACCCTCTTCTGTCAGTATAGCAAAGTGCAGTTTAGTTCATGGGTGACTAATTTTAGGGAGGGTGATGGGGAAAGATGTAGTGTCCTTCAGTGTATTCGATTTTGTATGTCTTGCAGGTACATAAATGTAACCCCCTTGCTTCATTTTCCCTTCACAATTTCCAAAGGTACCTCTCTCTTTCCTTTGTACTCTTCTTCCCCAGAAGTAATGCCTTCCCCTGACTACCGTATTGATTTGTGTGTGCACTCTTAAGTAGCTTCTAAAGTCACTGCTTTGACTCTTTTCTAGCATATTCACTTTTTTTCTTTCTTTTTTTTTTTTTTTAGAGACAGTTTCACTCATCGCCCAGGCTGAAATGCAATGGTGCAATCTCAGCTCATTGCAACCTGTGCCTCCCCAGTTTAAGTGATTCTCCTGCCTCAGTCTCTCCAGTAGCTGGGATTACAGGGACACACCACCACACCCGGCTAATTTTTGTATTTTCAATAGAGACAGGTTTTCACCGTGTTGGTCAAGCTGGTCTCGAACTCCTGACCTCAAGTGATCCACCCGCCTCAGCCTCCCAAAGTGCTGGAATTACAGGCATGAGCCACCACGCCCGGCCAGAAGAAGTTTTTTTAAAAAGCAAAATAAAAAAGTGTAATAATACAATACTTTTTGAGTTAAAAGTAAATATATGGTCTAGGTGCAGTGGCTTACACCTCTAATGCCAGTAGTTTGGGAGGCCGAGGCAAGTGGATCACTTGAAGCCAGGAGTTTGAGACCAGCCTGGCCAACATGGCGAAACCCCATCTCTAAAAATACAAAAATTAGCCAGGCATGGTGGCACACACCTGTAATCCCAGCTACTTGAGAGGCTGAGGCAGAAGCATCTCCTGAACCTGGAAGGTGGAAGTTGCAATGAGCCGTGATCTCGCCACTGCACACTGGCCTGGGCAACAGAGTTAGACTCTGTCTCAAAGAAAAAAAAAAGTGAATTTGGAGAGAGGGATGTTCCAGAGGTAATTAAAGTTAAACGGGGCCATAAGAGGGGGACCCTAATCTGTTAGGACTGGAATTCTTTTAAAAATTGGAAAAGCTGGGTTGGCGCCCGTGGCTCATGCCTGTAATCCCAGCACTTTGGGAGGCCGAGGCAGGCGGATCATGAGGTCAGGAGATCAAGACCATCCTGGCAAACATGGTGAAACCCCGTCTCTACTAAAAATACAAAAATTAGCCAAGCGTGGTGGCGGGTGCCTGAAATCACAGCTATTCAGGAGGTTGAGGCAGGAGAATCACTTGAACCCGGGAGGCAGAGGTTGCACTAAGCTGAGATTGTGCCACTGCACTCCAGCCTGGCGACAGAGTGAGACTCCATCTCAAAAAAAAGAAAAGAATTGGAAAGCCAGCCGGGCACAGTGGCTCACATCTGTAATCCCAACACTTTGGGAGGCCAAGGCGGGCAGATCACGAGGTCGGGAGATCGAGACTATCCTGGCTAACACGGTGAAACCCCGTCTCTACTAAAAATACAAAAACAAAATTAGCCAGGCATGGTGGTGGGTGCCTGTAGTCCCTGCTACTTGGGTGGCTGAGGCAGGAGAATGGCGTGTACCCGGGAGGCAGAGCTTGCAGTGAGCCGAGATCACGCCACTGCACTCCAGCCCGGGCGACAGAGCCAGACTCCAACTCAAAAAAAAATAAATAAATAATTGGAAAAGCCAGCCTGGGCAACATAGTGAGTTGCCATCTCTACAAAAAATTTTAAAATTAGCCAGATGTGGTGGCATGCAGCTATAGTCCCAGCTACTCAGGAGGCTGAAGTGGGAAGATCACTTGAGCACAGGAGGTCAAGCCTGCAGTGAGTCAAAGTCACACCGCTGCACTCCAGCCTGGGTGACAAAGCAAGACCCTGTCTCTGAGGGAAAAAAAAAAAAAAAAGACGAAGAGATACCAGAGATCTCTTTCTGCATGCACTGAGAGCAAAGACCTCGTGAGGACACAGCAAGAGTGTAGTCCAGAAGCCAAAGAGACACAGACCTCAGAATGAAGCCAACCCTGCCAACACCATGATCTTGGACTTCTAGCCTCCAGAACTGACAGAAAATAAATTTCTGTTGTTTAAGCTATGCAGTTTATGGTATTTTCTTATGGCAGCACTAGAACACTAATACATAAAGCAAATACAGGCCAGGCACGGTGGCTCACACCTGTAATCCCAGCACTTTGTGGGGCCAAGGCAGGTGGATCACCTGAGGTCAGAAGTTCAAGACCAGCCTGGCCAACATGGCGAAACCGTGTCTCTACTAAAAGTACAAAAATTAGCCGGACATGGTAGGGCTCGCCTGTAATCCCAGCTACTTGGGAGTCTGATGCAGGAGAATTGGTTGAACCCAGGAGGCAGGGGTTGCAGTGAGTAGAGATTGTGCCACCGCATTCCAGCTTGGGTGACAAGAGCAAAACTCTGTCTCAAAAAAAAATTTTTTTTAAATAAATAAATAAGTAAAGCAAATACAACATCGATACCAAAACCTGATTTTAAAATACCTTAAAATATACGCACTAGTATCACATAATATCAATGCAGAAACTCAAAACATTAGCAAACAGAATATACAACTTCAGGAATGAAGGAAGTTTAGTATTCAGAAATCTACTAGGATAGATTTATAAATAGATCTAAGGAAGAAAATCACATGATCATCTCCAAAAACACTGAAAGTGCATTCAACAATATTCAACACTCATTCCTAACTTTAAGAACAAAATAAACAACAACAAAAATATTTAAAACAGAAGCCAGTAGTAGCTTCAACATGAAAAAAGATATAAATTAGGAAACACTGACAGCAGTCTTGCTAAACTTACAAACAATACAAAGATGCCCAGAATCACAACTATGATTCACCATTACATTTGACATATAGGGAGTTGTAGCCAATGCAAGACAAGGAAAGAAATGACATGTAAAATAACTGGAAAGATAAAATTTTATTCATTTACTTATTTTTGGCGATGGAGTCTTGCACACCAGGATGGAGTGCAGTGGCAATGATCATAACTCAGAACAGCCTCAAACACCTGGGTTCAAGCAATCCTCCCATCTCAGCCTCCCAAGTAAATGGGACTACAGGCGACAGCCACCTCACCCAGCAAATTTTTTTACTTTTTATAGAGATGGTGACTCATTATGTTGTCCAGGCTGGTTTTGAGCTCCTGGCATGAAAGGATCCTCCTGCCTTAGCCTCCCAAAGCATTGGGATTATAGGCATGAGCCCCTGCACCCGACAGAACTCTTATTTATACATAGACAGTATACAACCACATTTTTAAAACCCTAAATACCACACTCTGGGGACTGTTGTGGGGTTGGGGGAGGGGGGAGGGATAGCATTAGGAGATATACCTAATGCTAAATGACGAGTTAACAGGTGCAGCACACCAGCATGGCACATGTATACATATGTAACTAACCTGCACATTGTGCACATGTACCCTAAAACTTAAAGTATAATAATAATAAAATAAAATAAAAATAAATAAATAAAATAAAACCCTAAATAAATGACAGAAAAAAATTACAAACAAGAGTATTTAATAGGTAGCAGGATATAAAACTTTATAATGAGAATCAAGAGTTATCATATGTACCTTAAGAAAAAGTTAGAAGATGGCAGAGTAGGAAGCACCAGGAATCTGTCTCCCCACCCAGGCAACAATTGCCTGGCAGAATCTGTCTGATGGAACTATTTTGACTCTGGCGTCTGTTGAAAGACTGCAACTTCCAGGGGAAGGATTGGACTGAAAATTGGAGTTAATTTCAGCTCTTAGCATAGTAGCAGCTACCCATCCCCCACCCCAGCTCCATGACAGATATTTCCGCAAGTGTTCCTGCAGCAGTTTGCACACAGCTTGCAGGAGCCGGGGTGGGCATAAAAGGACCCTGTCCTCCAAATATTGAGAATCTGTGCTTGCTGACTGCTGCTTCTGATCACAGAGGTGCAAAGAGAT
Organism: Homo sapiens; assembly: GCF_000001405.40. Lineage (NCBI taxonomy): Eukaryota > Metazoa > Chordata > Mammalia > Primates > Hominidae > Homo > Homo sapiens. The sequence continues at coordinate 136,302,080 of NC_000003.12, read as the reverse complement.
GGGTGGTCACTGTTGCTACAACTCCCCACACTGTTGCGAGGCTCTCCTGCTTTGGGCTGAACTGACTTCCAAGGAATTTAAAGGGCTGACATCTTTTTACCATCTTCATTTTTTTTCTCTTTTTCTACTTTTGGGAGCCAGACGTTAACAACTAGGACACTCAAAAACAACTGCATATGCAGGGAAAATTAGAAAGTGATTGCACGTGCCCCTGCAAAGGCTCAGAAAAGACCTAAGGAAGACCTTAAGGTTACATCTCAGGCTAATCCTTGGTGCAGGAAGAGACTACAAGAATAAAAAAGACAAAAACAATAACAGAAAACAGCAAACCCTAGGGAAGAGGGAGAATCTGACTTCTAGAGTTACCAGAGAGCCATCACGATGTGTTGCACAAGGACTACCGAGAGCACAGTGTACCCTTAAGGAAGGCATTGGCCATCTACAGATGCCTTCAGTTTGCCCAACACTGTCCCCTTTACTTAATGACCCAGGAATCTGCTGTACCAAAAAAAGGTACAAATGGCTCCTGTCTCCCACGGACCTCCACACACACAGTCCAACCTTCTAGGATGCCCTGTGTACTCTCTTCTCTATAAAGACAAAACCCCCTCTGAGCAGAGGGCCCCAATGATACTTAACAATGATCACTCTGGCCTCACTCTAGACTCTGTGGACATGGCCCCTAATTTATGATCCTCAGAGGGCCTTCTAAAGACTCCTGAGCTCTGCTGGCCCTTACTACTCCTATCTCCAGCCCTCAAGTCCATCTGTGCCACTAGGGTATCTATAGCCACTAGGTCTTTCCAGAACACACTACTCAGTGGCCACTGGTCCTGTGCCCACCCTATTCCCGACCTGTGCTGTCTGACATGGAGGCCAAGTGGTCCAGTGCTTCCTCACTAAGCCGAAGCACAATGCCCATGAATGTGGCTGACTAGGACAGGCAAGACAAACAGATGTGGCACTTACAGAGTGTATGATGTCCACCATGTTGTAGGCTTTGGTTGATTCCAAAGGGACAATTGTGTCAAGCTCAGGAACCAGACGGTCACTTTAGGCAGAAAAAAGGCAGGTATAGTCAACATAGGAAGAGCCAGTTACCTTTTGTGGGAATGGGGTGGGAAAGGAAATGGGGTGACACGTCATAGGGACTGGGCCAGTTCTGTCCCTGCTGGGCTTACAAAGCAGTCACCAAAGAGTCATTCCTTTTTAACCACCATATTAACTGAACCTGGGACAAGTATCAATCCAAAAGATCTTCTGGTTCTCTTTTAGAGGAAAAAATGAGTTTATTCCTCTAAACGTTATTCTTTCATTTATCTTCTCTGAATACCTCCTACATTCTAGGTACCGTGTAGGGCACTGAAGGACATTATAGTGAACAAGACACAGCCCTGGGAGAGCCCAGCCCAACTTCCTGGAACATTAAAAGAACAAGGACTTGGAAATGCAAAGGCAGAGCTCTGCATAAACCACTGTGGGTTCACATTCCCTGTTAGGTTAATCTGCTAAAGCTCCTTCAAAAAGCAAAACTGCAGGCCCTCTGGGCAAAATCACCACAGAACCTGTCACATGCAGGCTCATGGACTCTCTCCTTCCTCCTGCATCCAAGTGTCTCAGCAGAAAAACTAAGCCAGAGCCCACTCCCACTCTACAGGAGGACCCAGCAACTTGCCCCTCTCCAACCTCTTCTCTCCAATAGGCTTTCATTCCCTCCTTCCCAGTGTGGGCAGCCAGGGGCTACAGTGACCCTGAGACGTACTCCTGGGCTGAGGTTTGGCCTTGGGTCAGGCCATGTGTCCATCAAGCCCAACTTCGCAAAAAGCTCTACGCTGGAAAGAAAACTAAGGGTAGCCCCATCTGCTAATAAAGTCCTCCCTTTTTACTTGTCATACATATATACACATATACATATGTGTATATATGTATGTGAACACATGTGTAGATATACATATATACACGTGTAGATATGCATGTATGTATATGTGTAGATATGCGTATATGCATATATGTGTTGATATGCATGTGTGTGGGCATGCATATATGCATGTGTGGGCGTGTACACATGCATATGTGTGGGTATGCATATATACACATGCATGTGTGTATACATGCATACATGTATATATGTATGCATATGCGTATACATATACATATGCATACATATACATGCATACATATGTACGCATATACGTACATACACATGCATGCATATACATACATATGCATGCATATACATACACATGCATATACATACATACACATGCATACCTATACATACACATGCATATACATACATACACATGCATACCTATACATACACACACATGCATACCTATACATACACATGCATATACATACATACACATGCATACCTATACATACACATGCATATACATACATACACATGCATACCTATACATACACATGCATATACATACATACACATGCATACCTATACATACACATGCATATACATACATACACATGCATACCTATACATACACATGCATATACATACATACACATGCATACCTATACACATGCATATACATACATACACATGCATACCTATACATACACATGCATATACATACATACACATGCATACCTATACATACACATGCATACATATGCATATATACATAAGCATACATATACATACATATGCATATACATAAGCATACATATACATACATATGCATATATACCTATGCATGCATATGTATGCATGTGTATGTGTGTATGCACAAATATGTATACATGTATGTATACATATATATGCATATACGTACATATGCACACATGAACATATGTATATACACATACACGTATACATATATACGCATATACACATGCATATATATATGTATACATATATATGGATATATATCTCCCTTGGAATCATATGCAGAAGAGGTATAGCTGGGCCAAAGCGGGCTATGCAGACATTTCTGGGCTCCTGGGCCATAATACCTTCAAGTGATGTCCTAAACCCTTCAGGAACTCCAAACTGTATACTCAGAAAGGCTATACCCACAGCTCTGGACCTTGTGACCACTCTCCCCTCCATGACTACACACAGTGGGCCACTGGGTATGTCCCTTGTGGAGTGGGCAGAGGCAGACAGAGTGAGGCCCTGGCAACACAACTCTTCAGAGCATCCCTGGCCCAGACCAGGCCCCACAGGAAGGAGTCCAGGTTTAAGCTACAGGATAGCATCTGAAAATGACCTCTTCCCAAACAATACAATTTCAAATCCCTTCTGCAGAAGAAAGTCCAGGCCAAGTGAGTGCTTATAATTTGGAGAGGAAATAAAATGGAACGGCTAGAGGTGTGGAGCAGTTCCTGGGCAGGGCCTCCACTTTACTCTATGGTGCCTCCACAACAGGTGGTAGACTCCAACAGCAAAAGGAAAGGTCTTCACCAGATGGCCAGCAACACACCCTTCCCCAGGACTGTCCCAGCCTCTGGCTATAAGCAGTATGCATAAACATGTTTCCTAAAGGGCATGCTGTTTGCATCATTTTACATTTATTTATTTCAAAAGGACAACTAGGTAGAGCCCAGGAACCAGTCACTTTAGACAGAAAAAAGCCAGGTATAGTCAGCATAAGAAGAATCATGGCTCTTCCTTTTGTGGGTGAGGGGAAGGAAAGGAAATGGGAGACTTCTTCATGGGGACTAGGCCAGACCAAAAAAAACTTGAATCTCTAATTCTAGATAACTTGAGAGTTTCTTAGAAATCAAAAAATTTTTCTTTAAAACTGTTTTGGGCCACTCTTCACCACCAAGATATACATTAGATATTACAGAGAGGAAAAAGGAAAATAAAATCATCTTTCTTTGCTCCTATAGCCAAACATGACATCATCCCCACACCTGGGAGCCACTCTACCACACTCTGCTGCAACTTGCCCAACAAGGCAGACCCTGGGGGTCCTGTCAGGGCAGAGAAAGGCAAGCTACACTGCAAAATGAGAGAAGGTGCACCGGCCTACAACCCACCTGGGATCGTGGCACTCACGGACGGGAGCCGGGTCCTGACTGCTCAGGGGCAGGTAGTTGAAGAAATCCCGGAGATTACACAAGGCATCAACATCATTTTCAAAAGCTCTGTGGGCCACACCTAAGAGAACAGGGAGCATATATGATTGAGTCAGGGTACCAGCCAGCCCAAAGTTGCTGCTTCATGCCTGACTGCGCCCTTCTAGGGCATGTCAGTAGCAGACCGTGCTGATAGCTCTGTTCTCTGCACCCTCCACTGAGGATGTAATGCCACATAATACATACCTTCCGGGTGATCCTTCAACTCATGCAGCACATGTTCCCTCTGTTCTGCAACCACACCTCTACAGGGGTCACACCTTTCTTTATTCAGGTCCTTGCTCTAATGTCACCTCCATACCCACTCCCAGATCCTTCACTATCCATCCCTATACCATGCGGGAGTTCTCCTCCCGTACTTTTCTCTGCATCACCTATTTCCCTGTTTACTGCCGGACATCTCTCCTGGAATATCAGCTCCAACAGGGTAAGATCAGGCCTGGCCAACATTAAGAATAATGTACCTGGCAAACAGGTGCACAGCAACAGTGGAAGGAAAGGAGGGGAGCCACCTGCCCCTAGTGAGAATCAAGCCATAATTCTTGAAGAGCACTCTGAAATCACAGAGCAGCCAAACAAGGCCATAGGTATGATGGAGAAAGCGGAGCCAAGAACTCTCTCCCCAGGTTCATCCCACCAGACTCCTTTCTTTCACCATTGCCCCTACGGTCTCTTGTCCACAAAGCTGACAGACAGAGCTTTTTAAGTCAGATCGTGTCATGTCTCTACTCCAATGATCCTCCTTGTTCACTGATCGGGCCAGTCACTCTCCTACCGAGAGCCTTTGCATAAGCTGTTCCCCTCTGCCTGCAATGCTCCCCACTTACATATCAATGCAGTTAACTCCTTAAAATCTGCTCAGCTCCTAACCTCAGTGAGGCCTACTGTTACCACCCTATTTGAAACTACAACAATCCCAGTCCCCTTTACCCTGTTATACTTTTTCCATAGCACGTATTGCCTTCTAACATACTGCATAGTGTACTTATTTACAATGTTTATTGTCTATCTCCTCTACTAGAATATAAGCCCCATATGGGCAGGTGTCTTTCTTTTGTTCTGTCCACAGATGTATTCCTAGCACCTAAAACAATGCTTCACACATAGGTACTCGATGAATATTTGTTTTGTTTTGTTTCTTTTTTTACATTTTTATTATTCTATTTTAAATTTTTAATTCCTTTGCTATTTGCCTTTTTCCACATATTCTAAATGAGTATTTGTTGAATAAAAAGCATTTTCAGCATGACAGAATTCTTTCATTCAAAAAATATTTATAAATGGGTACAGCCACTTTGGAAGAGAGTCTGTCAGTTCCTTAAAAGTTAAACATCGAGTTATCATTTAACTCAGAAATCAAAGAGAAATGAAAACATATGTCTACCCAAAAACTTGCATATAAATATTAATACAGGCATATTTATGATAGCCGAAAAGTGGAAATGACCCAGTGTCTATTAACTGGTCAATGAATAAACTAGATGTGGTATATCCACACACTGGAATATTATTCGGCCATAAAAATGAATAAAGTACTGATTCATGATACAACATGGATGAGCCTTTAACAACATTATGCTAAGTAAAAGCAACCAGTTACAAAAGATCACATATTATATGATTCCATTTCTAGGAAATGTCCAGAATGAAAAAATCCACAGAGACAGAAAGTAGCCTGGTAATTGCCTAGAGCAGAAGTATCTGTGGTTGAAATGCAGAGTGACTGCTAATGGGCACAGGGTTTCTTCTTGGGGTGATGACAATGTCCTGAAATTGATTGTGGTAATAATTATCCAACTCTGAATGTATTTTAAAAACCACTGAATTGTACACTATAAATAGGTGTTTAAAATATACGGTATATGAATTACATCTCAATAAAGCTGTTACCACAAAAGAAAAAAGAAAAGAGAGAAAAATATATGTACGGAGCACCTTTTTGTGCCTTGCCCTGGGGATACAGGGCCAAGTGCATCAGACACAGTCCATCAAAGAGCCTCAGGCCCAGAAAGAAAACCACATACTGCCCTACAATCAAAAAACAAACAAAACGTACTTGAGATTGTGCTACAGAAGAAACTTTAATGTCATGGGCAGACATTCATTACTTTAAGCTGTCAAGTAAAAAAAAAAAAAAAACTCAGGTTACATAAGAGTATGTCCATACCTATGTTTGAGTAAGTGTTTGTGTATTCACGCTCATGTGCGTGAAAAGACTGCAAGGGTATAACCAAAAAATCACTAGTGATTATCTGTGGATGATGGAATATCTAGCAGTTTTTATGCTTTGTATGTTTTCTAAGTTTTGTACTACAAACATATAATGCTATTAAAATGGGGAAAAATAAACAGCATATTTCATCAAATCTAAGACACCATCAAGACCCAGCTTTATATTATATACCAGCAAGAAAAACAGGCTGCTGCCAATAAAGCCCTGAGACAATAGCATGGCATCAGGCCGTGCTGGAGTTGATGCTAAGAAGTGTTCTGATTCTAGACATGTCTTAAAGATGGGGCTAAATGATGCTGATAGGTAAGGGAAAGGAATGAGTCAAGATCGATGCCAACCTGACATGGGGAGAAACAATTTTTGTGGGTGGGGGATCAAGAGCCCTAACTTTTTTAAAACTACATTTCATCTAATCTAAGACTTCACTGATAAGACACATCTCTACTTTAGGGACACTGGGAAGAAATGCTGACAATTAAATGCTGACCCAATGCCTTAACCACAGTACAATGAGGTGCATAAATCAGGCATGCCAGCCTCTCACTGCTGTAAAATCTCTCAGAGAAGCAATTTCTCCTGTCTTTAGTTACATTGCTGTGTGGTAGGTAATCCATTCACAGCTGGGTGGTTTCTTTTACAGGAAAACATGGAATTGCAATAATTACTCCAACAGCTAACATGTCTTCACTAATATCAGAATCATGCCCTACTTCCAATTCCATGCCTTTCTGTTTAAACAAGAACTTTTTGTTTCAGTGCTGAGGCACAGAATAATCTTTATACATTTTAAACTTGGTACGTAATCTTAAAGTTGTGAACAACTAGCCGGACATGGTGGCTCACGCCTGTAATCCCAGCACTTTGGGAGGTCGAAGTGGGAGGATTGCTCAAGCCCAGGAGTTCGAGACCAACCTGGACAACACAGTGAGACCACATCTCTACAAAAAAATATTAAAAATAAAAATTACCTGGGTATGATGTGACATACCTGTAATCCCAGCTACTAGAGAGGCTGAGGCAGAAGAATTACTTGAGCCCGGAAGACTGAGGCTACAGTGAGCTATCACTGTGTCCTGCACTCCAGCCTGGGCAATAGCATGAGACCCTATCTCAAAAACAAAACAAAACAAAAGCCAGGTATGGTGGCTCATGCCTGTAATCCCAGCACTTTGGGAAGCCAAGGTGGGCAGATTGCTTGAGGCCAAGAGTCTGACACCAGCCTGGCAACATGGTAAAACCCCATCTCTACAAAAAAAAAAAAATTTGCTGGGTGTGGTGGTGCATGCCTGTAGTCCTAGCTACCCAAGAGTCTGTGGTGGGAGGATTGCTTGAGCCTGGGAGGCGGAGGTTGCAATAAGCTAAGATTGTGTCACTGCACTCCAGCCTGGGCCACAGAGCTGGATCCTGTCTCAAAAAAAAAGAAGTTAACAACTATGACCAAATTCATCAACACATGATATATGACCATCATGCACCTGGCCAATGATTGGAAAACACTTATGTACTCTAAGATATATACCAACCTTAGAATAAAAAATGTCACAATAAGATAAAATTTTTTTTCAAAGGTTCAACTGTACATACATAAATCATACCTACTTATAATCACCATTCCAGCAACTAGCTCTAAATTGTTTTAAAGAATAACCAAGCATTACTAATAGCGTGTTATTTAATAAATTTTATATACTAAATCTACCTTTATCACTATATCTGTAAACAATACACTGTAGTGTAGTACAATAGACTGTACCACAGTCTTCCCAAATAAGGTCTGCCAATTAAGTAATATTTCTTAAAAACTGCCACCAGGCTCTTTGGCAATGCCCTCTTCTCAATGTTTGAAAACAACAAGGTCATCTTCAAGGCCTCTCACCTGACATGGTGGTGTGGGTCTTGGCACCACCGAGCTCCTCCTGGGTAACATCCTCATTGGTGACAGACTTCACAACATCAGGGCCAGTGATGAACAGGTAGGAGGTGTCCTGAAATAAAAGATTTCCAGAACAGTCAACCTCAGAGCACCAGAGCTGGTCACAGCCTTAGAGTTGATTCAGCCAAGATGACAAATGCAGAGAAGATAGTGACGTGGCTGAATGAGGATAGGATGTAGCTTAAAGATACGACTCCAAACTAAAGACCCAAGTTTTCCCTGCCTTATTGTCTTTTTTAAAAAATTTCTGTTGCACAGTTCTACCTCAGAAGTTAACTTGCAATGTGGCTAACATCTCAAGGTCATTCATCTGTAGAACACAGTAACAGGTGGCTCTTACTCAGAGCTTGCTGTGCACCAAGAAGTTTTTTAAGCACTTCACAAAACTGTGTCACTAAAGCCTAAGTACTATTATCACCCTCATTTACATATGAGGAAACTGAGATATGGAGACTGTATGCAACCAGTCACTTTAAATGAAGCTACTTAAAAATATTGATAAATCAGTGGGTTACAGTGGCTCACATCTGTAATCCCAACACTTTGGAAAGCCAAGGCAGGAGGATCACTTCAGGCCAGGAGTTCAAGACCAGCCTGGCCAACATAGCGAGACCCAGTCTCCATAAAAATTTGTTTCAATTAGGTAGGCCTGGTGGCATGTGCCTGTAGTCCTAGCTATTCAGGAGAGTGAGGCGGGACAATCACTTGAGTTGCAGTGAGCTATGATTGCTTGCACCACTGCACTCCAGCCTGGGTGACAGAGTAAAAACCTGTCTCAAAAACAAAAACAAAAAAACTAATAAATCAATGCTTTGCTATTAAAGAGTGATAGGCTTTTAATTTTTAGTTTCTAATATATAGATAATATAAGTATACTGCATAAAATTTAAACAGAGGAACAGGAGATACAGTGGAAAGTCTACAGCCCAGCCCTTACTTCCAGGCCTCCAATTCGCCTCCCCTAAGGCATACCCTGTCAGTTTCTTCTCTCTACAGAGACACCCATGCATCCATGTGCATTTATATATATATTTGCCCTCTTTGCCCTCTTATCTTCTAACACAAACATTATCTAACACAAACACTTTCTAATGCAAACATTTTCTTCCCAACACATTCTTTCAATACACATAGTGTTCAATACACACTGTGTTCAATACACATAGAGTTCAATACACACTGTTCTCAAATTTGTTTTTCTAGCTTGAAGATCATTCTATTCCATATCAGTATAGTAGGATTTGTATCATAACTTTCACCAATTGATGGTCATGAAGGTTGTTTCCAAAACTTTAGTATAATAAGCAATTCTGCAATAAATATTACTACAGTGCTCTCTGAACTCACTATTCATGTTCTTTGCCCATTTCTAATACATCATTGGCTTTTTTATGTACTAAGGAAATTAGTCCTTAGTCTATCATATGCATTATATCAGTCTTTTATCTTATGGCTTCTTGGTTTGAAATCTTGCTAGAAAGGTCTAGCTACAAAGGTCTTCCCCACTTCACACAGACTTCTAAACAAATGTTTATAGCAGCCTTATTTGAAACTGTTAAAAAAAAAAAAAACTAGAGACACAAAATTTCAGGTTTCTAGTCCAGCACATAAGAAGCTAAAAGTTGATACTCCTTCTTAACAAATAAAAAGCTGAAAAAGTTGCAGGGGAAAAACCAACAGTTTTTCTTAGGTCCATCAAAGAGGTGAGGTCTTTGCAGAACAAAGCACCCCAAAACTGGAGACCAACTGGCAAATGCAGAAAATTGAGCCTTGCAGGGCAGAAACCCACAAGCACAAATCTCCTCCAGAGCCAGGGCTGATGTAGGAAAACCGGAACTATAGCTGACAAATTGCTGGAGGCCCAGCATGGACAAGTCGGAGAGATCAAGACTCCAGGGCCGGCCAATCATTGGGGGCTCCCACACTTTTGTGAGTTTTACCTCTAGGAACTCAACAAGGTTCTCACAGTGATAATCAGAGAAAACTCCCTCATGCTTCTGACATGCATGGGGGAAAAAAAGACCCTTCTGAAACGCACGAGAGCATCATTCTTAACAGGGTCTTCTCTCAGGCAAAACTATATGATAAGAGCCTAACCTGCTGAAGTTTTATCAGAAACTGCTGACGCGAGGGAAGAAAAATACCAAACTCAAGCCAGCTCTTGCTTTCCATGTGGAAGAGGGGAAATGGCCAGCCCCAACCCGCTCTAGCCACCGTCCCACCAAAAAAGTACGAGAGACTGAGACACATGACATTCATAGTTCAGAGGCACAGGCTCACTAAAAGACTGACACCTACTCATAAGACTACAGAACACTTCCTCTTCCCCAGCTCCTTATCATTACTAAGGGCCTATTTACAATAGTTCCTTTTACCTAGTGTATCATGTCCAGCTATCAGGAATAAGTCATAAGACACACTAAAAGACAAAAAACAAAGTTTGAAGAGAGAATAAGCATCAGAACTGGAATCAGATGTAGCAGAAATGTTGGAATTATCAGACCAGAAATTTGAAACAACTACAATTAAGATGTTTGCCAGGTGTAATGGCATGTGTCTGTAGTCTTGGGTACTCAGGAGGCTGAGGTGGGAGGATCACTTGAGCCCAGGCGTTCAACACTAGCCTGGCCAAGACAGCAAGACTCCATCTCAAAAAACAAAAACAAACAAAATGGTTTAAGGGCTCTCATGGATAGAGTAGACAGCAAGCAGATGAGCAATGTAAGCAGAGAAATGGAAATTCTAAAAAAATAACTAAAATATACCAGGGATTGGAAACACTGCAACAGAAATAAAGAATGCATTTGATGTTTTTTGGTAGACTGGGCATGCTTGAGGAAAGAATCTCTGAGCTTGAGGATATCTCAAGAGAAACCACTCAAATTGAAAAGCGAAGAGAAAAAAATGGATCAAAAAAAACAAAACAAAACTGGAGTATCTAAAAACTGTGGCACAAATTACAAACGATGTAACATATACATAATGAGAATTCCAGAAGGAGCAGAAAGAGAAAAAAGAACAGAATATAGGAAGCAATAATGACAGAAAAGTTCCCCAAATTGTCAGACACCAAACCACAGATCCAATAAACTCAGAGACCATCAAGCAAGATGAATGACAAAAAAAAAAAAAAAAACTACACAGAGAAAGCTAGGTGTAGTGGTGCACACCTGTTGTCCCAGCCACTCATGAGGCTGAGGCAGGAAGACCATGTGAGCCCAGGAGTTTGAACCAGCCTGGGAAACACAGGGAGACCCCCATCTCTAAAAAAACAAAAGACAAACAAACAAACAAAAACAAAAAACTACACTTAGGACATTATTTCCAAACTACAGAAAATCAATTATAAAGAAAATATCCTAAAGGCAGCCACAAGAAAAAAACATTTTGCCTATAGAGGACCAAAAATAATAATTATATCCAAATTTTTCTTAGAAACCATGCAAGAACGAAGAGAGTGGAATGAAATATTTAAAGTGTTGAGGGGAAAGATCCTACCAACCTAGAATTCTGTGCTCTGCAAAATTATTCTTCAAAAGTGAAGGAAAAATACAGACCTTCTCAAACAAACAAAACTTGAGGTAATCTCCTGCCAGTAGACCTGCCTTGCAAAAAATGTTAAGCAAAATTCTTTACAGAAAAGGTAAATGATAAAGATCAGAAACTTATATCTACATAAAGAAAGAAAGAGCATTCAAGAAGGAATAAATGAAGGTAAAATGAAAACTTTTGATTCAAATTAATAGTAGCAAAAATTCAATTATGTACACATTCAATTATGTACAATTGAATTATGTGCACATCGCTTCTCAGCCTTTTGGCTAAGACCAAGTGCAATTATGTACACATATTTTATATATATCATATGAGGGATAGGAGGAAGGAATTAGAATGATTTTGCTATTATAAGGTACTCATACAACCTGGGAAGCAGAAAAGTGTTATCTGAAATTAACTTAAAATAGCTGTAAATTATATTGCAACCTCTAAGGCAACCACTGAAGAAGGTAAAAAAAAAGTATAACATGTTAATAAAGGAGAAAAATGGAATCATATAGAATGCTCAATTAAAATCACAAAAGGCAGAAAAGTGGAAGACAAAAATAAGAACAAATACAACAAAAAGAAAACAGTAACAAATATGGTAGATACTAATCCAACTATACCAACAATCTCTCTGAATGTCAATGGTCTAAATGTATCAATTAAAAGACGGATTGTCAGACTAGATCAAGAAACAAGACACAACTATAAGGGATGTCTACAAAAAACCCACTTGAAATAGACATAAAGATTAAAAGTAAATGAATGCAGAAAGATATTAATTACATGCTAAGACTAATCAAAAGAAATCAGGAGTAGCTATATTAATTTCAGAAAGAAAAGGCTTCAGACCAAGGAAAGTTATTATACAGAGGAATTCTGCATAATGATAAAGGGGTCAATTCTCCAAGGAGACAAACAGTCCTTCATGTGTATGCACCTAACAACAGAGCATCAAAATAACATGAGGCAAATACTGATAGCACTGGAAGGAGAAATAGATGAATCCATGATTACAGTTGAAGATCTTAACACTCCTCTATCAAAAGTGGACAGATCCAGCAGGCAGAAACAGTAAAGACATAGATGAACTCAGTAACACCAATCAGCTGGGCACAGTGTCTCATGCCTATAATCCCAGCAACTCAAGGGCCCTAGGTGAGAGGATTACTTGAGGCCAGGGGTTAAGACCAGCCTATGACAATATGGCAAGACCCCATCTCTACAAAAATTAAAATAAATAAAAATTAGCCTGGCCAACATGGTGAAACCCTGTCTCTACAAAAATAAAAAAATTGGCCAGGCATGGTGGCACACACCTATAGTCCCAGCTACTCAGGAGGCTAAGGTGAGAGGATTGCTTGACCCCAGGAGGTCAAGGATGCAGTGAGCCGAGATCGCACCACTGCTCTTCAGCATGGGCGACACAGCAAGACCTTGTCTCAAAAAAATAAATAAAATAAATAAAAAATTAGCCAGGTGTGTTGGCATGTGCCTGTAATCCCAGCTACACAGGAGGATCACTTGAGCCCAGCAGGTCGAGGCTGTGGTAAGCTATGATCATACCACTGCACTCCAGCCTGGGCAACAGAGTGAGACCCTGTCTCTAAACATTTTTATAGACCAGGTGCTGTGGCTTATACCCGTAATCCCAGCACTTTGGGAGGGAGGACGATTGCTTGAGCCCAGGAGTTCAAGACCAGTCTAAGCAACACAGTGAGACCAGTTCTCTACCAAAATAAAAAAAAAAAATTAGGCAGGCATGGCAGTGTGTGCCTGTAGTCCCAGCTACACAGGAGGCTGAGGCAGGAGGATCACTTGAACCTGGGAGCCGAAGGTTGCAGTGAGCTGAGATCACACCACTGCACTCCAGCCTGGGTGAGAGGGGGAGACTCCGTCTCAAAAAATAAAAAAAAATAATAAAAAACATTTTAAGAAGTAAAATAAATAGAAATCATTTTTAAAATTAAAAGAAAAACAGTATCAATAAACAGGATATGATGGACATACTTCATCTAACAACAAAATACGCTTTCTTCTCAAGCTCCCATGGAACATTCACCAAGATAGACTACATTCTGAGTCATAAACATACCTTAATTTAGAAGAACAGGAATCATACAAAAAGGCACTCAGCTTTATCAGTCATGGACTAATGCAAATTGAGTCAATGCAAATTGACAACACAATAAGAGACTATACCACAAGCATCAAACTGGCACAATTAAACTATGTTAATGTAAGTGCTGGCAAGGATGTGAAACAAGTGAAATTCTCAAATTGCTGGCTGCAACCTGTTTAGTAAACAGACGGGCATTACCTAGAGAAGCTGAAGACATATATATCCTATGACCTAAGATTGCCTCTAATGTGAAATGTTTACATCAGCACCAGAAAATAAAATGTGCGCACCAAGACACATATAGAAAAATGTTTACATCAGCATCATTTGCAATGGCAAAAATCTTGAAATAATTCAAATGTCCATCTGCAGTGGAATGAATGAATATGTTAAGAAATATTTACTATAACTGGGCGCAGTGGCTCATGCCTATACTCCCAGCACTTTAGGAGGCTGAGGCCGGCAGATTACTTGAGGCCAAGAGTTTGGAGACCACCCTGGCCAACACAGCAAAATCCATCTCTACCAAAAATACAAAAAATTAGCCGGGTGTGTGGTGGCACACGCCTGTAGTCCCAGCTACATGGGAGGCTGAGGTGTGAGAATCACTTAAACCGAGGAGGCAAAGGTTCCAGTGAGGTGAGATCCATGTCACTGCACTCCAGCCTGGGTGACAGAGCAAAACTCTGTCTCAAAAAAAAAACAAAAAACACCAAACACACACAAAAGAAAAAACACACACACACACTTACTACACAGCTATTAAAGTGAATGAACTACATTTTCAAAGAACAACATAGATAAATCTTAACAACATAATGAGCCAGAAGCCATGCACACAAGAAAGCATATTATATGGTTTCACTTAACGTAAAGGTCAAAACAGGAAACGCTAATCCACATTGTTTAGGGAGGCAATTTTTATTTTCAACTATGAAGCAAAGCAAATAAAAACACTACCATAAAAGCTGAGACAATAAAGAATTATTATTAATAACAAATTCTAAGCAGGATGGAGGCTACAATGATCCTTAGAAAGGATCATGATGACAGGGCTCTTGAAGAGCTATTTCCTGACCTGGGTTATTTTTATTATTTTTTTTTTTTTTTCCGAGACAGAGTCTTGCTCTGCCACCCAGGCTGGAGTGCAGTGGCGCGATCTTGGTTCACTGCAACCTCCGCCTCTCAGGTTGAAGCGATTCTCCTGCCTCAGCCTCCCGAGTAGCTGGTATTACAAGCACGTACCACCACGCTTGGCTAATTTTTGTATTTTTAGTAGAGACAGGGTTTCATCATGTTGGCCATGCTGGTCTCAAACTACTAGCCTCAAGTGATCCACCCGCCTCAGCCTCCCAAAGCGCTCACTGCAACCTTCAGCTCCCAGGTTCAGAAGCAGGGAGACCAGTCAGGAGGATTCTGTAATAATCAGGTGGGAAATGATGTGCTTGAATCAAAGTGGTAGCAGTTTTGTTAGTAAGAAGTAAGTAGTCGTGCTAAGAAGCAATTTGATTATATTGTGGATTATATTCTAAAGTAAAGCCAACAGGACCTTCTGACTAAATTTGGGATGTGATAGCAAAAGACGAGTCAAGGCAGTGTCAAAGCTTTTACCTGAGCCACTGGAAGACTAGACCTGCCATTTAAAATGGCGAAGGCTGCAGGAGAGCAATGCAGGAGAAGCTTGGTAGAAATCAAAACCTGTTAAGTTTGAGATACCCATTAAAGTCCAAATGGAAATTCTGGTAGGCTCTTAAAAATATAATCCTGGAGGAACAGATTTCAGAGTTGTCAGCATACGGATCAGTATTTAAAGTCATGAGACTGGAGTGATCAGCTAGAGCAAATGTTGTCAACAGGTAAGACAAAGGGTGAGAAATGTCAACTGGATTTAGTGATGCAGCAATCACTGGTATCTCTGACATAAGAAATTGTTATTATCAGTGACTCTGCTTAGAATAATATCCTTTTCATCATAATGTCCAAATAGATATAGATCTATGTATCAATTCTGTAATGTCCCTTGGTCTTTCTGTCCATTTACCTACAAGTTCTTCAGACAGTTTTAGTTATTGTAGTTTTATATCCTGGCACCTGGTAGGGCTAACTCCTCATTACACTACTTTCATAGAATGTTTATTCTTGCATGGTGTTTCTTCCTCCCATAAGAACTTTATAATTACCTTGTGTAGTCCTTTAAAAAAGACTTAGTATTTTCCACTGCACTCTTATTAAATACACAGAATATTTAAGATGTAGAATGGTGACAGCTTAAGAATGGTGCTGAGGACAAGAGAGGAAGTCTCACTAATATGCAATTATTAACTAAAGTTTTGTAAGCAGAAAATGAGATTGCTTAGAATAAAACACAGAATTAAAAGAGAAAGCAGTTGAAATGAACTCCAGCATCTAGAGTCTGAATGGAATCATGTAAATTGCCAATGGAAACCAGGAAGGTATGGTCAGAGTTGTGAGAAGAAATGCCAGAGTATGGTATAATGGAAGCCAAGGGAATACTGTTGAAAGACAGGAAAATGAGAGTTAAACTGCATTTACAGTGATGCAAGTCACTGAGGACCTTAAAAAAAAAAAACGATTTAGTGGTCTAGGGGACAAAGCTAAATTAACACGTGTTAAAGAATGGGATGGCAAGAGAGAAACACAGCAAGAGCTACAGGAGTATGCCAACTAGAGGACAGTTTTTGTTTTGATGATAGGAAAGACCTGAGTGTGATTAAGTTTTGATGGGAGGATCTAGTACCAACGGACAGACTGAAGATACTAAAGAGAAAGGAGAAAAGGAACAGTATAAGGGTCCTGAAGAAGGGTGGAGAGTTATATTCAGCAATGTGGATGTGTGTAGCAGGAGGAAAGGATGGCTCTAGCCAGAGGAATTGATCCCACACCTCCCTTCGTAACAGGCAGGAAGGAGGAGAGAATGGGGGTAGCACCAGCTAGGTGTGTATATATAGACTTAGTAAGCAAAGTTCAGAAAATTCTGCATTGTCCACCAAGTAAGAGAAGTGGTCATCTTACCTTTTTTTTTTTTTTTTTTTTGAGGCAGGGTCTTCCTCTGTCACCCAGAGCTAGAGTGCAGTGGCACGATCTTGGCTCACTGCTGCCTTGACCTTCTGGGCTCGAGTGATCCTCCCACCTCAGCCTCCCAAGTAGCTGGGACCACAGGTATGCACCACCACGCCCAGCTAATTTTTGTATTTTTTTGTAGAGATGGGGTTTCGCTACGTTGCCTAGGCTGGTCTAAAACTCCTGAGCTCAAGTGATCCACCTGAATCAGCCTCCCAAGTGCTGGGATTACAGGCGTGAGACACTGTGTATGGCCCATCTTAAATTTGATTAATAAAAGACACTCTTATTGTTGAACACTTACACTACTTTCGGTATATCACTAAGAACAGAATAGTTGGGTCAAAGTGGTAAGCACTTTGTGAAACTTTTGAATTCCTACTGCCTAACTTCCCTTGAGAACAAAGGGTTTCCCATTTACACTCCCTCTAGAACTCCTCTCCTCAAGTTGGATGGCTATCACTACTTTTTCCCCCCAACCATTCTGTCTTGGCATCCAATGTTCATTTTTATTAATATTTTAAGAAGAAAAGGCTGATTTTTTTAAAGCAAGGTTTGAGATGAATGGTAATTACTCATGTATAACTTCAAATAGACTTCATTTAAAAATATTTTTAAAATATAAGTCCATTAAAGTCATGTAATAAAGATATGTACCTCTGAAAATGAAGTGTGAGATCAGATTTATCCTTTACCATTATGGACACAATGTAATAAAATGGCAAGGAGCTGAAGAAATAAAGGAAGAAACAACTTCCCAATAAACAGATTACAGAAAAGCCTTCCATGAGAAACTTCTTGAATAGGACTCAGTAAACAGTCATCTATCTGGTCAAAGGACAGGATTCTTTGATTACCTGAAAATCATTTGCAATTCAGATCAACAAGTAAAATCACCCACCAATGAAGTACATAAGCATCCCCTGCCACTGAACCCCCACAAGCTACAGATTTCATGCCAAAACCCTCTCTCCATTAACACCTTATCATCACTATGCTGAAAGCCAATGAGAATGCAGGTAACAACCTAGATCTGGGTCAGGAATTATTTTTATTGCAGGTAAGGAACTGCACAAATCTCAAACGGCACCAAAAACAGGCCCTTCTTTCTTACCTTTACCATGAACGTGAAGTCTGTTAGGGCTGGGGAGTAGACGGCCCCACCAGCACATGGGCCCATGATCAGAGAAATCTGAGGGATGACTCCGGATGCCGTAACATTCCTCTGCCAAAACAGAAAAGCAAAAGCATCTGGTTACAGAGATGTTTGAGGCATTATCTGTGGAAAGATAAAGACAACAATAAGATAACATTTGGCTTTTTTCCCACAGAAATTCTATACAGGAGGCAACAGACCTAATCAGTGAAGTTCTTTAAGAATTATATGTGCATTTTCTCCCCGTAACTGGTAGGATGGTCAGCATATTACTTTCTGAGGCAAGTATTTTCTCTCCCCTCCCCTCCTGGGCAGCAGTTCCCTAAAACCTTCACTAAGGGCATGAGGTACAGAGTGTATCCCACCATCCTCACCACAGCTCCAAATGCAAAGCCCCCCATCTGTGCAAAGCTGCCTGAAAGAAGACTGAAAACCTCATGCAGAGTTTGCAGAGCCAACACTTATCTTGGCACCCTGACCTCTATTTTGAGTCCCTCCACACCCTCCACAGAAGGCACGCAAGGGTACAAGCAGGTGCTTCTTGACACTGAGTACCCAGTGTCTACTCTGCCCATCCCCAGACAAGGAATGCAGGAGAGAAGGCGGTAGAAGGAGCCAGAAAGCCTCCATAAGGACACTGTGTTGTGAAGGACTAAGCCTCAGGAAAGATAGGATGTGGGGGCTCAAAAGACCCAGGCAAGATGATAAAAGGCCCAATTATTCTTTGCCCTACTTCCAAATTCTTTCCTTCTCCTAAGTCCCATCAGCTTAGGAAAAGTAGGTTCACTTTTCAGCCTGCCTTGGCTCTAAGCCCAATCTATACACAGCTAAGGACAGTGCAAAATGTAATCTATGCTTTCTGCAAAGATATCAAGGTAGTAGGGGAGACTTCCAGCTGTGGCAGAGTGAAGAGTTCAGAAAATTCTCTCCCCAAAAACAACTGGACAGCATTGTCAAAAACGAGTATTTTGGGGTTCTAAAAATGAGCCAAATGTAACAAATTGAGAAGTGTTTATTCATGAAAAACTACTAAACTTGAGATAAGAACAGTGAAAGCCTGTGGCATTCTTAACCAAGGCTGCCACCATTGCCCATACCAGCTCAAAATGTCCTACTGGATGAAAGAAAATAACACCAGACTATAATTCAAATCCACAAGAACCAATTAAGAGTGCTGAAAATGATAAATATGTGATTATAAACACTGCATAAGTATAGTTCTCTTTTCTTAATACTTTGAAAAACAAGACTGTATAAAGCAATAATTAACACTGTTTTGAGTATTACATAACAATAAAAGCACAAATGAAGGGGGAGAAAATGGAGCTACATTGGAGCAAAGTTCCTGTCTTACCAGAATTAAGTCAGTATTAATTTGAAGCAGACTGTGATAAATTAAGAGATATATAGTAACCCTTAGAGCAACTACTAAAAATAACTCAAAAAATACAGCTAAAAAACACTAGAAATTAAAATGGTACACTAAAACTATATGCTTACCATAAAAAAACTGAGTGACATCACAGAAGAGAGAACAGGAAGCTCCAAGAATATCTGAGATCAAAACAACTATTCAGCTGTCTAAAGCAACTATTTTTGAACTCTGGAGTCTACTCAAACACTTCAGGGCCCAGAGGAGAATTTGATAAAACAGCAAGTAAATTTCAGTAAACTTCACATTTATTAATAACATGGCTGCTATAATCCCCCAGCCAACAACCCATGGCAGGTAGCCACGAGGATGTTCCTAGTGTAGCTAGTTGGTGCCAGATTGGGAAATTAGAACCTTTGCATCTTGGTTTTTCAACCTTGAAAAATCAAGGTTGTATGTTCTGATTACTGACCACTGCTTTTGATGGCTGAGGGGCTAAGCATAGAGGCTGGCATTGTTTCAACCCTGATTGGCTCAAGCAGCTTCCCAGCCACAAGGGATTTAAAAAGGTAGTTTGTTCCACACCCCTCCACACTTCTGGGAGACAGACATTTAAGGAAATTACTGTCAGATTGCTGGTTAAACACAGTGATAAGAGAACTAAAATTTCAATGTCCATATTAAAAAAGGAACATACTCTTTGCAAAAACAGCTTGCAAAAGTTCAAACAGATGGACCCAGCAGTTGACAAGCAAAAATCGGCTATTCCTGAAAAGTAGGAGAACTAGACTTCCAAACTTCCAAACATAATATTCAGAATTTCTCATCCTCAACAAAAATCACAAATCATACAAAGAAATAAGCAAGTATGGCCCATTCACAAGAAAAAAATAATTTAACAAAAATCATCTCTGAAGAAACCCAGATATTGGACTTAATAGTCAAAGATGGCACATGAACTGTCTTAAATATGTTCAATGAGCTAAAGAAAGCTGTGGGGGGAAAAAACTACAGGAAATCAGGAAATCAATGTCTGAACAAAATGAGAACACCACAAAGAGACAGAAATTATGAAAAGGAACCAAGCAGAAAGCCTGGAGTTGACAATAACTGAAATGAAAAATTCATTTCAGGGGTTCAACAGCAGACTTAAGCAAGCAGAAAAAAGGATCAGGAAACTGGAATACAAAACAAAATAATCTAGTATAAGGAACCAGAAAAAAGAAAAGGAGAAATTAATAGAGCCTGAGGGACCTGTGGGAAACCAAACATACCAATATACACATTATAGGAATCTCAGAAGAACAGAAAGAAAGGGTCAAAGATTTGAAGAAATAATGACTGAAAACTTCCCACATTTGATGAAAGACATAAGTATACATACCCAAGAAGCTCAACAAACTCCAAGCAGTATGAACTCAAAGAGATCTACACGGAGACATATTATAGTCAAACTGTCAAAACACAATAAGAGAAACTTGAAAGCAGCAAGATAGAAGCAACTGATCCCATGCAACTGATCCTCAGCAAGATTAACCATGGAGGCCGGAAGGCAGTGGGACATATTTAAAGTACTGAAAAGTCAGGTGCGCTGGCTCACACCTGTAATCCCAGCACTTTGGGAGAATGAGGCAGGAGGACCACTTGAGGCCAAGAGTTTGAGACCAGCCTGGACGATATAGTGAGCCCTGATCTCTACAGAAAGTTTTTTTGGTTGGTCGGGCATAGTGGTGTTCTACTAGCTACTCAGAAGGCCAAGGTAGGAAGACTGCTTGATCCTATAAGGTCAATGCTGCAATGAGCCATGATCATGCCACTGCACTCTATTCTGCGTGACACAGCAAGACCCTGTGTCTAAAATAAAAATAAAAACAAAATATTGAAAGAAGGCTGGGCACAATGGCTCATGCCTGTAATTGCAGCTCTTTGGGAGACCAAGGCAGGTGAACTGCTTGAGTCTACGAGTTTGAGACCCACCTGGGCAACATGGTGAAACCCTGCCTTTACAAAATATACAAAAATTAGCTAGGCATGGTGGTGCATGCCTATGGCCCCAGCTACTCAGGAGGCTGAGGAGGGAGAATCATTTGAGCCTGGCAGGCAGAGTTGCTGTGCGCCAAGATCGCACCACTGCACTCCATCCTGGGCAACAGAGCAAAACTCTGTCTCAAAAAGAAAAAAAGAAGTATTGAAACAAAATAACTGGTCAACCAATAACTTTATATCCAGCAAAACTATCCTTCAAGAAAGAAGGGAAAATTAAGACATTTCCAAGTCAACAAAAGCTGAGAGCATTCATTTGCAATAGACACGCCATACAAGAAATTCTACAGGGAGTCCTTTAGTCTGAAACAAAAGGATATTAGACAGTAACATGAGGTCATGAGAAAAAATAAAGAACACTAATAAATGTAACTTCCTAGGTAAATATAAAAGTAGTGTTGTACTTTGGTTTGTAATGTCTTTTTCCTATGTGATTTAAAAGGCAAATGTGCTGCTCCTCTCAGCAGTTGCGGCCCCAGCAGAGGAGTCTGCACAAAAAATAAAATTTACAAAAATAAATAAAAAGGCCGGGCGCGGTGGCTCACGCCTGTAATCCCAGCACTTTGGGAGGCCGAGACGGGCAGATCACGAGGTCAGGAGATCGAGACCATCCTGGCTAACACGGTGAAACCCCGTCTCTACTAAAAATACAAAAATTAGCCAGGCATGGTGGTGCGCGCCTGTAGTCCCAGCTACACGGGAGGCTGAGGCAGGAGAATGGCGTGAACCTGGGAGGCGGAGCTTGCAGTGAGTCGAGATCACGCCACTGCACTCCAGCCTGGGCGACAGAGCGAAACTCCGTCTCAAAAAATAAATAAATAAATAAATAAAAATAAAATGCAAATGCATGAAACAATAAATCTGTTGTTAATGAGTATAACATGTATAAAGATATAATCTATGACAATAACAACATAAAAAAGGAAGGATGGAGAGTTACAGAAGCAGTATGTCTATGTACTACTAAAGCTAACCTGGTATTCTTCCAACTAGTTCAAGATATTAATTATAATCCCCAAGGTAACCACTAAGAAAACAAACTTTAAAATATGATTAAAATGAAAGAAGTGAATCAAAAAGGCAAACAACTCAACTAAATATCACCACCCCAAGGCCATAATGGAGGAACTGAGGCATAAAAAACCAAAACACATACAGAAATAACTAAATGGCAGAAGTAAATCCTTCTTTTTCAGCAATCATGCTAAGTATAAATGGATTAAACTCTTCTATTAAAAGACAGGGATTGACAGATTGCATACAGACAGAATCTATCTGTATGCTATTTACAGGAGCTTCACTTTAGATACAAAGACATGAAGAGGTAAACTAAAGGATGGAAAAAAATATTCCATGCAAAGGGTAACCAAAATAGACCCTAGGTGGCTATATTACTATCAGACTAAAGAGACTTTAAATCAAAAACTTACTAGAGAGACATATTGATAAAAGGTTCACATCTAGAAAATATACCAGTTAAAAAAATATACACACCTAACAGAGCCCCAAAATCTATGAAGCAACAAGAGCCCTAAAATACACAAAGCAAAAGTTAACAGAATTGTGGGGAGAAATAGGTGCACAATAATAGTTGCAGACTTAACACCTCACTTCTAATAACAGACAGAACAACTAGACAGAAGATCGGTAAGTTAACAGTACACTTGAACAACACTATGAACTAATACATATAAAAGACCTATAGAGAACACTCCACCCAACAACAGAGTATATATTCTTGTCAAGTGCATATGCAACATTCTCCAGGAGAGACCATACATTAATCCACAAAACAAATCTTAAATTTAAAATGATTGGAATCATAAAAAACATCTTTTCTGATCACAATGGAATAAAACTATAATTCAATAACAATAGGAAAACTGAAAAATTCACAAACACGTAAAAATTAATCAAAACACTTCTAAATAAGCAATAGGCAAAAGAAGAATCTACAAGAGAAGTTAGAAAATACTTTGAGAGGTTTTGGTTTTTCCACCCCCACCAAGATGGCAGATAAGAAGCAGTGTTAGCATGCCTCTCCCACTTAGAAGAACAGAATAGTGTATTGAGAATCACATGGTGACTCTTTTTCCAAGAAGCCACGCAGGAACTTAACAGGAAAACTGAAAGAATCCACAGACCTTTTAAAGAAGTGGCAGTCTGCAGCCTAAACCATAAGACAAGGGAAAAACTGTAAGTCTCCAGAGTGTGAGATAGAGAGAAGCTGCTTTCAGGTTCCCACTGGGGAACCTGAAAATCCAGGCCATGGGGGAAGGCCTTAACCTTACCCAGGGCTGGGACTGATTTAGGGAGCAGTAAGAAATATAAAAGTAGAAACAGTGGCGGGAAGTGCTTTGCAGGCATTCCCAGTCTCCAGTGCAGACCAAGGTAAGCCATTCTTTATTGTACCTCACAGGGGACCTTGGGGAAGTCAGCCAACAAGCTCAGGTAGTGGTCGCAGGTTGAAAGAATCTCCCCATTTCAAGATATAACACTGAGTGAGGATGAACTCCTTTGTCCAGAACCCATACCTCCCAGGGGCAGGGGGAAGTGCACTGCAGCCACAAGTGCAGGAGCCAGGTGCCTGGCCCTGCAGGTGGCCTGGGAGGAGCATGGCCTGAAAGCCACAGCTGCTTTCCCACAGGGAAAGCTTATGGCCTGGGGCAGGTTTGAGTTCTGAGCCTAGGCTGCCTGGAACTTAGCCCAGTGCAGCTAGCAGAGCACAGAGGGAGTGAGATCTGCCTTTCCGACCGTGTGGGATCTGGGTGAGGCTTAGTGCCACCTGTTACTCCCCACACACTGTGCGATCTCTTCTGTGCAGTAGAGGCAGTTATATTCCTCTCTGGAACATTACCCTAATGACCTGAGAACCGCCCCCCCAACCCTCATAGGAGCCACGGCTTTCCCCACACATGGAGAGACAGAGTGTAGACCCACCTGACCCAGCCCCCACCTGGCTGTACCCCTCCACCCACCCTGGTTACTTAATACAAAGGACAGAAACTTTTGGCAGCTTTATGGACCCCGTTGTCACCTGAGAAACCAGAATACCTCCTGGGCAACACAGGACAAGCTCGAATCCCACTGCTACTACTGCAGCTGGTGCCCTTTTGTAAACGCTACCTCCAGGCTGGATGCCAACCAACACAGTCCACTACAGCATCTCTAGGTAGAATAACACTGTGAACAGAAAGGAGAAAACCAGTGCATGACCTAAGCTATCATCATTGCCTGCAAAACCCTGGCTAACCAGGAGGTCCTGCATCTGTCCACGTGACCAGTTCACTACTATTATAACCAGCATTCGAGAAAGCCAGCACACTAAGGCTTTCTGTAACCAAGGAACCTCAAAGAGTCTACCTCACTCACCTGACACTCCCATCAGCACTAGTGTTGGTATATCCCTTGCTGGGAGACTTGAGGACAGGTCCCATTACCGGATCCCTTGCAGACATTCCCCAGCACCAGCCTGGAGTTGGGCAGCCCCACTGGGTGGCTAGACCCAGAAGAATAGCAATCAACTTATCCTGGCTCTCAGGAATTCTTACTCCTAAGGGAAGGAGGAGACCACCACACCAAGGGAATACCCCATGGGACAAAAGAATTCAGATGGCAGGCCTTGAGTTCCAGATCTTTCCACTGATGGGAAGTTCCTTTCAGCAGAGACACAATTGCAGTGCTGGGCTCAGAAGGGAAAGTCTGCAGCTCTACCCCAACAATCAGGCAGCTTTGCTGCTCATGAAGGGTCCTGGAGAAGGTATCTTCTCTCCCACCTTGTCCACCACTACACAGACACAGTTGGGGCTTCTCCACAGGAGCTTGGCAAAGGTGAACCTATAGACAGCCTTCCTGGAACACTACAGAGTGACTGCATCTCCACAGGAGGAATCCCCCAACCCCCACCCCCGCCCTGGCCCAAGTTCAGGCTTGCAAGAGAGGCAGAGTCACAAATTCCTCTCTGTGTGGAACAACAACAGTCCTACAGATGAAAAGAGATGCCTGTCTGATCCGAATAGCTGGAACACTAGGGCAGGAGCGAGTCTGGGAGGTGAATAGCTTTCCTACTGGCCTGGCAAAGGAGCTGAGGTGGCTCCCACCCTTCCCCTTGATAAGACCTCAGTGCATCTAATTGAGAGTTCCCCCAGCCACTTTCATCAAGGGTGGAACCTCTCTGCCTTACTGAGTATTGCATTTACCCATTTGCTTTAGCCACAACTGGTTCCTACCCAGGGACAGCTCCCCTACTGGCCTGAAGCCTTAACCATCAACTTAGTAAATAAAATACAGGGGAAAAATTAAATAAATAAAAAAGCACACACCACAGGGGAATGAGATGAGCTTCAAGAGACCTTTCCATCTCAACCCCATAGGAGACAGTGAACTTGCCCACACATCAAGTACATATCTATTAAATACAGGCCAGGGGCAGTGGCTCACGCCTGTAATCCCAACACTTTGGGAGGCCAAGGCAGGTGGATCACCTGAGGTCAGGAGTTTGTGACCAGCCTGGCCAACATCCTGAAACCCCGTCTCTACTAAAAATACAAAAATTAGCCAGGCGTAGTGGTGCACACCTGTAGTCCCAGCTACTCGGGAAGCTGAGGCAGGAGAATCACTTGAACCCGGGAAGTGGAGGTTGCAGTGAGCCAAGATTGTGCCACTGCACTCCAGCCTGAGTGACAGAGCGAGACGCCATCTCAACAAAAATAAATAAATAAATAAATAAATACAACCAGCATCTAAAGAAGCCATCATACAAAGACTCTCTATAGCCAAGGAACTCATACAGTCTTCCCCCTAAAAGCATTAAGAATCACATTAGGCTATAATAAACTATAAACACTAAAGTCACATCCTTAGTGAAGAGGAAAAAGAAACTTAAAAAAACCACAGCCAAATCAAAAATAAATTCAAGAACAATTAGAAGAAATACTCTACACAAACGAGAAAGAACCAGAAAAGTAATTTTGGTATAAGACAAAACAGGGTTCTATCATACCCCCGAAAGATCACACTAGCTCCCCAGCAATGGATCCAAACTAAAACGAAATATTTGAAATAATCAGATAAATAATTCAGTAGGTTGATTATTAAGCTACTCAAGGAGACACCATAGAAAGGTGAAAACCAACATAAAAAAAAAACTTAAAAAACAATTCAGAATATGAAGGAAAAATTTTCTACATAGATATCATAAAGAAAAAACAATCAGAATTTCCGGAAATGAAACACACTTAGGGAAATACAAAATGCAATGGAAAGTTTCAACAATAGACCAGAACAAGTCAAAGAATGAATTTCAGAGCTCCAAGACAAGGCTTTCAAATTAACCCAATCAGACAAAAATAAAGAAAAAAGAATCAAAAGAAATAAATAGGCTGGGGTCAGTGTCTCATGCCTATAATCCTAGCACTTTGGGAGGGCAAGGCAGGTGGACTGCTTGAGCCCAGACTTTGAGACCAGCCTGAGCAACATAGCAAATTTCCATCTCTACAAAAAAAACATAAAAATTAGCCGGGAGTGGTGGCATGTGCCTGTAGTCCCAGATACTCAGGAGGCAGAGGTGTGAGGATTGCCTGAGCCCAGGAGACAAAGGTCACAACACTGTACTACAGCCTGGGCAACAGAGTAAGACCCTATCTCAAGAAAGAAAAAAAAAAAAAGAAAGAAGAAATGAACAAAGCTTCCAAGAAATATGGGATTATGTAAAACAACCAAACCTAAAAATACTTGGTGGTCCTGAGGGAGAAGAGAAGGCTAAAAGTTTAGAAAACTTATTTGAGAGAATCATTGAGGAAAACTTCCCTGGCCTTGCCTGAGATTTCAATATCCAAATGCAAGAAGCTCAAAGAACTCCTGGGAAATTCATTGCAAAAAGATTATCACCAAGGCACATAGTCATCGGGCTATCTAAAGTCAACATGAAGGAAAGAATCCTAAGAGCTATGAGACAAAAGCATCAGGTAACCTATAAAGGAAAACCAATCAGACTAACAGCAGATTTCTCAGCAGAAACCTTACAAGCTAGAAGGGATTGGGGTTCTATCTTTAGCCTCCTTAAACAGAATAACTGCCACCCAAGAATTTTGCATCCAGCAAAACTAAGTTTCCTAAATGAAGGAGAGATAAAGCCATTTTCAGATAAACAAATGCCGAGGGAATCTGCCACTACCAAACCAGCATTACTCTTCAGAAGAGTTCTACATCTTGAAACAAAAGCTCAATATGCACCAAAATAAAACCTCTTGAAAGATAAAACCCACAAGGCCTATAAAACAATAACACAATGAAAAAAAAACAAAGTAAGTAACAACTAAAATGATAAACAGATCAGTATCTCACATCTCAATATTAATGTTGAACGTAAATGGCCTAAATGATCCACTTAGATACAGAATGGCAGAATGGATTTTTAAAAAATCACAAACCAAATATCTGCTGTCTTCAAGAGAGTCATCTAACACATAAGGATTCATATAACCTCAAGGTAAAGGGGGGGAAAGAGATATCCCATGCAAATGGGAACCAAAAGCAAGCAGAATGAGCTATTCTTTTTTTTTTTTTTTTTTTTTTTTTGAGACAGAGTCTCCCTCTGTCACCCAGACTGGAGTGCAGTGGTGCAACCTCGGCTCACTGCAAACTCCGCCTCCTGGGTTCACGCCATTCTCCTGCCTCAGCCTCACAAGTAGCTGGGACTACAGGCACCCGCCACCACGCCCGGCTAATTTTTTGTATTTTCAGTAGAGACAGGGTTTCACCGTGTTAGCCAGGATGGTCTCGATCTCCTGACCTCGCGATCCGCCCGTCTTGGCCTCGCAAAGTAGCTATTCTTATATCAGACAAAATAGACCTTTAAAGCAACAACAGTAAAAAAAAAAAAAAAAAAAAAAGAAAAAAGAAAAAAAAAAAGAAAGAAAAAGAAGGTCATTATATAATAAAAGGAACAATCCAACAAAAAGATATTATAATCCTGAATTCATATTCACCTAATACTGGAGCTCCCAGATTTATAAAACAATTACTACTAGACCTAGGAAATGAAATAGCAACAAAGTGAAATGGGGGACCTCGATACTCCACTGACAGCACTAGACTCTTTTTGTTGAGACAGAAACTCAACAAAGAAGCAATGGACTTAAAGTATACCCTAGAACAAATGGACTTAACAGATATTTACAGAACATTCTACCAAACAACTGCAGAATATACATTCTTCTCCTCAACACATGGAACATTCTCCAAGATAGACTGTATGACAGGCCACAAAACAAGTCTCAACAAATTTAAGAAAATTGAAATCATATCAAGTATCTTCTCAGACTACAGTGGAACAAAACTAGAAACAACTCCAAAAGAAATGCTCAAAACTATACAAATACATGGAAATTAAATAATCTGCTCCTGAATAATTTCTGGGTTAACAATAAATCAAGATAAAAATTTAAAAATTTGAAATGAATGATAGTAGTGACACAGTTATAAAAACCTCTGGGGATACAGCAAAAGTAGTGCTAAGAGGAAAGTTCATAGTTTTAAGTACATACATCAAAAAGTCTGAAAGAACACAAACTGACAATCTACTGTCTCACCTCAATGAACCAGAGAAACAGGTACGAACTAAACCCAATGCCAGCAGAAGAAATAACAAAGATCAGAGCAGAACTAAAGGAAATTGAAGCAAAAAATAAAACAAAAACTTGGTTCCTTGAAAAAATAAACAAAATTGGTCGACCATTAGACTAACCAAGAAGAGAATAGATCCAAATAAGCTCAATGAAAAATGAAACTGGAAATATTATAACCAATATCATAGAAATACAAAAGATCACTCAAGACTAACATGAACATCTTTACACACACAAACTGAAAAATCTAGAGGAAATGGATAAACTCGTGGAAACATACAATCCTCTAAATCAGGAAGAAACAGAAACCCTGAACAGACCAAAAACAAGCAGTGAGACTGAATCAGTAATTTTAAACTGCCAACAACAAAAAAGCCCAGGACCAGATGGATCACAGTTGAATTCCACTAGATATTCAAAGAATTGGTACCAATCCTACTGAAACTATTCCAAAAGATTGAGAAAGAGGGAATCCTTCCTAAATCATTCTATGAAGCCAGTATCACCCTAATACCAAAGCCAGGAAATGACATTAAAAAAAGAAAACTACAGACCAGTGTCTCTGATAAACATGGATGCAAAAATCCTCAACAAAATACTAGCTAACCAAATCCCACAGCACATCAAAAAGATAATACAACATGATCAAGTGAGTTTCATCCCAGAGATGCAGGGATGGTTTAACATATGCAAGTCAATAAATGTGATAAATCCCGTAAACAGAATTTAAAACAAAAACCATATGATCATCTCAATTGCATGCAGAAAAAGCATGCAATAAAATCCAGCATCTCTTTATGACAAAAAACTCTCAAACTAGGCATAGGAGGGATATACTTCAAAATAGTAAAAGCAATATATGATAAACCCACAGCCAACATCGTAATGAATGGGGAAAAGTTGAAAGCATTCCCCCTGAAAACTGGAACAAGACAAGGATGCCCACTTTCACCACTTCTATTCAACATAGTACTGGAAGTCCTATCCAGAGCAATTGGGCAAGAGAAAGAAATAAAGGGCATCCAAATTGGAAAAGAGGAAGTCAAACAAGTACTGTTTATCAGTGATATGATCATATATACTTGGAAAACTCTAGCGACTCATCCAAAAGACTCCTAGATCTGATAAAGGAATTCAGTAAAGTCTTAGGTTACAAAATTAATATAGACAAATAAATAGCTCTGCTATACACCAACAATAACCAAAGTGACAATCAAATCAAGAACTCAATTCCTTTTACAACAGCTGCAAAAAATAAAATAAAATACCTAGGAATATACCTAACCAAGGAGGTGAAGATCTCTACAAGTGAAACTACAAAACGCTGCTGAAAGAAACTATACATGACACAAACAAATGAAAACACATCTCATGCTCATGGAGGTAAGAATCAATATTGTGAAAACGATCATATGGCCCAAAGCAATCTACAGATTCAATGCAATTCCCATCAAAACACTACCATTACCATCATCATTTTTCACAGAACTAGAAAATACAATCCTAAAATTTATATGGAACCAAAAAAGAGTCCAGATAGCCAAAGCAATACTAAGCAAAAAGAACAAATCTGAAGGCATCACATTACCAGACTTCCAAGACTTAAATCTAAGACCTGAAACCATAAAAATTCTGCAACATTGGAAAAACTCTTCTGAACACTGGCCCAGGCAAAAAATCCATGACTAAGACCCCAAAAGCTAATGCAACAAAAACAAAAATAAATGGGACCTAATTAAACTAAAAAGCTTCTGCACAGCAAAAGAAGTAATCAGCAAAGAGCCAACTCACAGAGCTGGAGAAAATATTTGCAAACTATGCACCTGACAAAGGACCAGTATGCAGAATCTACAAGGAACTCAAATCAGCAAGAAAAAATAATCCCATCAAAAAGTAGGCAAAGGACATGAATAGACATTTCTCAAAAGAAGATATACAAATGGCCAACAAACATGAAACAAAATGCTCACATCACTATCAGGAAAATGCAAATGAAAACCACAATGAGATACCACCTTACTCCTACAAAAACGGCCATAATTAAAAAGTCAAAAAACAGCCGGGCGCAGGGGCTCATGCCTGTAATCCCAGTAATTTGGGAGGCCAAGGCAGGTGGATCACCTGAGGCCAGGAGTTTGAGACCAGCCTGACCAATATGGTGAAACCCTGTCTCTACTACAAATACAAAAATTAGATGGGTGTAGTGGCGTGTGCCTGTAGTCCCAGCTACTCGGGAGGCTGAGACAGGAGAACTGCTTTAACCCACAAGGTGGAGACTGCAGTGAGCCGAGATCGCGCCATTGTACTCCAGCCTGAGAAACAGAGCAAGACTCTGCCTACAGCGGGAAAAAAAAAAATGTCAAAAAACAACAGATGTGGCCGGGCACTTCATGTAACTTGTGTGAGTGTTCTGTCTTACTGAAATCAGAAAAGTTCATAACCAGTGCATAGGGAACCTACCTCACAGAGGCAACCCTTCCAACTCATTCTATGAGGTGAGAATTACTGTAATACCAAAACCAAAAGAAAAAATCACAAGGTAACTGTAGGTCAATGTTTCTTACTAATATTGATTCAAAAGTACTCAAGGAAATACTGGCAGAGCCCAGCACCTTCCAAAAAAGGATGATATACCATGACCAAGTAGGATTTATCACAGAAATACAAGGTTGGTTTAACATTCTAAAAACCAGTAATGTTACATACCATATCATTAGAATAAAGAACAAAAAACACATGATTATCTCACAGATGCAGAAAAAAGCATTTGACAATATTAAATACCCTTCATGATAAAAACACTCAAAAAATTAGAAGTAGAAAGGAACTTCCTCAACCTTCAAGAGAATGTCCAAAAAAAAAAAAAAAACACACACCAGTTAACATCATGCTTAATGGTGAAGAATGAATGCTTTCTCCTTAAGATTAGGAACAAGACAAGGATGTCCACTCTTATTTTTTTTTTTTTTTTTTTTTTGAGACAGAGTCTCACTCTGTCACCCAGGCTGGAGTGCAGTAGCACGATCTCGGCTCACTACAGGCTCCGCCTCCCGGGTTCACGGCATTCTCCTGCCTCAGCCTCCCGAGTAGCTGGGACTACAGGCACCCGCCACCACACCCGGCTAATTTTTTTGTATTTTTAGTAAAGACAGGGTTTCACCGTGTTAGCCAGGATGGTCTCTATCTCCTGACCTCGTGATATGCCCACCTCGGCCTCCCAAAGTGCTGGGATCACAGGCGTGAGCCACCGCACCCGGCCAAGGATGTCCACTCTTACCACTTCTACTTAACACTGTACTACAGGTTCTAAGCAGAGCAATTAGCAAGAAAAAGAAATAAAAGGCATCCAGATTAGAAAGGAATAAGTAAAACTGCCTCTATTTGCAGAAGACATGATTGTGTATATAGAAAATCCAAAGAAATACACACATACACACACACCCCCTATTCAAGCTAATACACAACCTCAGCAAAGCAGTATACAAGATCAACATATGAAAATCAATTGTATCTCTATACATTTGCAAAGAATCCAAATAGGAAATTAACAAGATAATTCCATTCTAAATAGCATCACAAAGAGTAAAATATTTTGTTTTGTTTTGAGACGGAGTCTTGCTCTGTCACCCAGGCTGGAGTCTGCAACCTCCGCCTCCTGGATTCAAGCGATTCTCCTGCCTCAGCCTTCTGAGTAGCTGGGATTACAGGCATGCACCACAACACCTGGCTAATTTTTGTATTTTTAGTAGAGACAGGGTTTCACTATGTTAGCCAGGCTAGTCTCGAACTTGTGACCTCAGGTGATCCCCCTGCCTTGGCCTCCCCAAGTGCTAGGATTACAGGCGTGAGCCACTGCACCTGGCCAGAGTGAAATATTTTAGGTATAAGTTTAACAAAAGAAGTGCAAGACAGGTATGCTGCAAATTACAAAATATTGCTGAGACAAAGTATAGAGCTACATAAACAGAGAAACATTCCATCTACGTGGAGTGGAAGACTCAATATGTTAGGATGTAAATTCTCACCAAATTCATCTACAGACTCAATGCAGTTCCTATCAAATCTCAGCAGGCATTTTTGTAGAGTTAAGAGCTGATCGGGCTGGGTGCGGTGGCTCACGCTTGTAATCCCAGCATTTTCAGAGGCCGAGGCGGGTGGATCACCTGAGATCAGGTGTTCAAGACCAGCCTGACTAACATGGTGAAACCCTATCTCCACTAAAAATACAAAAATTAGCTAGGTGTGCTGGCACGTGACTGTAATCCCAGCTACTCGGGAGGCTGAGGCAGGAGAATCGCTTGAACCCAGGAGGTGGAGGTTGCAGTGAGCTGAGATCATGCCACTGTGCTCCAGCCTGGGCTACAAAGCGAGACTACATCTAAAAAAAAAAAAAAAAACCAAGTTGGAGGATTTTACACAACTTCAAAACTCCTATAAACTACAGTAATCAAGACAGTGTGGTTCTATTTTAAGGACAGACATAGAACAATGGAAGAACTGAGAGTTCAGAAACAAACCCTTACATTTATGATCAACTGATATTTTTATCAATGTGTCAAGACAATTCAATGGGGAAAGAATAGTTATGTCAATTAATGGTGGGAGACAAGAGTGATGTTAGACTCTTCTGTCACACCATATACAAAAATTAACTCAAAATGGATCACAGACCTACTATAAGAAAGCTGGCTGGGCTCTCTTATATGTACTTGTGTATGTAGATATATATATATATATATACATATATATATATATATATATATATATATATATATCTACACACACACACACACACACGCACACACACACACACTAGCCAGGTTTGGTGGCAGGCACCCATAATCCCTGAGATAGCGCCATTGCACTCCATCCTGGGCGACAAGAGTGAAACTCCATCTCAAAAAAAAAAAAAAAAAAAGAGCCAAACCTACAAAAAAAACTCCATGAAGAAAACAAAATCTTCATGACTTTGTATTACAAGTTTTTACATATGACAATAGAAGCATGACCCACAAAAGAAAACTTGATAAACTGGACTTCAAAATTAAAAACTTCTCCACCTCAAAAGCCACCAGAGGCTGGGCACATCGGCTCATGCCAGTAACACCAGCACTCTAGGAAGCCGAGGTAGGAGGACAGTTTAAGTCCAGAAGTTTGAGAACAGCCTGGGCAACATAGTGGGACCCTCACCTCTACAAATAATGAAAAAAAATTGCCAGATGTGGTAGCATGTGCCTGTGGTCTCAGCTACTCAGGAGGATGAGGCAGGAGGACTGCCTGACCCCGGGAAGTCCAGGCTGCAGTGAGCCATGATTACACCACTACACTTCAGCCTGGGTGACAGAGTGAGACCCTAGCTCAAAAAAAAAGCCACCACAGGCTTGGGGCAGTGGCTTGTAATCCCTGCACTTCGGGATGCCGAGGCAGATCGCTTGAGACCAGGAGTTCAAGACCAGGCTGGGCAATGTAGTAAGACCCCATCTCTACACACAAAAGAAATTTTTCAAAAATTAGCTGGGTGTACTAGTGTGTGCCTATAGTCCTAGCTACTCCGTAGGCTAAGGCAGGAGGATTGCTTGAGCCCAGAGTTCAAGGCTGCAGTGAGCTGTGATTGCACTAACGCACTCTAGCCCAGGCAACAGAGCAAGACCCTGTCTCTAAAAAATAAAATAAAAATAGGCTGAGTGTGCTGGCTCACGCCTGTAACCCCAGCACTTTTAGAGGCCAAGGGAGGCAGATCACCTGAGCTCAGGAGTTCAAGACCAGCCTGGGCAACATGGTGAAACCCTATCTCTACTAAAAATACAAAGAAATTAGCTGGACGTGGTGGCATGCACCTGTAATCCCAGCTACTTGGGTGACTGAGGCACGAGAATCACTTGAACCCAGGAAGTGGAGGTTGCAGTGAGCTAAGATCACACCACTGAACTCCAGCCTGGAGGACAGGGTGAGGCTGTCTCAAAAAATAAAAAATAAAAATAAAAATAAAGCTACCACTAAGAAAGAAAAGACAAGCCACAGACTGGGAGAAAATACTTACAAATCATATATATGATAAAGGACTTGTATCCAGAATATATGAAGAACTCTTACAACTCAAAAACCCAATTACGAGATGGACAAAAGATCTGAATAGACATTTCAGCAAAGAAGGTTTACAAATGACTAATATGTACATAAAGATGCTCAACATGATTAGTCATCTGAGAAATGCAAACTAGAACTACAGTGAGATACCATTACACACCACTAAAATGGCTATAGTCAAAAAGACTGGACCAGGCACAGTGGCTCACGCCTGTAATTCCAACACTTTGGGAGGTTGAGGCAGGAGGATCGCTTGACCCCAGGAGGTCGAGGCTGCAGTGAGCTGTGATCATGCCACTGTACTCCAGCCTGAACAACAGAGTGAGACCCTGTCTCAAAAAAAGACTGGCTGGGTGCGGTGGCTCACGCCTGTAATCCCAGCACTTTGGGAGGCCAAGGCAGATGGATCGTTTGAAGTCAGGAGTTCAAGACCAGCCTGGCCAACATGGTGAAACCCTGTCTCCACTAAAAATACCAAAATTAGCCAGCCATGGTGGCACATGCCTGTAATCCCAGCTGCTCGGGAGGCAGAGGCAGGGCAATCACTTGAACCTGGGAGGCAGAGGTTACAGTGAGCCCAGACTGCACCATAGCACTCCAGCCTGGGCCACAGAGTGAGACTCCATCTCAAAAAAAAAAAAAAACCAAGGCTGGGCATGGTGGTGGCTCACACCTGTAATCCCAGCACTTTGGGAGGCTGAGGTGGGCAGATCACGAGGTCAGGAGATCGAGACCATCCTAGCTAACATGGTGAAACCCAGTCTCTACTAAAAATACAAAAAATTAGCCGGGCGTGATGGCAGGTGCCTGTAGTCCCAGCTACTCGGGAGGCTCAGGCAGGAGAATGGCGTGAACCCAGGAGGTGGAGCTTGCAGTGAGCCGAGATCGCACCACTGCACTCCAGCCTGGGCGACAGGGCAAGACTCTGTCTCAAAAAAAAAAAAACAAAAAAAGACTGACAATACCAAGTATCAACAAAGATATGGAGAACCTGCAACCCTGAACACATTGCTCATGGTAATGTAAATGGTTTAGTTGTTTTGGAAAACCATCTGGCAATTTCTTAAAAAGTTATAAACAAGCTTATCATAAAACCTACAATCCCACTCTTAGGTACCTATCTATCCAAGGGTTATGAAAACATATATCCACACAAAGTAATACACAAATGTTCACAGTAGCATTTACTCATGATAGCCAGGAACCAGAAACAATCCAAATATCCTTCAACTGGTAAATGATGAAAATACATAAAATATTCAATAGATATTATTCACCAATAAAAAGGAACAAACTGATACATATTACAATATAAATGAACCTCAAAAAACATGGTGCTTAGTGAAAGGAGTCAGATGGAAAAATTTGTAAAATAAGAAAGTTGGGTGAGGAATTGACTGTGGTTAGGTGGGAACTGACTGCAAACAGGCAAGAAGGTATTTTTGGAGTGAGTGGCAGGTTTGAAAACTAGATTATGGCTGTACAACTCTAAAAATTAATTTAAAATTACTGAATTATATTTTCACAATGGGTGGATTTTATGGTTTGTAAATTATATCTCAATAAAGCTACTTTTCTTTTTTGAGATGGAGTCTCGCTCTGTCACCCAGGCTGGAGTGCAGTGGCATGATCTCAGTTCACTGCAACCTCCACCTCTCAGGTTCGAGCAATTCCCTGCCTCAGCCTCCCGAGTAGCTGGGATTACAGGCGCTCGCCATCACGCCCGCCTAATTTTTGTATTTTTAGTAGAGACAGGGTTTCACCATCTTGGCCAGGCTGGTCTTGAACTCCTGACCTAGTGATCCACCCACCTCGGCCTCCCAAAGTGCTGGGATCACAGGCATGAGCCACCGTGCCCGGCCCTATTAAGCATTAAGCTCTTTTTTTTTTTTTTTTTTTTTGAGACGGAGTCTTGCTCTGTCGCCCAGGCTAGAGCGCGGTGGCGCAATCTTGGCTGACTGCAAGCTCTGCCTCCCGGGTTCATGCCGTTCTCCTGCCTCAGCCTCCCAAGTAGCTGGGACTACAGGCGCCCGCCACCACACCTGGCTAATTTTTTGTTTTTTTTTAGTAGAGATGGGGTTTCACCGTGTTAGCCAGGACGGTCTTGATCTCCTGACCTCGTGATCCACCTGCCTCGGCCTCCCAAAGTGCTGGGATCATAGGTGTGAGCCACCACACCTGGCCAAAGCTATTTTTTAAAATATCAAGATCATGGAGAACAAAGACAGGAACTGCTCCAGATCAAAAAAGATTAAAAAGAGATAACATCTAAAGTCAATGCTTTATTCTGGATTGGATCCTGGCCAGGAGGAACATATATATATATACATATATACACACACACATATATATGAGAGACAGAGACAGAAAGAGCGAGAGCGCGCACATAGAAAGTGCACACATGCCCAGAGCACACACTATAAAGGACTTAAGTCCTGAATAAGGATAATGAATTAGAATAACATCGATGAATCGATGTTAAATTTCCTGATTTTTATTACTGTATTCTGGTTATTTAAGAGAATATCTTTATTCTTTAGAAATACCCAATGAAGAACTTAGGAGGTAAAGAAGACATAGTATCTCCAATTTATTCTCAAATATTTCAGAAAAATGTAACATGCAAATATGTATATATGGAGAGAGAATAACAGAACAAATGGAGAAAATGTAAACAACTGGTGAATCTGGGAAAAGGACATATAGGAGTTCCCATACTATTCTTGTCATTTTTCTGTGAAGTTTGAATTTTTTTTTTTTTTTTGAGACAGAGTCTTGCTCTGTCACCCAGGTTGGAGTGCAATGGCACAATCTTGGCTCACTGTAACCTCTGTCTCCCAGGTTCAAGCAGTTGTCCCACCTCAGCCTCCTGAGTAGTTGGGATTACAGGCATGTGCCACCATGCCCAGCTAATTTTTGTATTTTTAATAGAGACAGGATTTCACCATGTTGGCCAGGCTGGTCTTGAACTCCTGACGTCAAGAGATCTACCTGCCTTGGCCTCCCAAAGTGCTGAGACTGCAGGTGTGAGCCACCGTGCCCAGGCTGAAGTTTGAAATTTTATCAAAATAAAAAGTTACCAAAAAATAACACAGGCAGGAATAAGTGAGTGGAGGTATCAATATGACAAGCAGCATTAGTAAGCAATTAATTAAGCAATGAAGATCTGAAAGTAAAGACTAGCCCTTGAAAACAAAAATTAAAAGCCAGGCGTGGTGACTCACTCCTGTAATCCCAGCACTTTGGGAGGCAAACGCAGGCCAATCGCTTGAGTCCAGAAGTTCAAGATAAGCCTGCGCAGCATGGCAAAACCCCGCCTCTATAAAAAAAATACAAAAAAAAATTCACCGGATGTGGTGGTGCATGCCTGTGGTGCCAGCTATTCAGGAGACTGAGGTGGGATGATCGCTTGAGCCCAGGAGGCTGAGGTTGCAGTGAGCAGAGATCATGCCACTGCATTCCAGCCTGGCCAACCAAGACACTGTCTCTAAATAAATAAATATTAAAAAAAAAAAAAAAAACCAGCTGGGCGCGGTGGCTCACACCTGTAATCCCAGCACTTTAGGAGGCCGAGGTGGGCGGATCACAAGGTCAGGAGTTCGAGACCAACCTGGCTAATATGGTGAAACCCCGTCTCTACTAAAAATACAAAAATTAGCTGGGCGTGGTGGCAGACGCCTATAGTCCCAGCCACTCGGGAGGCTGAGGCAGGAGAATCACTTGAGCCCAGGAGGCAGAGGTTGAAGTGAGCCGAGATCGGGCCACTGCACTCCAACCTGGGAGACAGAGCCAGACTCTGTCTCAAAAAAAAAAAAAAAAAACCTCCTCCAGACCCATAAAGATGTATTCAACTAGATGATATTCTAAAATCCAGTCAAGCTCTAAAATGTGGTGGTTTATCACCACGTCTCTGAGGGCCGCTCTTTTGTTTCTAAACAGGAATGACTTCCAGGCCTAAACTGCTTAGGCCAAGCCATCCACAGAAGTAAGCCTGCAGAGCAGGGATGATAAGAGTGGCTGGCCTGATTAAAAACAATGTCTGCCTGTCTCCTTCCTTTCTTCTCCCTGGAAATGTTGCCAGTTTCTGTCTGCAGTATCTCTCTCCCTCATCCCAGCCTCTTACTGTATCTCTCACAAATATACTTTATACTTCACATAACACATTATTTTATGTTTCTTTTCATTTCTTTCTCTCATAATTTCAGTCTGTAAATAAGCAAAGAGATATCAGTAATGAGGTTCGCCAAATGTTTCTGAATGGTAGGATCTGGGGTGATTTCATTCTTCTTTGCACTGTGGCTTGGACTTTATTTAATAATCCTGTAGTGTTTTAACTAAAAAATAAAAAAGGTGCTACATTTTTTAAAACTTCTAATTCAAGCACATCAGTTCATTTTAACTTTTCATATTTCCTCTCCCTTGCTTTCAAAAAAAGAAAAACATTTTCAAGTGCTTTTCCCTTATGAACGATCTTTAACTGTAATTTCCCCTGTGAGTGGCCCTCTGTTAGAAAAAATGAAAACCCTCTCTTCCCACTCTCTCTTGCTTTTCATCTACCCTTCATCCCACCCCCAGTGACACAGAAAGGACCCACAGAACAGACACAATGCGGCAGAGAACAATGAGGAGAGTTGGAGAAGCTCTGGCCAGGCCATGGCTTAGAGAACTTAAGCCCTGTATTTTTTTATTCTCTATTAACAGGTTTCTCACCAGAAAGATGTCTGCATAGCCAGCCAAAGACTCCACTCCTTCTTGGATCCGTGCTCCCCCAGAGTCATTCAGCCCAATCACTGGAGCCCCCACCGTTATGGCCTGGTCCATGATCTGAGACAGCAGAGAAATCTTTTATTGAGACAAATGTTCTTGATATAAAAAACGACATTCACAAAATACCACAGTGTTTTCTGGAAAACGTTCTGAGTGCACTTTTCAAAACAGGAGGCAGTAACACTGGTTTCACTCCCCATCACGATTGGGTACCTTCATGGAAGACAAAGGACCAGATATTTAATAGGCTGATTAAAGCCCCCAAACACCCAAGAGCCAAAGCACTTCCCATTAGCAGGGGATAAAACAACTCATGGCAACCATTTCTAGAACCACAGGCTCACGTTGTAACGTCTTCCAGCAGCCAGTTTTGTTCCCAGGTACTGCTTTGACAGAACTTACAGTAGACAGAATGGCAAAGTAGTACTTTCATGAAAGCAGATGTTGACCCATCTGTTAATCTGAGGGCAGGCCCGGGCCTGCTTTTACTTCTAATGTGACAGATTTTCCTCATGGGTTAGTAATTCCGACAGCATAATAAGCAATATTCCTACAGTCCTTGACAGTTTAAAAAGTACTTTCACTTCCATTACCTCATTTACCCATCATAACAGAGGGAGTAAAATGAGAAAAATTAAGGTTTAAAAGTTAAGTGACTGGCCCAAGGTCTCAGGAGTAATACATGACAGGACCATGTCTATAATCCAGATGTTCCAGTTACTAGTAGCTCCAACTTTAATTCCAAAATTCTCTATTATTTATAGTTTTATTCCTCTCCAGAGCATCTAATCTCTAGCAGTAGTTTTTAAATATCAGCATACAATGCTCGCACTGTTCTTTACCTTCTAGCACCTGGCCCTTCCACCTAGACAAGAGGTTCTTCACTTGAAATCCTCAGAACCCCAAGAGATCTGTGAACGGGAGTCCATGAACTTGAACAGGAAAAAATTTACATCTTTATCTTTACTAACGCTAGCTGATCGTTAACATTTCTCTTCATTATTGATATAGGCAATGAGCCTCAGTATTAGAAATATCTGTGATTTGCCATTATTAGAAGCCACAGATATTTTTACGTCCTATTAAAGTTGTTGCAGATACCCTGAAATATTTCACCTTTGACTACTTTGAAATTACGGTAGTTACTAGATCTACTGCTAAATCTTGTTATTAAATGCATTAACAAGGGAGCACGTATATTCTAAATGTGGTTTTTAAAAACATTTTTAATCCTTTAAAATCCTACAAATTTTATTTTAGGCATGTAAAAACAGGAGGGTTCAGGCTTTGCCAGCCCATGGAAGAGATCCATGGTACGAAAATTGTTATGCACCCCTTCGGGTTGGTAGCACATCTTGCATACCTCTGCCCTACCCCAAGTACCTAGCTCAGTGTCTTGTACCCCAAAGATACTCAATAAGCACTATGTAACTGAGGAAAGCAATGGATTGAATTTGAGTATTAAACACTTACTTTGCAGATCTTTTGGGCATGTGCTCCTGACAGACTGCCTCCAAAAACTGTAAAATCCTAAAAAGAAAATACAAATCAGCAAGTCAAATATAGTGACTGGCTAGAGATGAAAACCCAGTGGGAGGAAGAAATAGAAAATTCACAGATAAAAGTTTTTAGGCCAGGCGTGGTGGCTCATGCCTGTAATCCCAACACTTTGGGAGGCCAAGGCAGGTGGATGGCTTGAGTCCAGGAGTCTGAGACCAGCCTGGGCGACATGGCAGAAGCCCGTATCTGCAAAAAATATAGAAAAAAGTTAGCTGCGCATGGTGGCACATGCCTGGAATCCCAGCTACTCGGGAGGCTGAGGCAGGAGGATTGCTTGAGCCCTGGAGACAGAGGCTTCAGTGAGTTGAGACAGCACCACTGTATTCCAGCCTATGCAACAGAGCAAGACCCTGTCTCAAAACAAAACAAAACAAAACAAAACAAAACAAAAAAAGTTGCCCGGGCATGGTGGCTCGCACCTGTAATCCCAAGACTTTGAGAGGCCAAGGCAGGAGGATCACTTGAGGTCAAGAGTTCCAGACCACCCTGGCCAACATGGTGAAACCCCATCTCTACTAAAATATAAAAATTAGCTGGGCGTGGTGGTGTGTGCCTGTAATCCCAGCTACTCGGGAGGCTGAGGCAGGAGAATCACTTGAATCCAAGAGGCGGAGGCTGCAGTGGGCAGAGATTGCTCCAGTGCACTCCAGCCTGGGCGACAGAGCGAGACTCTGTATTTAAAAAAATACATACATATAGTTTTTAAAGCATTTTCAGAAGTTTAAAAAATTAGAAAAGAAGTCTGATTTATAGATTATTCCATAGAATAAAATATCTTAAAGGAAGTTCATGAATTGTCAAGAGCAAAAGAGCTAGTCTTTGCTCTACAAAAATGATTTGAAAGGAAAAAAAAGAAATGATTTGCAGTTCTGAAGGAAAACCTATCACACAGAATTAACTCTAATATCAGATTCTATGGATATCAAACAGTCAAGCACTTCTGTTTTTAAGAAATATTTACTGTTTTATTTTACTTATCATTTTGAGACCAAGTCTTGCTCTGTCACCCAGGCTGGAGTGCAGTGGCGTAATCTTGGCTCACTGTATCCTCCGCCTCCCAGGTTCAAGTGATTCTCCTGCCTCAGCCTCCCGAGTAGCTGGGATTACAGGCACGTGCCACCAGGCCCAGCTAATTTTTGTATTTTTATTAGAGACAGTTTTGCCATGTTGGCTAGGCCAGTTTCAAACTCCTGGCCTCAAGTGATCTACCCACCTCGGCCTCCCAAAGTGCTGAGATGACAAGCGGGAGCCACTGTGCCCAGCCTATTATTTGCTGTTTTAAAAAGAAAGGTTAAAAAACAAGAATCAGAGCTCTCACTGCTTCTTCTGCTTATGGATCTTCATTATGTTCAGATGTAAAGGGCTTATTGTGGGCATAACCTCTCCTAAAACCCCCTCAAAAAGACAGTTAGGAATTAAGAACAGAATCAGCTGTGAGAATAAGAACAAGGAGACAATAGCATAGGAAGGATTAAACAAATTTGGGGGGAACTGAAAGCACAAGAAAATACCTGATTTAGAGGGAGAGAATGGAAGCTTACACACCTGCAGTGGGGGTAATCAAGGAGAAGACAACCCAGGAACCATGGAAAGTGGAGGTGAGAAGGAGGCTGAAAACAGAG
The DNA here is from genome assembly GCF_000001405.40 of Homo sapiens. Taxonomy (NCBI): domain Eukaryota; kingdom Metazoa; phylum Chordata; class Mammalia; order Primates; family Hominidae; genus Homo; species Homo sapiens. Next base: position 136,258,826 of record NC_000003.12, on the reverse strand, counting down.
ACTAACAGAAGTCTCTGTTAGAAGCAGTCAGACCCCACAGGGCCTCTCCTTCACCTTGAGAGGACAGAGAATGTTTGTTCTCTAAAGGAAATTAACCAGAAGGGTTCTAAACTCACAATCGCTAGCCTAAAAGAGGAAAAGGTGAGGCTGAAAACATGCAAGATTAGGAGCCTATACACTGAATGAGTGCTGGCCCCTTTTTTTCTCTCCCCCTCAGAATACACCAACAGCCAATTATCAGGCAAGGGACTGAGGAGGCTCCCCAGAAGAACAGAAGCTCCCCAGAAAAAGCACCTAAGATATTAACATCTTGGAGATCACTATTAAAAAACACTAGCTCATCACTCCCTACCCTCAGTATCCTTCAGGGCCTGTCTCAATTGCCCCATTGTTCCTAAAGCTTTCCTCAACCCTGGATGTGATTTTCCCTTGTCTTGGGTCTACAGCATTTGCCTGGAACCTCTCACTCCATGTGCTCTGTAGTTACATCCGTTCTGTGCCATTCTGCCTATAAAATGATTCGCTTCTTCAGGGTGGGAACTCTTGTCTCAGTCATCTCCACCTTCTCCTCACTCCCACCCTACCACATGAGCATAAGAGGTGGTCAAAAGTATCAATTCAGTGAATTCTTCCATCTGCTTAATAGTGGTGAGTGAACATCATGTCCAGAAAACATCTTTGTTCTATCTCTCTTTTCAATGGTTCCTTCTGTACAAGTTTTTCTCAGCTCTCATAAATTGCACAAAACAAATGTGATTCCTTCTATTTCGGCATTTGGTAGACCAATTTATAACAGTTTTAAAACATTTCAAAGGTAATTTAATTGGTAAATGCATACTAACTACGACAGATTTTAAATTAACCAAGTATAACTATTTTATTATTTTTTTGTTTGAGATGGAGTCTCACTCTGCCACCCAGGCTCGAGTGCAGTGGCGCAAACTCGGCTCACTGCAACCTCCGCCTCCCAGGTTCAAGCGATTCTCCTGCCTCAGCCTCCCAAGTAGCTGGGATTACAGGCACCCACAACACCCAGCTAATTTTTGTGTTTTTAGTAGAGATGGAGTTTCGCCATGTTGGCCAGCTGGTCTCAAACTCCTGACCTCAGGTGATCCACCCATCTCAGCCTCCCAAAGTACTGGGACTACAGGCATGAGCCACCACGCCTAGCCAATTTTAATATCAAACTTTAGGTCTGTAAAAAGACCTAAGCATTTTAAATTATATACATATTTCCACCTCTGGAGAGAAAAAAGTCAAATCCAAAATAGTACACAACATATTCTGTGTTAGTTTTCTATTACCGCTATAACAAATTAATATAAATTCAGTGCCTTGAAACAACACAAATGTATTATCTTATAGTTCTATAATTTAGAAGCGCTACACAGGATTGACTGGGCTAAAATTAAGGTTGGCAGGACTGTGCTCCCTTCTGGAGGCTCCAGGGGAAAATGTGTTTTCTTGCCTTTACCAGCTCCTAGAGACCATGGGCACTCCTTTGCTGATGGTCCCCTTCTCCCATCTTCAAAGCCAGGTACTGCAGATCATGTCCTTCTCATATCACATCCTTATAAGCTCCTCTTCTACCTCCCTCTTCCACTTTTAAGGACCCTGTGATTATATTGGGCCCACCTGGATAAATCAGGCTACTCTCCCTATTGCAAGGCCAGCTGATTAACAACCTTCATTCCCTTTTGCGTGTAAAATAACATATTGATAGCTTTGGCTATGTGTGTGAACAAACTGTATCTGTCTTGATGCACCCTGATAAAATTTTCTGAACATATTCATGAAAGCCCAAAGCTCAGGGGGACTCTGGTTCTGAGAGTCAAGTCCCCTTTGCGAGGCTGCACCCACTGCACTCTCTCTAGTCCACATACACTGCCCAGGACACAGATGCCCTACAGGCACACACCCAACCCAGCTAAGAGGAATCTCATTCACTTGGAATAAATTCCTGGTTCTTGGGATACCTTTGTACAAGGCTAGTGCCCTGTGATCCCCCCCAAAACAGACTAAGGACTCTTCCTAAGTAAAAAACACACAATATTCTGGAAACACGCACTGAAAAGCAAAGCAAATCCCTCATTTTCCCCAAACTACAAGCAAGTTTTCATTCCCCAAGATTGGCTTCTTTCACATATTTTCCTCTTGGCTCTGCCCTCCAAGAAAAGTTCAGACTATTGGAGTTATGAAATACCTGACTGAAGACATAAACCAATCTTCCATTGATTCGGCCTCGTCCAGTGACCACGCTGTCTCCAGGAAACTACCAGAAAAATGCAAAAATAAAGGTTAAAAAATCCAAATACTTCTTCTAATGAGTTTGGCCACTATGCCTCAATGAAAGACAAAAACAAAACCCAAATTCCTAAAACGTCAATATGAACAAGGAACATGAAGGAATCCCACCCCACTTTCCCAGCTCTACAACAGCAAGCACAGGGCTACTACTTCATCAATAGGAGTGAATGGCACTGTCATCTTAGGCCTTATGTACCCTCCTAAAAGCAAAACAATCAAGACCCAGGGCCACCACTTCTCTATGCTTACATGAAGGAGGACGTATAAAGAAACACAAGGCAGGGTACGGTCGCTCACGCCTGTAGTCCCAACACTTTGGGAGTCCGAGGTGGGTGGATTGCTTGAAGCCAGGAGTTCAAGGCCAGCCTGACCAACATGGCGAAAGCCCATCTCTACTAAAAATACAAAAATTATCTGGGCTTGATGTCTGCAGTGCCTCTGCAGAGGACTTCAGATAAAAGCCTTATAGATTTATTATTATTCTAGTGGGTAGGCCAGCTGAGCCACACCTAAAAAGTGTTCACACCACCATTTGAACAAATACCTTATTCTTATCAGCAGCCATTCCAAAATCTGCACATCTGTGTTCCACAAACATGTCGCTCTCAACAAAGCTGCCAGGGTCCAGCAAGAGACTGATCCTCTCCCTGGCTGTTAGCTTTCCCTACAATGGAACAAAGATCACTCAGTGATGTCATCACAGACAATTTAGTAAGCAAAGCAAGGGCTGTTCATGGGAGGGCTTGAAGGGCAGATTTGCCCGTTGATCTCAATGCAAGTACTTTCATTCTATCCAACCTGCCCAAGGCAGATAGGTGTTATTAGTAGACTTTAGATGACATGGAAATCAGGACAGACAGTGTGCGCCAGAAGCCACCCAACTGTGGAAGATGAATAAGGAAATAGGACGAGGAAAAGGTAGAGAGAAGTGGGGATAAGGAGAACCTGACCCTGGAACACAATTAATTAGTTCCACAAATACTTACTGGAGACCTAAGGAGCCATAAAAAGAATGCAGAAGCAGGTGGTGGAAACTAAAGCAGGCTTAGTGAAGGATCTGACACAGGTTTTTTCTAGGGAGACCTACAGAAGCACACCTCACCTCACGAGGGTCCCTACTGCTCCCAGCTCCCACCTCAAGGACACGCTACTTCCTGGTTCTTCTCCTGCCTCCTCTGTGGGCTTCTCCTTCTCCTACTATCCTATCCCCTGTTTAGGGACCCCACACCTGACAGTGACACTGTGACACAGAGATGACCCCACAGCAGGGAGTGGCTGAGTAGAAGGGGAGTGGGACACAAAATGCTAAAGAGCTCACTTGAGAAGAGTTTAAAAATGCTTCTTTGGGCCGGGCACGGTGGTTCACGCCTGTAATCCCAGCACTTTGAGAGGCAGAGGCGGGTGGATCACAAGGTCAGGAGATCGAGACCAGCCTGACCAACATGGAGAAACCCCATCTCTATTAAAGATACAAAATAAGCCGGGTGTGGTGGCATGCGCCTGTCTTCCCAGCTACTCAGGAGGCTGAGGCAGAAGAATCGCTTGAACCCAGGAGGCAGAGCTTGCAGTGAGCCGAGATTGTGCACCATTGCACTCCAGCCTGGGCAACAAAGTGAAACTCCGTCCCAAAAAAAAAAAAAAGCTTCTTTGAGGAGATGAGGTCAGAGCTCTCAATCTACCAGGAGCCTCGGCTGGGCACAGTGGCTCACACCTGTAATCCCAGCACTTTGGGAGGCTGAGACGAGCATCGCTTGAGCCCAGGAGTTTGAGACCAGCTGGACAACATGGCAAAACCTGGTCTCTACTGAAAAATACAAAAATTAGCTGGGAGTGGTGGCACGTGCCTGTAATCCCAGCTACTCAAGAGGCTGAGGCAGGAGAATCACTTGAACCTGGGAAGCGGAGGTTGTGGTGAGCTGTGATCACTCCACCGTGCTCCAGCCTGAGCAACAAAGCGAGAACCTGTCTTTTAAAAAAAAAAAAAAAAAAAAAAAAAAAAAAGCTAGCCGCAGTGGCTCACACCTGTAATCCCAGCACTTTGGGAGGCCAAGGCAGGCGGATCATGAGGTCAGGAGATCGAGACCATCCTGGCTAACACGGCGAAACCCTATCTCTACTAAAAATACAAAAAAAATTAGCTGGGCTTGGTAGCACCCACCTGTAGTCCCAGCTACTCGGGAGGCTGAGGCAAGAGAATCGCTTGAACCCAGGGGGCAGGGGTTGCAGTGAGCCAAGATCGCACCACTGTACTCCAGCCTGGGTGACAGGGTGAGACACTGTCTCAAAAAACAAAAACAAACAAAAAAAAGCCGCCATTGCTTGGGCTCCCAAGCTCTCAGCCCCAAGCAAATACCCTAGCCTACCGTCCCCTTCCCCAACAACAACAAAAAAAACCACATACCTCAAATTGGCTATTATTTCCCCCTTAGGAAAGTAGCCAAAGCTGGTGAGGTTGTGTTTAAAATAACAAACAAAAATCAGGCAATCCTATACACTGTCACGTAAAGTAGAATAAGTTTTTAGGAAACCAACTTGGCAACATATATACAGATTTTTAAAATATATTTATACTGACCAGGCACTGCAGCTCACACCTGTAATCCCAGCACTTTGGAAGGCCAAGGTGGGAGGACTGCTTGAGCCCAGGAGTTGAGACCAGCCTGGGCAACAAAGCGAGACTCTGTCTCTACCAAAAAATAAAATAAAATAAAATAACTAGCAGGGTAGGAGGCTGAAGTGGGAGGATCACTGGAGCCCAGAGGTCGAGGATGCACTAAGCCATGATTACACCACTGCCCTCCAGCCTGGGTGACAGAGTAAGACCCTGTCTCAAGAAAAAAAAAAAAAAAAAAAAATTCTGTCATCCCAGCACTTTGGGAGGCCGAGATGGGAGGATCACCTGAGGTCAAAAGTTAGAGACCAGCCTGCTCAACATGGTGAAACCCCGTCTCTACTAAAAATACAAAAATTAGCCAGGTGTGGTGGCACGTGCCTTAAATCCCAGCTACTCAAGAGGCTAACGCAGGAGAATCACTTGAACCTGGGAAGCAGAGGTTGTAGTGAGCCACGATCACTCCACCGCACTCCAGCCTGAGCAACAAGGTGAGACCCTGTCTTAAGAAAAAAAAAGAGGCCATGTGCAGTGGCTCACGCCTGTAATCCCAACACTTTGGGAGGCCGAGGCAGACGGATCACGAGGTCAGGAGATCGAGACCATCCTGGCTAACATGGTGAAACCCCGTCTATACTAAAACTCCAAAATTATAGCCAGGTGTGGTGGTGGGCACCCGTAGTCCCAGCTACTCAGGAGGCTGAGGCAGGAGAACGGCATGAACCCGGGAGGCGGAGCTTGCAGTGAGCCAAGACCGCGCCACTGCACTCCAGCCTGGGTGACAGAGCAAGACTCTATCTTAAAAAAAAAAAAAAAAAAAAAAAAACCTCCATTGCTTGGACTCCCAAGCTCTCAACCCGAGGCAAATACCCTAGCCTACTGTCCTATCCCCCCCTCCCCGAAAAAAACAAAAACAAACAAAAAATACCTCAAATTGGCTATTATTTTCCCCTTAGGAAAGTAGCCAAAGCTGGTGAGGTTGCATTTAAAAAAAAAAAAACAAAACAAAAAACAGGCAATCCTATACACTGTCATGTAAAGTAGAGTAAGTTTTCAGGAAACCAATTTGGCAACATATATACAGATTTTTAAAATATATTTATACTGACCAGGCACTGCGGCTCACACCTGTAATCCCAGCACTTTGGAAGGCCAAGGTGGGAGGACTGCTTGAGCCCAGGAGTTGAGACCAGCCTGGGCAACAAAGCGAGACCCTGTCTCTACCAAAAAAAAAAAAAAAAAAAAATTAGCTGGGTAGGAGGCTGAAGTGGAAGGATCACTGGAGCCCAGAAGGTCAAGGATGCAGTGAGCCATGATTACACCACTGCCCTCCAGCCTGGGTGACAGAGTAAGACCCTGTCTCAAGGAAAAAAAAAAAAAAATTCTGTCATCCCAGCACTTTGGGAGGCAGACGCGGGTGGATCACCTGAGGTCAGGAGTTCAAGACCAGCCTGGCCAACATGGTGAAACTCCATCTCTACTAAAAATACAAAAATTAGCCAGATGTGGTGACACATACCTGTAACCCCAGGTACTCTGGAGGCTGAGGCAGGAGAATTGCTTGAAGCTGGGAAGCAGAAGTTGCAGTGAGCTGCTGCACTCTAGCCTGGGCAACAGAGTGAACTCTGTCTCAAAAAAAATAAATAAACTTACACCCTTTGACCCACTAATTCCTCTTCTGGGAAAATCTACGGAAATGGTCAAAAATTGTTTTAAAAGGGGTGCAGGGCCGGGTGCAGTGGCTCACACCCATAATCCCAACACTTTGGGACGCCAAGGTGGGTGAATCACTTGAGGTCAGGCGTACAAGACCGGCCTGGCCAACATGGTGAAACCCTGTCTCTGCTAAAAATACAAAAAAAAAGTTGCCAGGCATGGTCGTGGGCACCTGTAATCCCAGCTACTTGGGAGGCTGAGGCAGGAGAATAGCTTGAACCTGGGAGGCAGAGGTTGCAATGAGCCAAGATCGCACCATGGCACTCCAGCCTGGGCAACAAGAGCAAAACTCCGTATCAAAACATAAAAATAAAAAGGGGTGCAGGAGGGGGTTCATATTAAATCAGCCTCCTAAGTTAACTTTGGCAAAAGAAAAACAGCTTCTGGAGGCTTCATCTAAACCTAGTAGGATCTACCTGGGAAAGGGCTAGGCGATGTTCCAGGGAAGAATTGAGCAATAGGCCCCAACAGAAAGAGTGTACAGGAGCACTGACAGGCCTTTCCAGAGGATGATCTAACATCTCCCTCAGCCCTAACAGAGTAGGTTAGAAGTAGCCCCAGGGGAGAGAAAGCACTCCTAGCACCACAAACCATCACTAAATTTACATTTCACTCTCAAGTGTCAAAAGGAACTGTTACCTTTGGACCCTTGTCAAATGCGAATTTATGACATCTGAATCAATATTAGACAAATATAGAGCTGTTCAAATCTCCTCACTTTAAGACCCCATCCCTCCCCCAGTGCCTCCCTCATGGTTGTGAGTTGTGCCTGAATACTCTTCATCTGTAAGAGTTTCACTTCTGCACCTTCCCGTTGGTTAATTCGTTCAGCACAACGGTCCAGACTCACCCACCAGTCACGGACACACTGGGCAAGCCTGGTTTCAAGTCAGGGATCACCTCTCCAAAATGGGCCGCCCAGCTTATCTCTGAAGGCCAGCTGGATTCTCGCCTCAAAACCCAGGCGGTGGGTGGCAGTGTTTCAACTGCTCAGTCCAGCCAAACATCGAGAGTAGCCTGCGCACTCCCAGAAAGGCCACCTGCTTCCGACACGTGCCTTTGCTACCCATCAAGGCGAGGCATGCTAAGGCCCTAAAGAGCTCGACCAGGCATTCTGCGGGCAGAAGTTCCACAAGTTCCTGCACGCGCACATCCCCCATTTCATGTTAGTGGAGTATGCCCAAGTTCAGTTTTCCTGCTTCCACAAAGGAGAAAGAACCTACCATCACTCTTTCATGGGGCACGAGAATAAGCACATGGTTTTTACTGAGCGCCTATCATTTTGCTATCTATGGTCTAACGATACACTTGTGAAGGAAGAATTATTATTAAAATGACCCACAGAGATTTAATAAGTTGCCCAAAAGCTTATGTTAAGTGTTGAGCTGGCTAGAGACGAGCCAGATCCGTCTAAATCCCAAGGGTTAAACAGTATGAAAAAGCACACAGGTGCTTCTGCTGGTTATACCCGCCTCCACGAGAAACGCTACAGGTTTTCAAGGTGAACACCCTTGCTCCGGCCCCTCCAGGCACCGTGCGGATTGGCAGGGAGGCCTCGGACGCCGCAAGCCGGGCACGCAGTGATAGGTCGCGGACGCCAGGGGCGGGACTCACTTAGGCCCCTCAGGACTCACTCGCTTGTGCTGCGCGTCAATACGGCGTTGGCCCCCTCCCAGCAGCGCGGTCCGGCGCTTGTTTTCGATGCGTTCGTTAACAGAGGTGGCCTGGCTGCAAAGGCTGCGGACCGCGGCGCGGAGACCGCTCGCCAGAACGCTGAGCCTTGCCCCGACCGCCGCCACCCGTAATGCCGCCGCCATTTTTGCTGTGCCGGCGCGTCCCCTACCGGCGCACCTGAGTACGCATGTGCTAAAGCGTGGGTACGGCGCTTGCGCAGCATCGGCTGGCTGTAGGGAGCCGCGGGGGCTGGACTACAGAACCTGCTTGGGAGTAAGGCGTGAGAGTTCGAGACCCGGTGCTGCCCGAGGAGGGTCGCGCAGAGAAAAAGTACAGGGCCTGCCTGGCTGCACAAAAAAGGGACATAGTCCTTGCTCTTCTCTGACCACCTAGACCCTTAACTTTGTCGTCCCACTTCCTACAGAAAATGATTATAAGATTTAACCAACATTTATTAAGCATTGTGCCAGGTGTTGCTTTTTGCACTTACCATGCACTAGCTTACTATCTGGATTTCACAGATGAGGTAAATCAAGCACAGAGAGATGAGTGATTTGATCAAGAGGCAAGACTGAGGCCGAGGTAGGTGAGCCCAGGAGCCCAAGACCAGCCTGAGCAATATAGTAAGACCCCACCTCTACAAAAAAATTAAAAATTAGCTGGGCATGGCGGCTTGCACCTGTGACCCCAGCTACTCGGGAGGCTAAGGCGGCAGGATGGCTTGGCCCAGGAAGTCGAGGCTGCAGTGAGCCGTGATTGCATCACTGCACTCCAGCCTGGGCAAAACCCTGTCTCAAAAAAAAAAAAAAAAAAAAGCCAAGACTGACAATGTGGTTGGCCAGGATTCAAACTCAGAGACCTATCATTAATATGTGCCAGATAATGAGCACAGGACCCTTAACCTCTAATCAGTAGTTCTCAAAGTATGGATCCCATTAAAGAAAAAACTATTCATGACACTTAATTATTCATGTTTAAGAATGGTAAGGCAAACTTTATTCAGGCCCAATCTGACAGAGGTAGGGATAGAGTTTTGCCATAAGTCAGAGCGATTGGGCTGAATATAGCAAAGTGGTAATTTATAGCTAAGGGGCAGTGTGTGGAAGTCAGTGGATGGAAAATTACTAAGAGGAAACATTGGCGGGGAATCTGGCTAAATTGACCTAACAGGATTCCTGCCCAAGGCAGGTCAGGGTAACTGAACATCACCTGGGGGATGGTGGCGGTATGGGTCAAAACCAGATATGGAGAGTAATCAGATATCAAGAATGGAGGATTCTGGCTAAACTGACTTGGCAAGTTTCTTGCTAAAATGGAATTCCACAAGGAATGACATGGGAGCCCACACTCAGGCCTAGTCAAAGAGAGAGCTCAGAAGAGCCTGACCAATGTTTGATCAAGGAGGGAATCTTGTCAATCCAGCAACTTCAGTATCACCTGGGAGTGAGTTGGAAATGCAAGCTCGAATTCTCAGAACTTACTCCAGACCTTTAAATCAGAAACTCTGGGGCTGGGGCCAGCCATCTGTTTTAGCAGATGACCTTTAGGTGATTCTGATCTGCTTGCTAAAGTTTAAGAACCACTGCTCTAGGAATTTGGAATTGTACTGTTGAGAGCTTGACCATCTGTTTCTCCCACTAACAGGCAGGTCTTCAAGACAAAGAACATGGTTTATATTTCTCATTTTTAGCCACAGAAAACTGCTAAAGTTGATCATGAGCCCTTCCCAGATCCAGCTCATAGCCAGGGCCTTCATAAAGTACAAATTCTGACCTATGACCTTAATGTTAATGCAATTCAACTCAGAAAACATTTTTGAGCACCTACCATGTGCCAAGAACTAAACATCAGTACTGATTGCATTTCCTGGAGTAGTAACAGTTCATCTAGATAGAGAGGGCAGCTTAGAGGCCAAAGCCTCTTGGCTAGGCAAAGCCCACCTGTATCTGTATAACTCCGTAATGGGTACTCTTGACCTTGCATTTGGGTCCTTGCTTTAAAGACTTTACCAACCTAGAGAGGCAGATGGACAACCTAGAGAGGCAGATTGCCTTGGGAGCACAAGAGAGAATTTGAGTAAGGCTGAGTGTGTTGAGGAGAGTTTCTCCAAGAAAGCATCCATATGCCAGGGAACAGAAGCAGTGTGAGCAAAGGCCTGGCATGTTCAGATTCACATACACAGACACACACACATACTTTGTTGTGTTCCCAGCTTTTGGGGAAATGGTGGTAAATGAGACTGGAAAGTGAGAATGGCATTAGATTGTGAAGAGTTTTTTCATGTTCAGAAATTGGGACTTGCTTTTGGCCTGGGGGCAGTTGGACTCCCTTGTCCCACAGTGCCTTGTAGGTTCCTTACATAAAGCACATCTCACACTGTGTTAAGATTGTTTAGCTGTCTTCCTAGACAGACTCTCCAGCCAAAGGTCAGGGACTGCAGCTGATTTGCTCACCACTGTGGTCCCAGCACCTGGAACAAGGCCCAACGCAGAGAAGGCCTTTAGAATGTATTTGTGAAATTGAATCGAGCTAGCAAATAGGCAATTGCATGTGAGTCCAGAGGTTTTCGCCCCCTCCTCTATGTCTTTTCAGGCTCTGAAACCTGCTCAGGTATCATCTCCTCCATGCAGTCTATCCTGATCCTCAGAAGCAAGGAAGTTTTTCTTATTTAACTTTAGATAACCAGTGCTTAGTAGAAAACCCAACACAGGGAGGCTCACTGAACCTAACTGCTTCCTCCAGCTAGTCCTCTCTCCCTCCACTTCTTTCTCACTGTCCTAATGCCCTGCCTATGGGCACTCCATAGTTCTATAGATCTGTAATGTTATTCCTCAGACCTCACATGCAAGCTCCAGCTTGGGGCAGGTGGGTGGGGGTAGGAGGAAGTTGGAGGTAGGAGGCAATTATCCAGTAATTGCCCTTTAATACCACTATGCTCCAGGCTGCTTTCCTGTCCTTAGTCCCCCCGCTGGTGGCTGTGTTTGAGTTTTTTTCTCCATTGTGAGACAGGAGTCACCCTGATCTTTTAGTTTTCTCACTTTCTGAGACAGTAGAGCTGAAAATTTGGAGTCAACACCTGGGTACAAATCTTGCTTCTGCCCTGACTTCCTGGATAACACAGGGTCATTCACCTAAGGATCTCAGTTTCCTCTGTAAAAGTGGAGAGGGGGTGATCTGTGAAACCCTTGTGTTCTGAGTTTGTTACCCATGACATAATAACAAGAGCCCAGTCATTGGTGTTAGACTGTCCTGAGGTTAGTTCCAACTCTGCCAGTTACCTCTGTGTGACTTGGACAACTTGGCCTCAGTTTCCTCTTCTGTAAAATTGGAATAATAATAGTTCTACCTCAGAGTTGTAAGGTTTATTTTTATTTATTTATTTATTTATTTTTGAGACAGGGTCTTGCTCTGTCACTCAGGCTGGAGTGCAGTGGCTCAATCTTGGCTCACTGCAACCTCCCCATCCCAGGTTAAAGCGATTCTCCTGCCTCAGCCTCCCAAGTAGCTGGGATTACAGGCGTGTGCCACCACGCCCGGCTAATTTTTTTGTATTTTTTGGTAGAGATGGAGTTTTACCATGTTGGCCAGGCTTGCCTTGAACTCCTGATCTCAAGTGATCCGCCTGCCTCAGCCTCCCAAAGTGCTGGGATTACAGATGTGAGCCACCATACCTGGCCAAGTTATAAGGTTTAAATGTAAGCAGCTAACATAATGCCTAGCAAATGTGAAGTACTCTTTAAGTGTTACCTAATAGATTACCAGTAGTATCCTGAGATAGTCTTATTTACCAGAAATTTTCATGAGTTCTCCTTAAAGTGAAGGACAGTGATACATTTCAGAGTATTTGTTCACTTCCTTCCACAAGGAGTGAGGATGGATGGGGGACAGTGAGGTGCCAACATTTTCTGGCCATTCTAGGCCAGTCAGTTACAACTTTCAGCAAAGATGAGTGCAATGGTAGGAAGGAGGAAATGGAAGAGGTCACAATTTAGTCTGGGTCTTCAGAGAAGCAATTGCCAAGAGGGGAATTAACATGCAAGAAATCAATTAAGGGGGCCAGGTGCAGTGGTTCACTCCTGTAATCCCAGCACTTTGAGAGGCCAAGGCAGGGGGATCACCTGAGGTCAGGAGTTCAAGACCAGCCTGGCCAAGATGGTGAAACCCCATCTCTACTAAAAAGAAAAATTAGCCAGGCATGGTGGCGCACGCCTATAATCCCAGCTACTCGGGAGACTGAGGCAGGACAATCACTTGAACCTGAGAGGTGGAGTTTGCAGTGAACCGAGATCACGCCACTGCACTCCAGCCTGGGCGACAGAGCAAGACTCCATCTCAAAAGAAAGAAAGAAAGAAAGAAATCAGTTAGAGGAACCACCTGTGAGAAAAAGTGGGGAGACAGTGGGAGAAGCTGGGAGGCCCATGAGATTGCAATGCAAATCTGACCTCCAGTCAGGAAGAGAGGGAAGGAAGGAAGGTGGGTGGGAGCTTCTCAGAATACCGTGCAGTTTTAAGGAAAGTTCAGCAAGGTTGTTGGGGAGTACAGGAGCCAAAGTATTTTTGCCGCAGCTATGCTGGGAGCAGCCCGTGGAAGGTGTAACCTCAGTGCAAATTTCAGCAGTGAATTTCAGAGCAACAGCTGGGGCTCTCAGTTACTATGTTCAGTACAGTCCAGGTGTCTTCTCACAATAGAGTTTGGGGTGGTTAGGAGTAAAGGGAGTGAGAGAGAGGAAATTTGTGAGAATAGCTGTCATCCATGTGGAGAGAAGAGATTTTAAAGATTTTTTTTTATTTTTTGAGACAGGGTCTCACTCTGTCACCCAGGCTGGAGCGGATTGGCAGGATCACAGCTCACTGCAGCCTTGAACTCCTGGGCTCAGGTGATCCTCCCCACTCAGCCTCCTGAGTAGCTGGGACTACAGGTACATGCTACCATACCAGCTAGATTTTTAAGATTTTTGTTTTGCATTAATTATGTACTTCTCTCCTTGGTGTGTGTGTGTGTGTATGTGTGTGTGTGTTTTAACTGAATAAAAAATGAAGTGCTTAAAATTTACGTTTACCTTTATTTTTTCTTTTTTTGAGATAGGGTCTTGTTCTGTTCCCCAGGCTAGAGTGCAGCATTGTGATCATGGCTCACTATAGCCTTGACCTCCTGGGCTCAAGCAATCCTTCACCTAAGCCTCCCCCATAGCTGGGACCGCAGGCAGATGCCACCAAGCCTGGCTAATTTTTTTTTTTTTTTTTTTTTAAGACAGAGTCTCCTTCTGTCACCCAGGCTGTAATGCTAGAGTGCACATCTTGGCTCACTGCAACCTCTGCCTCCTGGGTCCAAGAGATTCTCCTGCCTCAGCCTCCCAAGTAGCTAGGACTACAGGTATGTGCCACTGTGCCTAATTTTTTTGTATTGTTAGTAGAGACGGGGTTTCACCGTGTTGGCCAGGCTGGCCTTGAACTCCTGACCTCAAGAGATCCTCCCGCTTTGGCCTCCTGAAGTGCTGAGATTACAGGTGTGAGCCACCACACCTGGCCCTAATTTTCTAATTTTTTGTAGAGACAATGGTTTCTCTATGTTGTCCAGGTTGAAAATTCACATTGTTATTGCTGAACTGTGTTTCTTTGATGCCGAGATTAGAACCCAAGAGTCCTAGCTTAAATTCTACTTAAAATTCTTATTAAGACCTGGAGCCTAGGCCATGCGCAGTGGCTCACATCTGTAATCCCAGCACTTGGGGAGGCTAAAGTAGGAGGACTGCTTGAGGCCAAGAGTTTGAGACCAGCCTGGGCAACATGGCAAGACATTATCTCTACAAAAAATTAAAATGTTAGCCAGGCATGGTGGTGCACACTTGTAGTCCCAGCTATTCCAGAGGCTTGGGGAGGAGGATCCCTTGAGCCTAGGAGTTTGAGGCTGCAGTGAGCTATGATGGCACCACTGCATTCCAGCCTGGGTGACAGAGCAAGACTGTCTCTAAAAAGAAATAAAATTTAAAAAATTTTAAAAGACATGGAACCTCATTGTCCCCAGACTACACACATTTTCCAAGCCACCTTGAGAAATCCTTATCTTTTCTGACTCCCTGGGCTCTCTGGGAAAGCGCAGGCCGGTAGCAGTGGATCACGCCTGTAATCCCAGCACTTTGGGAGGCCGAGGCAGGCGGATCACAAGGTCAGGAGATCGAGACCATCCTGGCTAACATGGTGAAACCCTGTCTCGACTAAAAATAAAAAAAAAATTAGCCACGCGTGGTGGCAGATGCCTGTAGTCCCAGCTACTCAGGAGGCTGAGGCAGGAGAATGGCGTGAACCCAGGAGGCGCAGCTTGCAGTGAGCCAAGATTGTGCCACTGCACTTCAGCCTGGGCCACAGAGCCAGGCTCCATCTCAAAAAAAAAGAAAGAGCAGAGCTGGTTTGTTCCTTTTTCCAGAGCTGCTTCTAGCTGTTTCTATTTTTTTTTTTTTTTTTTTTGAGACGGAGTCTCGCTCTGTCACCCAGGTTCGAATGCAGTGGCACCACCTCGGTTCACTGCAAACTCCGCCTCCCGGGTTCATGCCATTCTCCTGCCTCAGCTTCCCGAGTAGCTGGGACTACAGGCGCCCGCCACCACATCCAGCTAATTTTTTTTGTATTTTTATTAGAGATGGGGTTTCACCATATTAGACAGGATGGTCTCGATCTCCTGACCTCGTGATCTGCCCACCTCGGCCTCCCAAAGTGCTAGGATTACAGGCGTGAGCCACCACGCCAGGCCGTGCCCGGCCACAGTTTCTATTCTTGCTGAGCTGCTTTTCACTTGCCGTTTTTACCCTCTGTTGGTACCACCCTTTCAGCATTCCCCTGACCTCCACCACATGCCCTCCTCTCCCTTGTCCTGTGATTTCCACATCAGGCTCACTTTTCCCCTTCCCTGTCTTCCACTGCCATTCTCAGACTCCATTCAGAGTCTTCATGCTGATACCCTCTGATTCTATGGCCTAGGAATTCCTTAGCCTCCTCAACATGAAGGGACTTCAACTCTGTTCCACTCCAGCCACCCACACACTGGGCTTTGTAATTACTGAGAATTGCTTCACGTCTAGGAGTGGAACCTGGCAGTTCTCTCTACCACCTCCTTTTCTGCTACCTTTCCCACGCCCTTCACACTGAATCTGGTCCATCCTTTCCGTGTAACCTTTTAATTCCCTCATTCTGCCTACTGGCCTCCCTCAAGCCCTTGAATTTCCATTTAGATCACCATGCCTTGGCCCAAGCCTTCTTTTGGATCACTCTGATTCTGCTAACAGACTGCCCATGGTAGCTGGCAGAACTCACAGAAATTATGCTAGGTATTTTAATTTCCTTGGGCTGCTGTAGCAAATTACCGCAAAGTTAGTGGTAAAACAACAGAAATGCGTTCTCTCATGGTTTGGGGAACCAGGAGTCCAAAATCAAGATGTCTTGAGGGCTATGCTCTCTCCAAAGGCTCCAGGGCAGAATCCTTTCTTGCCTCTTCCAGCTTCTGGAAGCTCTGGTGTTCCTTGTTTTGTGGCATCATGACAGCCATCTCTACCTCCATCTTTGTGTGGCCTTCTTCCCAGTATCCTGGTATCTGTGACCTCTCTCCCCTTTTTCTTTTGTTCTTTTTTCTTTTTTTTTTGAGATGGAGTCTCGCTCTGTCACCAGGCTGGAGTGCAGTGGCATGATCTCAGTTAATTCCAACCTCTGCCTCCTGGGTTCAAGTGATTCTCCTGCCTTGGCCTCCCGAGTAGCTGGGACTACAGGCATGTGCCACCACGCCCAGCTAGTTTTTGTATTCTTAGTAGAGATGGGGTTTCACCATGTTGGCCAGGATGGTCTTGAACTCTTGACCTCGTGATCCGCCTGCCTTGGCCTCCCAAAGTGCTGGGATTACAAGCGTGAGCCACTGTGCCCAGCCTCCCCTTTTTCTTATGAGTCACCAGTCATTGAATTTAGGGCCCATCCTAAATTTAAGATGACCTCATTTAGAAATCCTTAACTTAATTATATCTGCAAAGACCCTATTCCCAAATAAGGTCACACCCACAGATACCAGGTCTTAGGACCTGGACATATCTTTTAGGGGGGCACAATTCAACCCACTATACTAGGTCACCACAGATTCTTGCTGTTCCTTGCTGTTCTCCCCAACCCCATTTCTGCATGTCCAAAGCCCATGTATCCTGTCCCAAACACCATTTCTTCCACAAAGCATGTCCACAATTTCTCAGTTATAAGCACCTCTTCTTCCTCTAAACTCTCATCTGCTTTTTGTTTCTCATTTGTAGCTTTTATCAAGTTCTACATTTTAACAGTGCTGTCTATGTGAGAGAGAATTCCACTTTCTCTGGTTACCTGAGTGCTCCCCAGGTGTCTGGTCACCAAACTTCATGTGGAAATCTTTGGTCTGGCTAGAATCATTTATGTTGTTCCTGCTGACACTGAATATGCAGCCCTGGGCTCTGTACTGTATGGTTCCTGTCTCTCTCTTCTTCCCTAACCAGTTGTCTGTCTTTCTGTCTCTTAGCCTCTCCTTTTCCTCTGTCCTCAACTTAACAATCTGCCCCTTCTCTACTTCCGCCCCTCAGTCTCCCAGCAAGGTGAGCCCTGTGAAGCACAAGTCTGCCCCATGCACACGAGCCCCTCAGGCCACCACTGTCTCCTTATTTTCTTCTCCACCCAGTTAAGTCCTTTGCTTGAGGCTTTCTCCTACCTTCCCTCCCGCCCACTAGGTATCTTTCTCTGAGAACACTCCCCTCACTGTCTTGCTTTTCCTGATGGCATGACTTCCCTTCCTTCTAATACCTAACGTGCCTTCCATCCCACAAAATTACTGCATTCTTCTTTTGTATTCCCGTAGTTTGTTCCTGTCTCTGTGACAGTACCACCTTGATATGTTGCTTTAAAATTACTTCATGGTGGGGCATGGTGGCTCATGCCTGCAATCCCAGCATTTTGGGATTATAGTGCTATAACTCCTGGCCTCGAGAATCTGTTGCAGAATAGCAAGACCCTCATCTTGAAAAGAAAAAAAATTACTTCTTCAGATTTTTTTTTTTGAGACAGGGTCTCACTTTGTCACCCAGACTAGAGTACAATGGCACAAAGACAGCTCACTGAAGCCCCAACCTCCCAGGCTCAAGCAATCCTCCCACCTCAGCCCCCAAGTAGCTGGGACTACAGGTACGCACCACCACACCTGGCTAAATTTTGTATTTTTTGTAGAGATGGGGGTTTGCTGTGTTACTCAGGCTGGTCTCAAATGCCTGAGCTTAAGCGATCCACTTACTTTGGACTCCCAGAGTGCTGGGATGACAGGTGTGAGCCACTGTACCCAGCCCACTTCTTCAGATTTTGCTGATGACCTCACCCTTCCTACCTACAATATGCTCCAATTCCACTTAGATTTATACATTAGCCACAGGCAGTGGCACACACCTCTAGTCCCAGCTACTGGAGAGGCCGAGGGTCGTGTGAGCCCAGGAGTTTGAGGCTGCAGTGTGTTATGATTATGCCTATGAACTCCAGCCTGAGCAACTTAGAGAGACCTTGTCTCAAAACAAAAACAAAAACAAAACAACACAAAACAAAAAATTTATCCCTGGTAATAGAATTGGGATGTACATTTTGAGAATTGTGGTATGCTAGGTTCACCTGGCTGGAACGGTGGAAGATACGAAAAGGGATATAAATTCAAAGAGCCCCTGAACTCACAAGAACAGCTCCAGTCTTGTCTTCTGAATATACTGACTCTAACACCGTGAGGATGCCCTTTCCTATTTCAACCAAAACAGCCTTAGTGATTCTCTCCCTTCTGGATACTGATACTGGGTTACAGGTAAGTCAAAGTGCAGCCAGGATACAAGAAATACTCTTTCTTTTTCCTTTATTCTCCATCCTCGCTTTTCCTATCCCTCTTCCAGCTGCTTAGAAAATTCTAAGGCAAGAGTCATGGCACTAGATTAAGAAATGTTTGTTTTAATTAGTGGCCTCTCTTCTTCTTTTTCTTTTATAATTCCTCCTGCATTTCTAAAAGACTATATGAGTTATGATACTTTCACAATTATTTTTATTATAATGGGTGATTTTGAGCTTTTGGTATGAATTATGCTGTTCTAAAGCAATTGAGGTTAACATCTAGAAACTGGAAACAAATTAGCTATTCATATATGACTCCCCATGAGATTATAAGCTTATTTTGGATAAGGACTCTATCATTTTTATTTCTGTGTTTCCAGTACCCAGTGGTTCCAGATACATGGGGTATTCAGTCATTGAAAGAACTTTCTCTCTTGCTACTCTAGTTTCTCTGTGAAGAGGGGATTATCTGACGCTCAGCTCCATTACTAGAGCCAGCTTCTTTCCCATGAACCATGGGAAACCTATCTAGTTTCCTACGGGTGGTGTTGACATTTAAGATATACTCACTGGGGAACATCAAAAGTAATAAAGATTGCCACCACACCCAGCCCTTTGCATTCTTTTGACCATGTCTTTTAATACACAAACTTTTAAATAAAATAGGTTTTATCTTCCTACCTGACATATGTATTTTCAAGGCTGGGTGCGGTGGCTCATGCCTGTTATTCCAGCACTTTCGGAGGCAGACGGATCATTTGAGATCAGGTGTTCAAGACCAGCCTAGCCAACACGGTGAAACTCCGTCTCTACTAAAAGTACAAAAATTAACTGGGCATGGTGGTACGCGCCTGTAATCCCAGCTACTCAGAAGGCTGAGGCAGAATGGCTTGAGCTGGGAGGTAGAGATTGCAGTGAGCCAAGATTACGCCACTGCACTCCAACCTGGGAGACAGAGCAAGACTCCGTCTCAAAAAAAAAAAAAAAAGTAATAAAGATCATTACTTTTTATTAGGATATGGTTCTTCCCATCCAACTCGCTCAAAATTTCAACCCTATGATTGATGTAAGTGTGATCCTGAGTGAATGAGAGAAAGAGGGAAGGTTGGGAAGAAGCATTCTTAGACTGCAGTGCAGTCTAAGGAAAGTCAGCAAGAGAACTAAATGAAGCGGTGCCACCACTGTACCTTCTGCAGTTACCCTTAGTTTGTTGTTTTGGAAAGACAGACAGAAGCAGGGGAGGGAAGGAAAAGAAAAAGTGAAAAGAAAAACAATATTGTTTGAAGGCTTAGAAAACAGCTGCAACAACAGAACTTTCCTTATAACCCCTTTTGTATGTAAGAAAGGATTAAGTAAATATTGATGCATTCCTCACTTCCAGAACAATTTATAGGCTAGAAAGGGCGCTGGAGAGGATTGCCCTCATTATGAGCTAGTGAAGGGTTTCTGGTAGGATGGAAAGCATGCTTTGGTGCTGTAAAACTGGATTCCAAATGATACTAACAAGCAGTGTAACTAGGCAAATCAGTTCATCTCTTTCAGCTACAGTTTTTTCACTTATAAAATCATGATAATAATATTGACCCTATAGAATAGTTGGAGGGATTAAATTAAGTGAGAAAACATATGTAGAGTACACGGTATGCAATAGATGTTTAATAAGTAAAAATCCCGGCAGGGCGCAGTGGCTCACGCCTGTAATCCTAGCACTTTGGGAGGCCAAGGCGGGTGGATTGCCTGAGCTCAGGAGTTCGAGACCAGCCTGGGCAATATGGTGAAACCCTATCTCTACTAAAATAAAAATAAAAATAAAAATAAAAAACTAGCTGGGAGTGGTGGCATATGCCTGTAGTCCCAGCTACTCGGGAGGCTGAGGCAGGAGAATTGCTTGAACCCGGGAGGCGGAGGTTGCAGTGGGCTGAGATGGTGCCACTGCACTCCAGCCTGGCAACAGAACAAGACTCCGTCTCAAAAAAAAAAAAAAAAAAGTGATAATCCCACTCTAGTTTGGAAAGAGAATCCAGAATAGATGGGAAAGACAATGTACATGAGAACTGATCCTGGATACCTAAAGAAGAAAATGAATTATTGGAAGGAAGGAATTATCAAGGGGGATAGAAAAGAGTCAAAAAGCAAGATAATCTAGAAGCAGAAAAACACAGCTAAGCTCATGCCACAAGAACAGTGGACATTGACCTAGATACCACTATTGACAGACCTTGCTGTGACTGCTTCTGGATTTGCAAGGCCACTGTGAATAGTTTTCATACTATTGCGTATCTTTGCATAGTGGGCTCCCCCACTTATAATATTGAGTGGGAACATCAAATTGGCAGAGACTGAGTAACATGCTCACACCCCAGCATGAGAAAGATCTTAGAAAAGGACAAATGATCTCTATATTGCTTAAAATAATGCTAGCAACTGTAACAAACCCCAAGGTTTAAGTTACTTAACATAATAGAAGCTTGTTGTTTACCCTGACATTCTAGTGTAGCTATTCTTCCACACGGTGGGCAGCTTTCCCCCTTGCGGTGATTTAAGGACCCAGGCTTCTTCTGTCTTGTGGGTTCATCATCCCTAGATTTGTCTGTATTCAACTGGAGAATGGGGAAGAAGACAAGTGGAAGGGAAGCCCTGTTTATTAAAGACCCCACCTCCACCTGGACGCAAGGGCAAGGATGACAATGTACTCCCTGGCTGGCCAGCCACTTTCCAGTAGCAACTCCACACAGCAGAAGAAGGATTACAAATTTTTAGTTGACAGTTATCTATGTATGCCACACCCTCTACTGGGCCAATGTATATGGGAAAAAGTATGAAGTGGGGCAAGGTACTGAGGATTAAAGGACCCTGGGAAAGTGGAGAACGGTTTTGAGTAGTTGATTTGGGGAATGGGAAAAGAGATAGTACACTGGGAAGTTTAAGTGGAAAATATCAATTCTGGGCCACAGGATTGTCTAAACAGCACAGCGTTTGTGACGACTTCTTTCCTAGGATGGTTGAACTAAGCTCCTTTTATGTATAGCACTGCGTGACATGTAGGGGTTGGCCAGGATGATATAATGGTGACTATCTCCAGGAGCCTTCTAAACAAATGGGAAAGATGTATACATAGAAAGATAAATTTTATTTTCTAGGTAGCATTTGGGAAGTGTCAAGTAAGTGGTCGGGGGAAGTGCTCTAAGAGTTCAAAGTAGGAGTTTATCACTGACATGTTGGGGCTTAGAGTAGGTGCTTAGTCCAGGTCTGCCAAGAAGCTGATGCCAAGACAGGATCACATGTGGAAGAAATTTATTAGGGAAATGCCTGTGAGAAAAAATGGTGAGGGAGCCAGGGAAGTCTGGGAGAGCCTTGGACTATGTAAATAGTGTAAAGTAAATCTGACCCTGAGTGAGAGAGAGAGAGGGAAAGATGGAAGGCAGGCTGAATGGAGGCCTCTTAGACTGCAGAGCAGACCAAGGAAAGTTGAGCATCAGGAAGTCTTTGAGCAAAGTCACCTACCAGATGAGCCCCATCTCCCAGGAATGGACCTGCCACACAGTCATCAGCTGGGAGCAGTCTTCAAGAAGCATGGCCTCACAGTACATTCAGCCACAGATTGCGGAGGGTCCCAGCTGGGGCTCTTGGTCAATTAGACTCCTTGCATTCAAAGACCTGAGGGTGAATTCTTTTTATTTTTTTTTTTTTTTGAGACAGAGTCTCATTCTGTCGCCCAGGCTGGACTGCAGTGGCGTGATCTCGGCTCACTGCAAGATCCGCCCGCCAGGTTCACACCATTCTCCTGCCACAGCCTCCTGAGTAGCTGGGACTACAGGCGCCCGCCACCACACCTGGCTAATTTTTTGTATTTTTAGTAGAGACGGGGTTTCACCGTGTTAGCCAGGATGGTCTCGATCTCCTGGCCTTGTGATGCACCTGCCTCAGCCTCCCAAAGTGCTGGGATTACAGGCGTGAGCCACCACGCCTGGCCGAGAGGTGAATTCTTATGGCCACCACAGTCTACCATTTGCACCACACAGATCTACTTTTTCCCTCAGGTTTGGGGAGCAGCTAGCTCCTTTACGGTTTCTGTAGACCTTTCTTCCTGAGAGTTATAACTCAAAAAGCATCTGAAACAAGTCTTGATCTATTTAGAGGTTTATTTTGCCAAGGATTCACCAAGGAAAAAGAGACACAAGTCACAAGAGACAAGGAAAAAGAGACACAGGTCTGTGGCCTGTGCTTTTTCCAAAGAGTGTTTTGAAGGGCTTCAATATTTAAAGGGGAAAGAACGGCAGGAGGGGAAGGATAAGAAAAAAAAAGGGAGTGTAGGTAGTGAGGTAAGGGGTCACATTCTTGTGAGGCTCACCAAATCCACATTTTACATGTGAAAAGAGAAGGCTGAAGGGAAAAGTCCATTATGCAGGGCTCAGTAGATCTACATTTGACATAAGATAAAGTAAGTCTGTGAAGTTACATCTCTCTAGGAACAAAAGGAAGGTAGTTTTTGCATGACTCAGTTCCCAAGCTTTTCCCTTTGGCATAGTGAATTTGGCGTCCAAAGATTTTATTTTCCTTTCACAGGGGAAACTCAGACAAGGGAAGGTAGTGGAAAGAACTGCAACCTCTGTCGCTGCAATCGATCTCATTCTCTCCTTCCTGCACTATCCATCCTCCAATCCCCTCAACTTGGCAGATCTTGGTGACTTACCTAGTGATGGGACTCAAACTTTCATTCTGGAAGTATCTGAACCAGAAAGATATCTATACCTTTCTCAAGCCTGTGTTACTTCATATTCAGTTTACAACAGAGCAAGAGAGTACCAGGAGGCACTTAAGTGGGTCACCTAGCTTCCACATGTATTCTTCTTTGTCCCTGTTGTGTAAAAGCAGCCCTCTACCAAGCAGGGTCAATGACTCCTGCCAGAATGGTGATTCCTGTTTTTGCCCACTGCTTACTAGACACAAGGAGTCCAAAGTGCCCTGGCAGCAGCTGTAGATTGTGGTTCAATAGGACCTTTTTTCTTTTTTTTTTTCTTTTCTTTTTTTTTTTTTTTTTTTTTGAGACACTCTGTCACCCAGGCTGGAGTGCAGTGGTGCAATCACAGCTCGCCACAGCCTCAACCTCCTGGGTTCAAGTGGTCCTCCACCTCAGCCTCCAAAGTTGCTGGGACTACAGGCACATACCACCACACCTGGCTAATTTTTGCTTTTTTGTTTTTTTGTTTTTTTTTGAGACAGAGTCTTACTCTGTCGCCCAGGCTGGAGTGCAGTGGCACGATCACAGCTCACTGCAACCTCCACCTCCCAAGTTCAAGCGATTCTCCTGCCTCAGCATCCTTAGTAGCTGGGACTGCAGGTGCACGCCACCATGCCTGGCTAATTTTTGTATTTTTAGTAGAGATGGGTTTCACCATGTTGGTCAGGCTGGTTTCAAACTCCTGATCTCGTAATCCACCCACCTCAGCCTTCCAAAGTGCTGGGATTACAGGCATGAGGCACCACGCATGGCCAATTTTTGTATTTTTTGTAGAGACAGGGTTTCGCCATGTTGCCCAGGCTGGTGTCAAACTCCTGACCTCAAGCCATCGGCCCACCTCAGCCTTCCAAAGTGCTGGGACTATAGGCGTGAGCCACCATGCATGGCCTCAATGGGACTTTTGATGTATCCTTGGTAAGAGTATACCCTATTTGGGGACCAGGACCTCTAACCCTGCAGGATCAAGAGTTGTGGGGACAAGAAGCACCTAATCATGTCCTTGTCCCCGGTGGGACATTGAGTGTAAGTGGGGTCACCCCTGCTTCTATCCTTTGCTTTCCAGACCCATGTATTCTTCCTACTGAGGACATAGCACCATAGAGAGGGCTCTGATTTAATACATACACTGTGTCCTGAAGGATGGCACCCCATCCATCCAGACTGCTGCCTCCCTACTGATACTTCAGCACTGTTAGAAGGCAATTCCAGACCTGCTTTGACTGAGCATTCTCATGTCTCAGCAGCTCTGCTACTCTAACAATTAGGTATTCAGCCTGCCGCTCAGCACTGCGTACCCTTCCTGTGCCAGAGATAAGGGTCTCTTTATAGGCTATCCCAAAGGCCCTATGGCTTTCTCACTTAACTAAAAACTGCTTGTTAACTGCCCTTAGTCTCATTATTTCTCAACAGGCCATCAATACAACTTAGTAGTAACCACCCAACTTTACTCTCTCTGTAGAAATTGTCCCCCCTGTCTCCCTTGTTTTCGAATAACTACATCATCACATCTGCCAGGGCATTACCCTCCACTGAAACGTTTTCCCAGGTAAACACTAGTGAAGTTTTGGCAGTTGAGCTACCACCTTATGGCAGGGACTGTCCGTACTCCACCTACTAACTAGCATGGCATCCTTTTTGCTGCTGGGCAGTGGATGAGCCAATCCAAATTCCCATCCTACCACCTATTTTCTTGGACCACTCCTGGTACTACTTATGTTAGTCTAGGACCCTGAGGATTAACTGCGTAAGAAATTTATTAGAGGAAATGCCTGTAAGATAAAATGGGGGGAGGTGGCCAGGCGTGGTGGTTCATGCCTGTAATCCCAGCACTTTGGGAGGCCGAGGCAGGTGGATCACCTGAGGTCAGGAGTTCAAGACCAGCCTGGCCAACATGGTGAAACCCCATCTCTACTAAAAAATGCAAAAATTAGCCGGGTGTGGTGGCGGGCACCTGTAATCCCAGCTACTCAGGAGGCTGCAGCAGGGAGAATCGCTTGAACCTGGGAGGTGGAGGTTGCAGTGAGCCCAGATTGCGCCACTGCACTCCAGCCTGGGTGACGGAGCAAGACTCTGTCGCAGAAAAAAAAAAAAAAGATAAAATGGAGGGGCAAATAGGCAAATAGGGGAGGCGGGGAAAGCCATCAGACTGCAATACAAGTCTGACCCAGAGTGAAGGAAAAAAGATTGGATTGAAGAATTTTATACCCCATTGCATTTCTAAGGGAAGTTTGACAAGGCAGTTTGGGATTTCTCAAGTCAGTTGCCTGTCAGAGGAACCTGGCATCTCTCTGGAATGGGTGCCTTAGCATGTCTGCCATGTGCAGTCATTGGCTGGAAGCATCCTGTGGGAAGCAGAGCCTTGGTGCAAACACAGTGATCAATTTCAGAAGCCAGTAGCTGGGGCTGTCATTCAGTAATGTTCTCTATAATTAGAGATCTGAGAGGTGCATTCTCAAGGCCACCACAGAAATCTTCATGGATGAGGCATGGAGGAAGTGAAAGAGGGACAGGACCTAGAAAATCAGTAGAATTTAGACAAGTGGTGATGGACAGAAAATATATCCAATGATGATATGTAGGCAGAGTGTAATATGTGTTCTAGGTAAAATAAACAGGGCACCTTATCTGAAGGGCACCTTATTAAAGGGCTTACTTTAGAGGTGATATGGGAAAAAATGTTAGAAAAGTAGGTAAAGATAGAATTGTTGTGGGACTTGAATGCCAGTATGAGAAATTTAGACTCTATCCTGTAGGCATTGGGAAGCCATGGACATATCAAGTCTACATTTTACCTAATCTCTCAGTGGCATTGAATACTATTGACTACTCTTTCCTTTTCTATTTTTATTTTTATTTTTAGAGACAGGGTCTTGCTGTGTTGCCCAGGCTGGAGTGTAGTGGCATGATCATGGCCTACTGCAGCCTCGACCTCCCAGGCTCAAGTGATCCTCCCACTTCAGCCTCCCAAGTATCTGGGACCACAGGTTTGTGCCACCATGCCCGCTAATTGTTTTTTTTTTTTTTTTTTTTTTTTGGTAGAGACAGGGTCTCGCCATGTTGCCCAGGCTAGTCTCAAACTTATGGGCTCAAGCAATCCTGCCACCTTGGCCTCCCAAAGTGCTGGGATTATAGATGTGAGCCCCCACGCCTGGCTTCTTTTTCAGTTCCTCCTTCATAAAACATTATTTTGGCTTTTTTGACATAACACACTCCAACTTTTCACACTCCAGCTTTTCCTCCTATGTCTTTGGCTACTCATTCTTAGTCTCCTTTGTTCAGTTCCTCATGACTTGAAAGTGGATGACCTGCCCAGGGGAGAATATAAACAAAGAAGAACAAAAATAAATAATGAACTAATTAATCCATCCAGGCAAATATTTCATGATTATGTCACTCACAAACCTAAATCCCTTTTTAAAACTTTCCTTGAGACAACTTCTCCCTCTGTCCCCCAGGCTGGAGTACAGTGGCATGAACATGGCTCACTGCAGTCTCGACCTACTGGGTTTAAGGGATCTTCCTGCCTCAACCTCTGGAGTAGCTAGGACCACAGGCGTGCAACACCATGCCCAGCTAATTTCTCTGATTTTCAAATAGAAACTCTTCAGTGACTTCTCAATGTTCATATGACAATGACAAAGATTTTTTTTTTTTGAGATGGAGTCTCGCTCTGTCTCTCAGGCTGGACTGCAGCGGCGCAATCTCAGCTCACTGCAACCTCCACCACCCGGGTTCAAGCAATCCTCCCATCTCAGCCTTGTGAGTAGCTGGGACTACAGGTGCAAGCCACCATGTCCGGCTAATCTTTGTATTTTTAGTAGAGATGGGGTTTCACTATATTGGTCATGCAGGTCTCAAACTCCTGACTTCAGGTAATCCACCCACCTCAGCCTCCCAAAGTGCTGGGATTATAGGCCTGAGCCACCACGCCCAGCTAAGATTCTTAACATAGCCTATAAGAGCCTACATGGCCTAGACCCTACCTATATCTATAATTCATCCAGTATTATCCCTCAGTCTCTCTGCTCCAGCCACACTGGTCTTCTGTCTCCTGTCAACTCCTGAAATGCACGTTCTCTACTTCTGCAGGGTCTTTGCCTTCATTGGGTGGAAGGTTCATCTCTCAGTAATGTCTGCTCTTCAAAATGTCTACTCATCCTTCATATCTCAGCCTTACACTTTCATAGAGAAGCCGTCCCTGATTTCTTCAACTAAATCAAACCTTTCTATGTGTCCTAGCACCATGCTCCTTTTATTAGTAACAGTTATCAAAATTGTAATTTTATATTTATTTGTGTGAATATTTGATGGTCAATCTTGTCATTCTCTTCAGTTAGACTGTAAGGTACATGATGGCAAGGACTCCAAGATAAGTATTATCTTCATTTTTCTTGTGTCACGTTGCATCTCTAGCTTCTAGCACTTAGGGCAGTGACTGAAACATACTTACCATGGTAGCTGAAATAACTACTGCATGAATGAATGAATGAACTGTAGCTCTTGAGCAGAGGATAGTGGTGAAGTCTGTGCAAAGTGATTCTTAGTTTAACAAGTCAATACTGAGTAAGATGAATTAAAGGTCTGGTAGATATATTAGGAGATCTGCTTTAAAAGTCTACTGCAGCATTTAGTCTAGGGAAAAAACAAAACAAAACAAAAAGCCTACTGTAGGTCTGAAGTGAAGAAGGTATATTAGGAAAAAAACTAAGTTGCTGTATAAAAGAACTGCTAAATACAATGGCCTGGCCAGGCATGATGGCTCACACCTGTAATCCCAGCATTTTGGGAGGCAAAGGCAGGCAGATCACTTGAGGCCAGGAGTTCAAGACCAGTCTGACCAACATGGCAAAACACCATATCTACTAAAAATACAAAAATTAGCTGGGCATGGTGGCACACACCTGTAATCCCAGCTACTTGGGAGGCTGAGGCACAAGAATCACTTGAACCCAGGTGGCAGAGGTTGGAGTGAGGCAAGATCACACCACTGCTCTCCAGCCTGGGTGACAGAAAAAGACTCTGTCTCAAAAAAAAAATAATAAAAATACGTAAATACAGTGGTCTAAATAAAACAGTAGTTTATTTCCTCCCACGGACATCATCAAAGTTTAAGTGCAACAGTATTCACTGTACTGTTTTTTGTTTTTTGTTTTTTGTTTTTTGGGGTTTTTTTTGGAAACGAACTTTTGCTCTTGTTGCCCAGGCTGGAGTGCAATGGTGCGATCTTGGCTCACTGCAACCTCCGCCTCCTGGATTTAAGTGATTCTCCTGCCTCAGCCTCCCAAGTAGCTGGGATTACAGGCATGCACCACCATGCCCAACTAATTTTTTTGTATTATTAGTAGAGACAGGGTTTCTCCATGTTGGTCAGGGTGGTCTTGAACTCCCAACCTCAGGTGATAAGCCTGCCTTGACCTCCTAAAGTGCTGGGATTACAGGCATGAGCCACCGCTCCCGGCTTCACTGTAGTGGTTTTTTTTTCTTTTTCTTTTATTATTATTATACTTTAAGTTTTAGGGTACATGTGCACAATGTGCAGGTTAGTTACATATGTATACATATGCCATGCTGGTGTGCTGCACCCATTAACTCGTCATTTAGCATTAGGTATATCTCCTAATGCTATCCCTCCCCGCTCCCCCCACCCCACAACAGTCCCCAAAGTATGATGTTCCCCTTCCTGTGTCCATGTGTTCTCATTGTTCAGTTCCCACCTATGAGTGAGAACATGCGGTGTTTGGTTTTTTGTCCTTGCGATAGTTTAATGAGAATGATGATTTCCAATTTCATCCATGTCCCTACAAAGGACATGAACTCATCATTTTTTATGGCTGCATAGTATTCCATGGTGTATATGTGCCACATTTTCTTAATCCAGTCTATCATTGTTGGATATTTGGGTTGGTTCCAAGCCTTTGCTATTGTGAATAGTGCCGCAATAAACATACGTGTGCATGTGTCTTTATAGCAGCATGATTTATAGTCCTTTGGGTATATACCCAGTAATGGGATGGCTGGGTCAAATGGTATTTCCAGTTCTACATCCCTGAGGAATCGCCACACTGACTTCCACAATGGTTGAACTAGTTTACATTCCCACCAGCAGTGTAAAAGTGTTCCTATTTCTCCACATCCTCTCCAGCACCTGTTGTTTCCTGACTTTTTAATGATTGCCATGCTAACTGGTGTGAGATGGTCTCTCATTGTGGTTTTGATTTGCATTTCTCTGATGGCCAGTGATGGTGAGCATTTTTTCATGTGTTTTTTGGCTGCATAAATGTCTTCTTTTGAGAAGTGTCTGTTCATGTCCTTTGCCCACTTTTTGATGGGGTTGTTTTTTTTTTTTTGTAAATTTGTTTGAGTTCTTTGTAAATTCTGGATATTAGCCCTTTATCAGATGAGTAGGTTGTGAAAATTTTCTCCCATTTTGTGGGTTGCCTGTTCACTCTGATGGTAGTTTCTTTTGCTGTGCAGAAGCTCTTTAGTTTAATTAGATCCCATTTGTCAATTTTGGCTTTTGTTGCCATTGCTTTTGGTGTTTTAGACATGAAGTCCTTGCCCATGCCTATGTCCTGAATGGTAATGCCTAGGTTTTCTTCTAGGGTTTTTATGGTTTTAGGTCTAACATTTAAGTCTTTAATCCATCTTGAATTAATTTTTGTATAAGGTGTAAGGAAGGGATCCAGTTTCAGCTTTCTACATATGGCTAGCCAGTTTTCCCAGCACCATTTATTAAATAGGGAACCCTTTCCCCATTGCTTTTCTCAGGTTTGTCAAAGATCAGATAGTTGTAGATATGCGGCGTTATTTCTGAGGGCTCTGTTCTGTTCCATTGATCTATATCTCTGTTTTGGTACCAGTACCATGCTGTTTTGGTTACTGTAGCCTTGTAGTATAGTTTGAAGTCAGGTAGCATGATGCCTCCAGCTTTGTTCTTTTGGCTTAGGATTGACTTGGTGATGCGGGCTCTTTTTTGGTTCCATATGAACTTTAAGGTAGTTTTTTCCAATTCTGTGAAGAAAGTCATTGGTAGCTTGATGGGGATGGCATTGAATCTATAAATTACCTTGGGCAGTATGGCCATTTTCACGATATTGATTCTTCCTATCCATGAGCATGGAATGTTCTTCCATTTGTTTGTGTCGTCTTTTATTTCATTGAGCAGTGGTTTGTAGTTCTCCTTGAAGAGGTCCTTCACATCCCTTGTAGGTTGGATTCCTAGGTATTTTATTCTCTTTGAAGCAATTGTGAATGGGAGTTCACTCATGATTTGGCTCTCTGTTTGTCTGTTACTGGTGTATAAGAATGCTTGTGATTTTTCCACATTGATTTTGTATCCTGAGACTTTGCTGAAGTTGCTTATCAGCTTAAGAAGATTTTGGGCTGAGACAATGGGGTTTTCTAGATATACAATCATGTCGTCTGCAAACAGGGAAAATTTGACTTCCTCTTTTCCTAATTGAATACCCTTTATTTCCTTCTCCTGCCTGATTGCCCTGGCCAGAACTTCCAACACTATGTTGAATAGGAGTGGTGAGAGAGGACATCCCTGTCTTGTGCCAGTTTTCAAAGGGAATGCTTCCAGTTTTTGCCCATTCAGTATGATATTGGCTGTGGGTTTGTAATAAATAGCTCTTATTATTTTGAGATACGTCCCATCAATACCTAATGTATTGAGAGTTTTTAGCATGAAGCGTTGTTGAATTTTGTCAAAGGCCTTTTCTGCATGTATTGAGATAATCATGTCGTTTTTGTCTTTGGTTCTGTTCATATGCTGGATTACATTTATTGATTTGTGTATATTGAACCAGCCTTGCCTCCCAGGGATGAAGCCAACTTGATCATGGTGGCTAAGCTTTTTGATGTGCTGCTGGATTCGGTTTGCCAGTATTTTATTGAGGATATTTGCGTGAATGTTCATCAGGGATATTGGTCTAAAATTCTCTTTTTTTGTTATGTCTCTGCCAGGGACATAACAGGGAGAGTTAGGGAGGATTCCCTCTTTTTCTGTTGATTGGAATAGTTTCAGAAGGAATGGTACCAGTTCCTCCTTGTACCTCTGGTAGAATTTGGCTGTGAATCCATCTGGTCCTGGACTCTTTTTGGTTGGTAAGCTATTGATTATTGCCACAATTTCAGAGCCTGTTATTGGTCTATTCAGAGACCAATTCAAGACTATTCAACTTCTTCCTGGTTTAGTGTTGGGAGGGTGTATGTGTCGAGGAATTTATCCATTTCTTCTAGATTTTCTAGTTTATTTGCATAGAGGTGTTTGTAGTATTCTCTGATGGTAGTTTGTATTTCTGTGGGATCAGTGGTGATATCTCCTTTATCATTTTTTATTGTGTCTATTTGATTCTTCTCTCTTTTCTTCTTTATTAGTCTTGCTAGCGGTCTATCAATTTTGTTGATCTTTTCAAAAAACCAGCTCCTGGATTCATTAATTTTTTGAAGGGTTTTTTGTGTCTCTATTTCCTTCAGTTCTGCTCTGATTTTAGTTATTTCTTGCCTTCTGCTAGCTTTTGAATGTGTTTGCTCTTGCTTTTCTAGTTCTTTTAATTGTGATGTTAGGGTGTCAATTTTGGATCTTTCCTGCTTTCTCTTGTGGGCATTTAGTGCTATAAATTTCCCTCTACACACTGCTTTGAATGTGTCCCAGAGATTCTGGTATGTTGTGTCTTTGTTCTCGTTGGTTTCAAAGAACATCTTTATTTCTGCCTTCATTTTGTTATGTACCCGGTAGTCATTCAGGAGCAGGTTGTTCAGTTTCCATGTAGTTGAGCGGTTTTGAGTGAGTTTCTTAATCCTGAGTTCTAGTTTGATTGCACTGTGGTCTGAGAGACAGTTTGTTATAATTTCTATTCTTTTACATTTGCTGAGGATTGCTTTACTTCCAACTATGTGGTCAATTTTGGAATAGGTGCGACGTGGTGCTGAAAAAAATGTATATTCTGTTGATTTGGGGTGGAGAGTTCTGTAGATGTCTATTAGGTCCGCTTGGTGCAGAGCTGAGTTCAATTCCTGGGTATCCTTGTTGACTTTCTGTCTCATTGATCTGTCTAATATTGAGAGTGGGGTGTTAAAGTCTCCCATTATTATTGTGTGGGAGTCTAAGTCTCTTTGTAGGTCACTCAGGACTTGCTTTATGAATCTGGGTGCTCCTGTATTGAGTGAATATATATTTAGGATAGTTAGCTCTTCTTGTTGAATTGATCCCTTTACCATTATGTAATGGCCTTCTTTGTCTCTTTTGATCTTTGTTGGTTTAAAGTCTGTTTTATCAGAGACTAGGATTGCAACCCCTGCCTTTTTTTGCTTTCCGTTTGCTTGGTAGATCTTCCTCCATCCTTTTATTTTGAGCTTATGTGTGTCTTTGCACGTGAGATGGGTTTCCTGAATACAGCACACTGATGGGTCTTGACTCTTTATCCAATTTGCCAGTCTGTGTCTTTTAATTGGAGCATTTAGTCCATTTCCATTTAAAGTTAATATTGTTATGTGTGAATTTGATCCTGTCATTATGATGTTAGCTGGTTATTTTGCTCATTAGTTGATACAGTTTCTTCCCAGCCTTGATGGTCTTTACAATTTGGCATGATTTTGCAGTGGCTGGTACTGGTTGTTCCTTTCCATGTTTAGTGCTTCCTTCAGGAGCTCTTTTAGGGCAGGCCTGGTGGTGACAAAATCTCTCAGCATTTGCTTGTCTGTAAAGTATTTTATTTCTCCTTCACTTATGAAGCTTAGTTTGGCTGGATATGAAATTCTGGGTTGAAAATTCTTGTCTTTAAGAATGTTGAATATTGGCCCCCACTCTCTTCTGGCTTGTAGAGTTTCTGCCGAGAGATCGGCTCTTAGTCTGATGGGCTTCCCTTTGTGGGTAACCCGACCTTTCTCTCTGGCTGCCCTTAACATTTTTTCCTTCATTTCAACTTTGTTGAATCTGACAATTATGTGTCTTGGGTTGCTATTCTCGAGGAGTATCTTTGTGGTGTTCTCTGTATTTCCTGAATCTGAATGTTGGCCTGCCTTGCTAGATTGGGGAAGTTCTCCTGGATAATATCCTGAAGAGTGTTTTCCAACTTGGTTCCATTCTCCCCGTCACTTTCAGGTACACCAATCAGACGTAGATTTGGTCTTTTCCAATAGTCCCATATTTCTTGGAGACTTTGTTTGTTTCTTTTTATTCTTTTTTCTCTAAACTTCCCTTCTCGCTTCATTTCATTCATTTCATCTTCCATCTCTGATATCCTTTCTTCCAGTTGATCGCATCGGCTCCTGAGGCTTCTGCATTCTTCACGTAGTTCTGGAGCCTTGGCTTTCAGCTCCATCAGCTCCTTTAAGCACTTCTCTGTATTGGTTATTCTAGCTATACATGCGTCTAAATTTTTTTCAAAGTTTTTAACTTCTTTGCCTTTGGTTTGAATTTCCTCCTGTAGCTCAGAGTAGTTTGATCGTCTGAAGCCTTCTTCTCTCAACTCGTCAAAGTCATTCTCTATCCAGCTTTGTTCTGTTGCTGGTGAGGAACTGCGTTCCTTTGGAGGAGAGGCGCTCTGCTTTTTAGAGTTTCCAGTTTTTCTGCTCTGTTTTTTCCCCATCTTTGTGGTTTTATCTACTTTTGGTCTTTGATGATGGTGATGTACAGATGGGTTTTTGGTGTGGATGTCCTGTCTGTTTGTTAGTTTTCCTTCTAACAGACAGGACTCTCAGCTGCAGGTCTGTTGGAGTTTGCTAGAGGTCCACTCCAGACCCTGTTTGCCTGGGTATCAGCAGCGGTGTCTGCAGAAAAGCGGATTTTCGTGAACTGCGAATGCTGCTGTCTGATCATTCCTCTGAAAGTTTTGTCTCAGAGGAGTACCTGGCCGTGTGAGGTGTCAGTCTGCCCCTACTGGGGGGTGCCTCCCAGTTAGGCTGCTCGGGGGTCAGGGGTTAGGGACCCACTTGAGGAGGCAGTCTGCCCTTTCTCAGATCTCCAGCTGCATGCTGGGATAACCACTGCTCTCTTCAAAGCTGTCAGATAGGGACATTTAAGTCTGCAGAGGTTACTGCTGTCTTTTTGTTTGTCTGTGCCCTGCCCCCAGAGGTGGAGCCTACAGAGGCAGACAGCCCTCCTTGAGCTGTGGTGGGCTCCACCCAATTCGAGCTTCCCGGCTGCTTTGTTTACCTAAGCAAGCCTGGGCAATGGTGGGCACCCCTCCCCCAGCCTCGCTGCTGCCTTGCAGTTTGATCTCAGACTGCTGTGCTAGCAATCAGCGAGACTCCGTGGGCGTAGGACCCTCCGAGCCAGGTGCGGGATATAATCTCCTGGTGCACCGTTTTTTAAGCCCGTCAGAAAAGCACAGTATTAGGGTGGGAGTGACCCGATTTTCCAGGTGCCGTCTGTCACCCCTTTCTTTGACTCGGAAAGGGAACTCCCTGACCCCTTGTGCTTCCTGAGTGAGGCAATGCCTCGCCCTGCTTCAGCTCGTGCACGGTGTGCTGCATCCACTGTCTTGCGCCCACTGTCTGGCACTCCCTAGTGAGATGAACCCAGTACCTCAGATGGAAATGCAGAAATCACCCGTCTTCTGCGTCACTCACGCTGGGAGCTGTAGACTGGAGCTGTTCCTATTCAGCCATCTAAAGTGTGGAAAGTAATAGCCTCAATGTCCAACAATAGCAGTGTAGTTAAGTAGATTGTTATACTGCTATTCAATGGAATAGCATCAGCTGTTAAAAAGTCATATGGTAGGCTGGGTGCAGTGGCTCACGCCTGTAATCCCAGCACTTTGGGAGGCCAAGGCAGGCAGACCACGAGGTCAGGAGATTGAGACCATCCTGGCTAACACAGTGAAACCCCGTCTCTACTAAAAATACAAAAAAATTAGCCAGGCGTGGTGGGGGGCGCCTGTAGTCCCAGCTACTTGGGAGGTTGAGGCAGGAGAATGGCGTGAGCCTGGGAGGCGGAGCCTGTAGTGAGCTGAGATAGCGCCACTGCACCCCAGCCTGGGCGACAGGGTGAGACTCCGTCTCAAAAAAAAAAAAAAAATCTTGTGGTAGAACAGTGGTTCTCAAACTGCTGTGTACATCAGAATTACATAGAGGGCTTGTTAAAGCACAATTTGCTGGGCTCACTCCCACAGTTTCTGATTCAGTGGGTCTGGGTGATGTCCAGAAATTTGCATTTACAAGCTCCTAGGTGATGCTGATGCTGCTGGGACTACAATTTGAGAACTGTCAGGCCTCTGAGCCCAAGTTAAGCCATCATATCCCCTGTGATCTGCACGTATAAATCCAGATGGCCTGAAGCAACTGAAGATCCACAAAAGAAGTGAAAATAGCCTTAACTGATTACATTCCACCATTGTGATTTTTTTCTGCTCCACCCTAACTGATCGATGTACTTTGTAATCTCCCCCACCCTTAAGAAGGTTGTAACTCTCCCCACCCTTAAGAATGTACTTTGTGAGATCCACCCCCTGCCTGCAAAACATTGCTCCTAACTCCACTGCCTATCCCAAAACCTGTAAGAACTAATGATAATCCCACTACCCTTTGCTGATTCCTTTTTCGGACTCACTCCGCCTGCACCCAGGTGAAATAAACAGCCTTGTTGCTCACACAAAGCCTGTTGGTGGACTCCCTTCACACGGACACATGTGACATTTGGTGCTGAAGACCCAGGACAAGAGGACTCCTTCGGGAGACCAGTCCCCTGTCCTCACCCTCACTCCATGAAGAGATCCACCTATGACCTCAGGTCCTCAGACCAACCAGCCCAAGGAACATCTCACCAATTTCAAATCAGGTAAGCAGTGTTTTCACTCTCTTCTCCAGCCTCTGTTGCTACCCTTCAATCTCCCTGTCCTTCCAATTCCAGTTATTTTTCCTCCCTAGTAGAGACAAAGGAGACACATTTTATCTGCAGACCCAAAACTCCGGCACTGGTCACAGACTTGGGAAGACAGTCTTCCCTTGGTGTTTCATCACTGTGGGGATGCCTGCCTGATTATTCGCCCACATTCCATTGGTGTCTGATCACCGCAGGGATGCCTGCCTTGGTCATTCATCCACATTCCCTTGGTGGCAAGTCAATTGCGGGGACACCTGCTTTGGCTGCTCACCCACATTGCAGCCCAGGGCTGCTCCCCTTCTCCATGTCTCTACCCTTCCCTTTAAACTTGCCTCCTTCACTATGGGTAACCTTCCACCCTCCATTCCTCCTTCTTCTCCCTTAGCCTGTATTCTCAAGAACTTAAAACCTCTTCAACTCTCACCTGACCTAAAATCTAAGCATCTTATTTTCTTCTGCAACACCGCTTGGCCCCAATACAAACTCGACAATGGTTCTAAATGGCCAGAAAATGGCACTTTTGGTTTCTCCATCCTACGAGACCTAGATAATTTTTGTTGAAAAATGGGCAAATGGTCTGAAGTGCCATACATCCCAGCATTTTTTACACTTCATTCCCTCCCTAGTCCCTGTTCCCAATGCAACTCATCCCAAATCCTCCTTCTTTCCCTCCCACCTGTCCCTTCAGTCCCAACCCCAAGCGTCGCTGAGTCTTGTGAATCTTCCTTTTCTACTGACCCATCTGACCTCTCACCTCCTCCCCAGACTGTTTCTCCTCAGGTCGCTCCCCACCAGGCTGAATCAGGCTCCAACTCTTCTTCAGCCTCTGCTCCCCCCACCCCCCATAACCCTTCTATTACCTCCCCTCCCCACACCTGGTCTGGTTTATGGTTTCATTCTGCAACTAGCTCTCCCCCACCTGCCCAACAATTTCCTCTTAGAGAGGTGGCTGGAGCTGAAGGCATAGTCAGGGTACACGTGCCTTTTTCTCTATCAGACCTTTCCCAAATCAGCCAGCATTTAGGCTATTTCTCATCAGACCCCATTAAATATACACAGGAATTCCGATATCTAACTCTGTCCTACAATTTAACGTGGAGTGACTTAAATGTCATCCTAACTTCTACCCTCTCCCCAGATTAACAGGAAAGAGTTTTTTCTCTAGCCCAAACTCATGCCGATAACCTCTGGCTTCATGAGCCAGACCTCCAGGAAGGCATTAGAGCAGTTCCCCGAGAAGATCCCCAATGGAACTATCAGGCAGATTCCTCAGGTATAGCTAGGGGAGATTACATGGTTTCCTGCCTAGTTGAAGGGCTTAAAAAGGCAGCTTACAAAGCTGTTAATTAGACAAACTTAAAGAAACTACCCAAGGTAAAGATGAAAACCCAGCCCAGTTCATGGCCCGCTTAGCAGCAACACTTAGACGCTTTACTGCCTTAGACCCAGAGAGGTGAGAAGGCTGCCTTATTCTTAATACACATTTTATCACCCAGTCAGCTCCTGACATCAGAAAAAAGGTTCAAAAATTGGAATCCAACCCTCAAACCCCACAACAGGAATTAATCAACCTCACCTTCAAGGTGTACAATAATAGAGAGGAGGTAGCCAGACAGCAATGCATTTCTGAGTTACAGCTACTTACCTCCACTGTAAGACAACCCACTGTAAGACAACCCACATCTCCAGCATACAAGAACTTCAGAACATCAAAGCCACAGCTCCCAGGGGCTCCTTCAAAACATCATCCTGGACCTTGCTTCAAATGCCAAAAGCCTGGCCACTGGGCCTCAGAATGCCCGCAGCCCAGGATTCCTCCTAAGCCATGCCCTGTCTGTGTGGGTCCCCACTGGAGGTTGGACTGTCCGACTCACATCGCCACTGCTCCTAAAGCCCCTGGAGCCCAAACCCAATGTTCCTTGGCTGACTCCTTCCCAGATCTCCTTGGCTTAGCAGCTGAAAACTGATGCTGCCCGATCACCTCGGAAGCCCCCTGGACCATCACGGATGCCAAGCTTCGGGTAACTCTTATGGTGGAGGGTAAGTCCATCCCCTTCTTAATCAGTATGGAGGCTACCCACTCCACATTACCTTCTTTTCAAGGGCCTGTTTCCCTTGCCTCCATAACCACTGTGGGTATTGATGGCCAGGCTGCTAAGCCTCTTAAAACTCCCCAACTCTGGTGCCAACTTGGACAATATTCTTTTTTTTTTTTTGAGACGGAGTCTCCCACTGTCACCCAGGCTGGAGTGCAGTGGCACAATCTTGGCTCACTGCAAGCTCCACCTCCCAGGTTCACACCATTCTCCTGCCTCAGCTTCCCAAGCAGCTGGGACTACAGGCAGCTGCCACCGCACTCGGCTAATTTTTTGTATTTTTAGTAGAGATGGGGTTTCACCATGTTAGCCAGAATAGTCTTGATCTCCTGACCTCGTGATCTGCCTGCCTCAGCCTCCCAAAGTGCTGGGATTACAGGTGTGAGCCACCGAGCCCGGCTGAACAACATTCTTTAGTGTACTCCTTTTTAGTTATCCCTACCTGCCCAGCTCCCTTATTAGGTTGAGACATTTTGACTAAATTATCTGCTTTCCTGACTATTCCTGGGCTACAGCCACACCTCATTGCCGCCTTTTCTCCCAGTTCAAAGCCTCCTTCACATCCACTCCTTGTATCTCCCCACCTTAATCCACAAGTATAGGACACCTCTACTCCCTCCTTGGCGATGGAGGATGCACCCCTTACCATCCCATTAAAATTTAATCACCCTTACCCTGCTCAACGCTGATATCCCATCCCACAGCACGCTTTAAAAGGATTAAAGCCTGTTATCACTTGCCTGTTACAGCATGGCCTTTTAAAGCCTATAAACTCTCCTTACGATTCCCCCATACCTGTCCAAAAACCGGACAAGTCTTACAGGTTAGTTCAGGATCTGTGCCTTATCAACCAAATTGTCTTGCCTATCCATCCCATGGTGCCAAACCCATATACTCTCCTATCCTCAATACCTCCCTCCACAACACATTCTGTTCTAGATAAACCTAGCTGACCCCATAAATCCTAAATCCTTTCCCCACTCCCCTTTCCATTCCTTAAAAAACAGCCCTAAAAGCTGCTCCCACACTAACTCTCCCTAACTCATCCCAGACCTTTTCATTACACACAGCCGAAGTACAGGGCTGTGCGGTCAGAATTCTTACATAAGAGCCGGGACTGCGCCCTGTAGCCTTTCTGTCCAAACAACTTGACCTTACTGTTTTAGCTTAGCCCTCATGTCTGCGTGCGGCAGCTGCCACTGCTTTAATATTTTTAGAGGCCCTCAAAATCACAAACTATGCTCAACTCACTCTCTACAGTTCTCATAACTTCCAAAAATCTGTTTTCTTTCCTGACACATACTTTCTGCTCCCCAGCTCCTTCAGCTGTACTCACTCTTTGTTGAGTCTCCCACAGTTACCATTGTTCCTGGCCCGGACTTCAATCCAGCCTCCCACATTATTCCTGATACCACACCTGACCCACATTACTGTATCTCTCTGATCCACCTGACATTCACTCCATTTCTCCATATTTCCTTCTTTCCTGTTCCTCACCCTGATCACACCTGGTTTATTGATGGCAGTTCCACCAGGCCTATTTGCCACACACCAGCAAAGGCAGGCTATGCTATAGTATCTTCCACATTTATCATTGAGGCTGCCGCTCTGCCCCCCTCCACTACCTCTCAGCAAGCCAAACTCATTGCCTTAACTCGAGCCCTCACTCTTGCAAAGGAATTACACATCAATATTTATACTAACTCTAAATATGCCTTCCATATCCTGCACCACCATGCTGTTATATGGGCTGAAAGAGGTTTCCTCACTATGCGAGGGTCCTCCATCATTAATGCCTCTTTAATAAAAACTCAACGCTGCTTTACTTCCAAAGGAAGCTGGAGTCACATACTGCAAGGGCCACCAAAAGGCATCAGATCCCATCGCTCAGGGCAATGCTTATGCTGATAAGATACCTAAAGAAGCAGCTAGCATTCCAACTTCTGTACCTCATGGCCAGTTTTTCTCCTTCTCATCGGTCACTCCCACCTACTTTCCCACTGAAACTTCCACGTTTCAGTCTCTTCCCATACAAGACAAATGGTTCTTGGACCAAGGAAAGTATCTCCTTCTAGCCTCACAGGCCCATTCTATTCTGTCATCATTTCATAACCTCTTCCATGTAGGTTACAAGCCACTAGCCCACCTCTTAGAACCTCTCATTTCCTTTCCATCGTGGAAATCTATCCTTAAGGAAATCACTTCTCAGTGTTCCATCTGCTATTCTACTACTCCTCAGGTATTGTTCAGGCCCCCTCCCTTCCTACACATCAAGCTTGGGGATTTGCCCCCCGCCCAGGACTGGCAAATTGACTTTACTCACATGTCCCAAGTCAGGAAACTAAAATACCTCTCGGTCTGGGTACATACTTTCACTGGATGGGTAGAGGCCTTTCCCACAGCATCTGAAAAGGCCGACACGGTCATTGCTTCCCTTCTGTCAGACGTAATTCTTCAGTTTGGCCTTCCCACCGCTATACGGTCCAATAATGGACTGGCCTTTACTAGTCAAATCACCCAAGCAGTTTCTCAGGCTCTTGGTATTCAGTGAAACCTTCACACCTCTTACCGTCTTCAATCTTCAGGAAAGGTAGAATGGACTAATGGTCTTTTAAAAACACACCTCACCAAGCTCAGCCTCCAACTTAAAAAAGAAAAAGGACTCTGTCAAGAATAGAGCCCAAAAACTCACCAACCAAACAAGTAATTACACTGAACCCCCTTGGACATTTTCTAATTGGATGTCCTGGGTCCTCCCAATTCTTAGTACTTTAATACCTGTTTTTCTCCTTCTCTTATTCAGACCTTGTGTCTTTTGTTTAATTTCTCAATTCATACAAAACCACATCCAGGCCATCACCAATAATTCTATATGACAAATGCTCCTTCTAACAACCCCACAATATCACCCCTTACCCCAAAATCTTTCTTCAGTTGAATCTCTCCCACTGAAGGTTCCCATGCTGCCCCAATCCTGCTCAAAGCAGCTCTGAGAAACATCGCCCATTATCTCTCCATACCACCCCCAAAATTTTTCGCCACTCCAACACTTCACGACTATTTTGTTTTGCTTTTCTTTAAATATAAGAAGACAGGAATGTCAGGCCTCAGAGCCCAAGCTAAGCCATCATATCCCCTGTGACCTGCACGTATACATCCAGATGGCCTGAAGCAACTGAAGATCCACAATAGAAGTGAAAATAGCCTTAACTGATGACATTCCACCACTGTGATTTGTTTCTGCCCCACCCTAACTGATCAATGTACTTTGTAATCTCCCCCACCCTTAAGAAGGTTATTTGTAATCTCCCCCACCCTTAAGAAGGTTGCTTGTAACTCTCCCCACCCTTGAGAATGTACTTTGTGAGATCCACCCCCTGCCCACAAAACATTGCTCCTAACTCCACCACCTATCCCAAAACCTATAAGAACTAATGATAATCCCACCATCCTTTGCTGACTCTCTTTTCACACTCAGCCCACCTGCACCCAGGTGAAATAAACAGCCTTCTTGCTCACACAAAGCCTGTTTGGTAGTTTCTTCACATGGATGCGCGTGACACTATCGTTGTAGAAGAAAATTTAATGACATGGGAAAATGTTTATGGCATGTTGCCAAGTGAAAAAAAAAAAGCTCCAAAATAGAATTATATTCATGATCTCATTTTGATAGAAAAAAACCCATATATTTCTGTACACATAAATCAAAGTCTGTAAAGACCACAAATTACAGTCGTCTCTCA
This sequence comes from Homo sapiens, assembly GCF_000001405.40. Taxonomy (NCBI): domain Eukaryota; kingdom Metazoa; phylum Chordata; class Mammalia; order Primates; family Hominidae; genus Homo; species Homo sapiens. The sequence continues at coordinate 136,217,257 of NC_000003.12, read as the reverse complement.
GTATATGCAGGGGGTTGCTTCCAGAACACCCGAGCATACCAAAATCCCCGCAAGCTCAAGTTCTGCATTTGGTCACGTGGAACTGCATGTACAAAAATCTTCCCTCCTCTGTATATGCAGGTTTTCCATCCCGGCAACACTGTATTTTCTTTTTTTTTTTTTCTGAGACAGAGTCTCACTCTGTCGCCCAGGCTGGAATGCAGTGGCCCGATCTCAGCTCACTGCAAGCTCTGGCCCCTGGGTTCACGCCATTCTCCTGCCTCAGCCTCCCTAGCAGCTGGGACTACAGGTGCCCACCACCATGCCTGCCTAATTTTTTGTATTTTTGGTAGAGATGAGGTTTCACCGTGTTAGCCAGGATGGTCTCAATCTCCTGACCTCGTGATCCACCCGCCTCGGCCTCCCAAAGTGCTGGGATTACAGGCGTGAGCCACCACGCCCGGCCAGAACACTGTATTTTCAATCTTCATTTGATTAGCAAAAATCCATGTGTAACCTCACAGTTCAAACCCATGTTGTTCAAGGGTCAACTGTATTAACAGGTAGATTTATAGGTGGTCTTTTTGTTTGTGTTTGTAAGTTATTTACAATGAACATTTGTAATAAAGTGATTTGTTGTTCTTTTTAAGAAAGAATTGACAAGACATTGAGGAGGAATGGTCAAAGAGTAACTCTAAGGTTATAAACTTGACAGAAAGGGAGATGATGACATAATGATAGAATAGAGTATAGGAAAGCGAGATCTGAATATTGGAGAAAAGATGATGAGTTTGGCTTTAGATGTATAAATTTTAAGGTGACTCAAGGATATCTAGCTGAAGATAGAAGCAAGAAGTTTGAGATGCAAATTTGAAGCTCAGAAGAGGCATCAAGTAGAGAAGTTGATATAATCATTTTTCAAAAAGGGATAATTTAAGCCATTAATGAGAGTGTAGGAGTTACCAGAATGGAGATATGAAATCAGATAGGCTAAAAACTGTGGCCTGGGCTGGGTGGGGTGGCTCACAACTGTAATCCCAGAACTTTGGGTGGCTGAGGTGGGTGGATCACTTGAGGTCAGGAGTTCGAGACCAGCCTGGCCAACATGGTGAAACCCCATCTCTACTAAAAATACAAAATTAGCTGAGTGTGGTGACGCAGGCCTGTAGTCCCAGCTACTCAGGAGGCTGAGGCAGGAGAATCGCTTGAACCCTGGAGGTGGAGGTTGCAGTGAGCCGAGATCACGCCACTGTACTCCAGCCTGGGGCAACAGAGTGAGACTCCATCTCAAAAAAAAAAAAAAAATACAAAAATTAGTCTGGCTTGGTGGCATGCGCCTGTAATCCCAGTTACTCAGGAGGCTGAGGCAGGGGAATCACTTGTACCCATGAGGCAGAGATTGCAGTGAGCCAAGATTGCGTCACTGCACTCCAGCCTGGCTGATAGAGCTAGTCTCTGCCTCAAAAACAAACAAACAAACAAACAAACAAAAAAATCCCTGTGGCCTGAATTAATACAATCATTCATTCATTCCTTCAAAACTAAATGAATGAATACATCAGACCTTCAAAAAAACCTAACAGTTTAATAAGTGAGACGGATGTAAATAGCTGATTTCAATTTAGGAGTATTAATATCAAATTGAAGGCTGGGCGCATTGGCTCATGCCTATAATCCCAGCACTTTGGGAGGCAGAGGCAGATGGATCACTTGAGGTCAGGAGTTTGAAACCAGCCTGGCCAACATGGCAAAATGCAGTTTCTACTAAAAATACAAAAATTAGCTGGGCGTGGTGGTGCCTGCCTATAGTCCCAGCTACTCGGGAGGCTGAGGCAGGAGAATCACTTGAACCTGGGAGGCAGAGGTTGCAGTGAGCTGAGATCTTGCCACTGCATTCCAGCCTGGGCAACAGAGGGAGACTCCGTCTCAAAAAAAAAAAAAAAATCAAATTGAAGGCTGGGCATGGTGATTCAGGCCTGTAATCTCAGGACTTTGGGAGGCCAAGGTGGGGGGATCACTTTAGCCCAGGAGTTTGAGACCAGTGTGGGTAACATAGGGAGACCCCTCTCTACTAAAAATAATATCAAATTGATATGAGAGGGAATCAGCAGCAAATGAAAGAGAGAAAGAGAATACACAGAAATAGGATAACTTGGACACTACAGAATCACAGAACAATGAGGAAGAATGTTTTAATTTTATTTTTTTTGAGATGGAGTATCGCTCTGTTGCCCAGGCTGGAGTGCAGTGGTGAGATCTCAGCTCACTGCAACCTCTGCCTCCTGGGTTCAAGTGATTCTCGTGACTCAGCCTCCCAAGTAGCTGGGACTACAGGCGCATGCCAGTCAAGCCTGGTTAATTTTTGTTTTGTTTTTTTTTTTTTTTTGAGACGCAGTCTCACTCTGTCACCCAGGCTGGAGTGCAGTGGTGTGATCTCGGTTCACTGCAACCTCCACCTCCAGGGTTCAAGCAATTCTCCTGCCTCAGCCTCCCGAGTAGCTGGGACTACAGGCGTCTGCCACCTCACCCGGCTAATTTTTTGTATTTTTAGTAGAGACGGGGTTTCACCAGGGCTGGTCTAGAACTCCTGACCTCAAGTGATTCCCCTACCTCGGCCTCCCAAAGTGTTGGGATTACAGGCGTGAGCCACCGTGCTTGGCCTAATTTTTGTATTTTTAATAGATATGGTATTTTACCACGTTGGCCAGGCTGGTCTCAAACTCCTGGCCTCAAGTGATCCACCCATCTTGGCCTCCCAAAGTACTGGGATTACAGGTGTGAGCCATCATGCCCTGTAAGGGAAGAATGTTTTAGAAAGAAAGATGTGATGAATAACAGGAAGTTTTTTTAGAACAGTTAAGAAGAATAAGGGTTAAGATTTTGTAAAGTAGGTTGATATTGTTGAATGATACCTTTCCTTTGTTCCACAATTGGTGCTTTGGGCCTATAACTGCAGACAATTAAGCTCTAAGTATCCTCAACACCTTCTTCAGGACTAAGAGGCAACAAAACCAGCCCTGCCATCACCTGCCACCACCTCAACACTCTTCCTAGTTCATAGAAAAACAGAGAAGTGGAGCATGAGAGTCCAGTCTTCTGGTTGTGCATTTATGGCCAGAGGCTTCTTGTTCCCCTCCCAAGGACGCTGTGCTTTTCCTCTATTTCCAGTGCCAAGTGGGATTGGAGCTGCAGGAGAGCAGGAAGGGAAGAGTGGTTTTCTGATTGAATGTATTATTGGGCTGGGAACTTGATCTGAGCAAAGGAAAAGGAACCGGAGATGGCAGATGGGGGTTGGTGGTGGGCTGTGGAGAAAACTAAACTCCCACTGTAGCAAAGATGAGTGTGTCCTGTTCTGGGGGACCTGAGAAAAATAGCTGGGATGTGAGCCATCTTGGCAATACTCCTTATAGCGAGGTATCACCAGGCAAGGAGGTCCTAGCAGCAAGAAGCTGCGGATTGAATGCTGGGAGTATGAATGAAAGAGGCTCTGGAAGTGGTTAAGGCGGAGATATTCTTCCATATCATGGGACTGTGCAGTGGAGTGGACACACAGAAGTGGTCTAGAAAAATGCAAACATGCACTCCAAGAGAGACCCTGCACTTGGTTGCCATCTATTCAGAACTTCAGTTGACAGTTGGTCAGAGAAACAGTGGCAACCATCAGAAACAGAACTGCGGCCCTTCCCAGTTGGACAGATGCATGTCCAGGTCCACTCTGAATATTTGCAGGGCCCAGGGCATAAGTACAAATGGTGACCTACGTACCATATGTCTAAATATTTGCACATTATTGATCAAACTAACAAACTTTTAAATAAAATAGGTTTATCCTTCTGCTTTGACAAATATATTTTCAAGGCCAGGCACAGTGGCTCACGCCTGTAATCCCAGCACTTTTGGAGGCTGAGGTGTATGGATCATTTGAGATCAAGAGTTAGAGACCAGCCTGGCCAATAAGGTGAAACCCTCCTCTCTACTAAAAATACAAAAATTAGCTGGGCATGGTGGTGCATGGCTGTAATCCCAGCTACTCGGGAGGCTGAGGCAGGAGACTCGCTTGAGCCCCAGAGGTGGAGGTTTCAGTGAGCTGAGATTTCACCACTGCACTCCTGCCAGGGTGACAGAGCAAGACTCTGCCTCAAAAACAAACACAAAAAAGCACAAACGAACAAATATAGTTTCAAAACAATATGGAAGGCCAGATTTGAATTTAGAATTTTTGAAATCCTTGGAGTTTCTTTTCTTTTTCTTTTTTTCTTTTTTTTTTGAGATGGTGTCTTGCTCTGTTGCCCCAGGCTGGAGTGCCATTGCCCCAGGCTGGAGTACAATGGTGCAACAGTCTCGGCTCACTGCAACCTCTGCCTCCTGGGTTCAAGCGATTCTCCTGCCTCAGCCTCCTGAGTAGCTGGGACTACAGGTGCACGCCACCATGCCTGGCTAATTTTTGTATTTTTAGTATTTTGTATTCTTAGTAGAGGTTTCACCATGTTGGCCAGGCTGGTTTCGAACTCCTGACTTGATGATCCACCAGCTTTGGCCTCCCAAAGTGCTGGGATTACAGGTGTGAGCCACCATGCCCAGCCCGATCCTTGGAGTTTCATACCAGAATGCAGCAGCACAGGTAGAATTGGTCCCCCAACCATGGCTGCTGGCCCACCTCCTTTCTCTTCCTACCTTTGGCTCTTTCTCATATGTTAAGGATCCTAACATGTACATCCCAACCCAAACATATAATCTCTATTACCAGTGCTGTCCCTTGGCTACTTATTAGGCTCTGGGGCAAATTTTCTTTACTCTGTGGACCCCTCTACCTGGCAGATAGGGAAGCATGGCCAGAGCTGCCTCTTCTGGTCTGGACCTGAGAGCACCACCGCCCTTGTCCTGTTTTCTCTTCTGTTTCACCAACACACCAGAGAAGCTAGATCTTCAAGAATGACAGGGAAAGGAAGAGTTGAGATTTTTAAATGTTTTAAAGTGTTTAGTTTGTGGCTGAAATTGCTAGTTGCCACCCAAAGTCTATTCCCTCCTTGTTCCTTAATAACAGAACTTCTGGCTGGGCGCGGTGGCTCACGCCTGTAATCCCAGCACTTTGGGAGGCCGAGGTGGGTGGATCACGAGGTCAGGAGTTCGAGACCAGCCTGGCCAATACGGCGAAACCCCGTTTCTACTAAAAGCACAAAAATTAGCTGGGTGTCGCGGTGGACACCTGTAATCCCAGCTACTCAGGAGGCTGAGGCAGAGAATTGCTTGAACCTGGGAGGCAGAGTTTGCAGTGAGCTGAGATCATGCCACTGCACTCCAGCCTGGGCGACAGAGCAAGACTCTGTCTCAAAAAAAACAAAAGAAAACAACAACAGCAACAACAAAACGTGAATTTGTCATGTTCACAAACCCACTAAAAGACTACTTTTCTGATTCCCTTCCAACTGAGCATGGCAATGTGACTAAATTATGGCCAAAGAAATGTAAGAAAAGTGTTATGTGGGCTGCTTAAAACTGGAGGCTGGTTAGAAGGTGCTGACTCAGCTGGGAGGTGGGCCCTTGTGTTCCCGTTTTGCCTTGCTGTTAGTTGAAATGTGAAATGCTGAAGCTTCAGGAGCCATCTTGGACTATTAGATAACCTTGAAGGTAGAAGGTATATATTTGGATGGTAGAGTATGAAGACAGAGCCTGGATCCCTGATAACAGTGGAACTGCCATACTAACTGTGCATGGCTTTCTTCCAGACTTTCTTTTTTACATAGAATAAGCCAATTTCTATTTTGCTTTAGCATTGTTATTTTAGGTTCTCTCTGATTTCGGCTAAATCCAATTCTGATTCAAAGTTTTAAATTAGACTATATTTTATTAACTAAAAATAACCAAAGTTATGGAATCTGCCCAAGACATAACATAGGGACAAGAAAGGGCAATTTAATACAGCAATGTTCAAAATAGTCATTGGATAATTTTAAAAAGTCAAACACTGGGGGCCTTCTGTGGTTTATTTTTATTTTTTTAAACTGAGGCAGGGTTTTGCCATGTTGCCCAGGCTGGTCTCGAACTCCTGGGCTCAAGGGATCCACCCACCTTGACCTCCCAAAGTGCTGGGAGGTTGCGCCACCCACCGCCAAGCTCCACTATGCCCAGTTCCTCTGTAGTTTTGAAGAATATCGTTTCAGTAGAGTTGTGGGGAGAGAAATCTGATTTTAAGAGACTAAGAAATAGTTAATTAAAAATCAAAATAAGGTTTAATTCTTGCAAAAGATTGACAGATCACAAAACAGGACAGATGTGGACTGAAAGATGGATTTGGGAGCATACAGCATAGCTGGGCAGAACTGGGGAAGATAGTAGTGAGGGACAGAAGGCTGAAGACGTTAAGACCTGGAAAGTTTCTATGCTCACCACTATACCACCGGATGCTGAAGAAGTAGGACTTGGGAAAACCATGGAGCAAATTCCTGGAGGAAACCAGAAACAGAGAAAAGAATGACAGGAAGGGGAATTGTGGAATATTTTGATGTAGAAAAGAAGGAGATCTTTATTTTCTCCTTGGAGGTAAAGAAAGAGGTAAAGTCCTCTGCTAAGAATTGGAAGGCAGCCGGGCACGGTGGCTCATGCCTGTAATCCCAACACTTTGGGAGGCCAAGGTGGGTAGATCACCTGGGGTCAGGAGCTCGAGACCAGCCTGGCCAACATGGTGAAACCCTGTCTCTACCAAAAATACAAAAGTTAGCTGGGCATGGTGGCATGTGCCTGTAATCCCAGCTACTCTGGAGGCTGAGGCAGGAGAATTGCTTGAACCCGGGATGTGGAGGTTGGAGTGAGCCGAGATTGCGCCCCTGCACTCCAGCCTGGCGACAGAGCAAGACTTCATCTAAAAAAACAAAAACAAAAACAAAAAAAAACAATGTGGGGATGTGGAAAAGGTTCAGGAAAGCCCCACAGCACAGTTAAGGACTATAACCTTCAAATGAGACTTTAATGGTAAAAGAAGTTACCATTTGGGATGCCTATTGTCTGCTGGTTATTATGCTAAATTATTTACACACATTACCTCACTGAAAATGAAACATCTTTCCAGTTTGCTGCCTACCTCTCCTTCTGATTCTCTTTTGTGGGATCCTTTCCCTCTGCACTTTGTTTAAATATTGGTGGTCATCACAACTTCATTCTTAGCATTCTTCTCTTCTTACTCCTCCTGGGTAATTTCTATCACTCCCATAGTTTCTATTGCCATATGCTGCTGACTCCCAAGTCTATACCTTCAAATCAAATCCCTCACCCCTATACCCAGGATGCCAGATTCATTTATCCAACTGCCTATTGGACATTTAATTTGGATGTCCCATAGCCACTTCACACTGTACCTGTCCAAAACCTATATTCATAATTTCCCTCCAAACCTATTTTTCCTACTGAGTTCCCTCCCTTTGTGAATTTATAGAATAGTGTTAAGAGTAGCGATTCTGGAACCAGACTGCCTGGATTCAATTCTTACCTTATGTTAGCTGTGTGACCTTGAACAAATTATTAGACCTATGTGCCTCAGTTTCCTCATGTGTGAAATGGGGATAATAATAATAGTACTTACTTCATAGTGTTGTTGAGCATATTAAATGAGTTAATATATTTAATTTTTATTTTAGACAGGATCTCACTCAGTTGCCCAGGCTTCAGCTCAGTGGCATGATCATGGCTCACTGCAGCCTTGACCTCTCAGGCTCAGATGATCCTCCCACCTCAGCCTCCTAAGTTTGTGCCACCACGCCCAGATAATTTTTTTTTTTTTGAGACCGAGTTTCGCTCTTGTTGCCCAGGCTGGAGTACAACAGCACAATCTCGACTCACTGCAGCCTCCGCCTCCCAGGTTCAAGCGATTTTCCTGCCTCAGCCTCCCAAGTAGCTGGGATTACAGGTGCCTGCCACCACACCTGGCCAATTTTTGTATTTTTAGTAGAAATGGGGTTTCACCATGTTGCCTGGGCTGGTCTTGAACTCCTGGACTCAAGTGATCCACTCACCTCGGCCTCCCAAAGTACTGGCATTATAGGTATGAGCCACTGTGCCCAGCTTCAAGGTATTATTATTATCTCCATTTTATAGATAAGAAAACTAAGGCTCAGAGAACTTGAATAATTTTTCCCAAATCTACACAGTAAGTATTGAAATAAAGCTTTGTTCATGCTATTCCACTGCCCCATGCTCCCTCTCAAAGCTCAGGAATAACAAGGGCTCAAAAAGTCTAGCTTGTTCAACTTCAGGTTAGAAATCTTCATTCCAGCTGGGCATGGTGGCTCACACCTGTAATCCCAGCCCTTTGGGAGCCCAAGGTGGGCAGATTGCCTGAGCCCAGGATTTCAAGACCAGGCTGGGCAACATGGCAAAACTCTGTGTCTACCAAAAATACAAAAATTAGTCATGGTGGCATGCGCCTGTAGTCTCAGCTACTTGAGAGGCTGAGGCAGGGAGGACCCATTGATCCTGGGAGATTGAGGCTGCAGTGAGACTGATCGTACCACTGCACTCTAGCTTGGGTGACAGAGCAAGACCCTGTCTCAAAAACAAACAAACAAACAAACAAACAAACAAACAAACACCTCATTCCTAGCTTAGTCTGTCTTGGAATTGCAAAGACCATTTTTAAACCTTTATTGTCTAAGACTCTATAGTTAGATATCTTTGGGAATCCTGTTTTATCTAAGAGATGCACCCTTTTAAAACACTCCTGCGATCTTTTTTTTTTTTTTTTTGAGACAGAGTCTCGCTCTGTCACCCAGGCTGGAGTACAGTGGCACGATCTTGGCTCACTGCAACCTCCATCTCTCGGGTTCACGCCATTCTCCTGCCTCAGCCTCCCGAGTAGCTGGGACTACAGGCTCCTGCCACCACGCCTGGCTAATTTTTTTTTTGTATTTTTAGTAGAGATGGGGTTTCACCGTGTTAGCCAGGATGGTTTCAATCTCCTGACCTCGTGATCCGCCCGTCTTGGCCCCCAAAATGCTGGGATTACACGCATGAGTAATCTTTTTTAATGTCCTTAATCAACTCCCTCTCCCTTTCACAGAGCAGCAATTCCAAACTTTCATCACTTACTTGATGGACTCTTCCTCACTACCTTCTCTAATAGTGAAATGTTAAAACAGTCAGATTTGGGGCTACTTCAGTCCTACCTGCTTAACTCAACCTGCTTGATCAGAGGACTATCTTAAACATGTAGTGCAGAGCCCAGGTGAGGAAGGTGATGACCATGAAACTATGCAACCTGCAGGTAGTACCATATGCTATGTAGAACAGGTGGGAGTTGTGTATGAAAACTGTCCTAAGACAGAGAGGGATTCTTAGATAATGGAGAAATAGCCCCCAGGGGAAAATGGGCTGTATTCCAAAAATTCAATTTTAAATTGACTGTTTGGAATGCAGAACACATTTTCCCTTAGAAACAATGCCATGAATAATTGCAGTTATTTTTCTCAGGAAAGTCCACACAAGCTTGTTTAACTCATAATGTAACAGCCATATCTGCTAAGACATTTTAGATTTGCGTCAAGTAGATCCCTAAATCCTTACTACTCTGAATTATAAATTAGCCGTGTACATAGCTGCCACCCCAACTAGACTGTGAACTCTTTGAGGGCTAGAAACTGTTGAATTATTCATTTTTGTATTCTGAATGCCTGGCATATAACTGGCAATAAACGTTGGTTGCATAAATGAATGGACAAATTTAATAGGCATTTGAATACTGTTGAAAGTGTCTTGGGGAATAAAAACAGTAACATTTAGTGGATCCCTTAATGCGTTTGGCACTGTCTTAGGTAGATGACCAATAAAGCAAGCTGCTTTGTTAAGGCTGGAGTTAGAGATGAAGAAGATAAAAAAAAAATTTAATATTTGAGGTGTAAAATAAATGAGTGCTTGACTTGCTAAATACATGTTTTTGGATTAAATCAATGGAGAGATACATTGATTTGGAAAATGTTATGGAAAAAATATCAGCAGGAATTGCTTGGAGGGGGAAGGGAGGTGGTTCTTGGGAGCTCTAGGACTGAGGAGGGGAGAGCTATGACCACAGCTAAGAGCAGAGGATGGAAGAGGAAGTTTGGTAATGGTCAGAAAGGAATGATCAGGAAAGAACAGAAGTATCAGTCTGAATTACAGCCTAGTTTAATTTCATCTGGTTTACTGCTCCCTATAAAGAAGTACTACCCTGGCCAATCTCTGAAGATTTTTCATGAGTTTAGATTATGCTATTTTTACTTTCCCATAGATTGTGTTTAATTAGATTTATTGGTTTCCACAATGACAGTAGATTAAGCATTTGTGGCTTTTGTTTTTGAGACAGGGTCTCACTCTGTCACCTGGGTTGGCGTATAGTGGTGACATCTCAGCTCACTGCAACCTCCTCCTCCCAGGCTCAAGCAATCATCCCACCTCAGCCTCCTAGGTAGCTGGGACCACAGGTGTGCACCAGCACACCCAGCTAATTTTTTTGTATTTTTGGTGGAGACGGGGTTTTGCCATGTTGCCCAGACTGGTCTCGAACTCCTGAGCTCAGGTGATCCACCCACCTTGGCCTCCCAAAGTGCTAGGATTACAGGCATAAGCCATGGTGCCCGGCCAGGCATTTGTTAAAATCTGGTAGGGATGTGTATAATGGTGAAAACGATGGGATAGAAATAATAAGCAATGAGGGAGAATGCAACTTGAGAAAGTGGGAGAGGGAACATCATCTCTACAGAGAGTTTTTGGTGGAGGAAGATAAAGGAGGGGACAGAGGAAGGAGGGTGAAAGAGGAAGGGAAAGGAAGACAAAAATTAGCTATTTTGTAAACAATCTAACCCGTCAGAAAGTCTCTCTGACTGCTTGCCTGATCTTTGTTCTTTGAAAACATAACTACAACTATTTCTGTATTTACTTCATTGTCTCCAAAGTGCTAGAGTGCATACAATAAATACTTGATGATTGATATTCTGAGTGTTTCAAATCAATTCACACTTTTGGTTTTATTAAGGACCTTATAATTAACATTGATTTGATCAAGCTGAAACAAGAACTGGCTTCAAATTTGTAAGGCATTTTATATCTCTCCCCAAGGAAAAAGCAAACAATTTTCCATGCCTATTAGGTACTACACACTATACTAGTGAATTTACTTATATTGTCACATTAATCATTATTTTAACAATTATTGAATTCCTATTATATGTCAGACCTTATGCTAAGCAATGAGGATAAGAGGCAAAGAGGGAGAAAACTGACCTCCTAAGAGTTATAGAAATATAATGGGGAGGAAACAGGGCTAAACCAACAACTGCAGCATAGTGTGGTAGTGCAACAAAAGAGGTAAACACGCTTTTTATCAACTTGGACCTGGCAGAATGGCTTCCACAAAGAAGGGTGGCGAGAAGAAAAAAGGCCGTTCTGCTATCAACGAGGTAGTGACCCGAGCATACACCATCAACATTCACAACCACATCTATGGAGCGGGCTTCCAGAAGTGTGCCCCTAGGGCACTCAAAGAGATTCGGAAATGTGCCATGAAGGAGATGGGAACTCCAGATGTGCACATTGATACCAGGCTCAACAAAGCTGTCTGGGCCAAAGGAACAAGGAATGTTCCATACTGAATCTGTGTGCTGTTGTCCAGAAAACGTAATGAGGATGAAGATTCACCAAATAATTTCTATACTTTGGTTACCTATATACCTGTTACCACCTTCAAAAATCTGTAGACTCAACGTGGATGAGAACTAATCGCTGATCGTCAAATACATCGAATAAAATTATAAAACTGCCTTCAAAAAAGAAAAGAAAGAGGTAAGCACTTGGCAATATTGGAGAATAGAAGAGGGAAGCTTTAATTCAAAATGGGTATACAGACAATAAGAAAAACAAGTATTTTCCACAATCCCACTATCCAGAAAAAAATAATATTTTGGTGTATGTCTTTATAGTCATCTTTTTACCATGCATGGATATTTAGTTTTTCCAAAATTGTTCTGTTAATCAGGGTTTAAAAAAATTAATATATTATGAATATCTTCCCCTGTCAATAAATACATTTTTATATCATTTTAATTTTTTACATCATTCCTAATAGCTATATAATATTCTACTATGTAGATATATCCATAATATAGGTTGTTTTCAATCTGGAAATTTGGATTGGTTCTTTTTAAAATAGTATAAACAACTGCAATGATTATTATATAAAAATCTCTGGCCAGGCGCTGTGCTCACGCCTGTAATCCCAGCACTTTGGGAGGCTGAGGCGGGCAGATGACGAGGTCAGGAGATTGAGACTATCCTGGCTAACACGGTGAAACCCCGTCTCTACTAAAAATACAAAAAATTAGACGGGCGTGGTGGCAGGCGCCTGTAGTCCCAGCTACTTGAGAGGCTGAGGTAGGAGAATGGCATTAACCCGGGAGGCAGAGATTGCAGTGAGCCGAGATTGGGCCACTGCACTCCAGCCTGGGCAACAGAGCGAGACTCCGTCTCAGAAAAAACAAAAAACAAAAAACAAACAAAAAAAACCGTAAAAATCTCTTCATAATCCTAGATTATCCTATTGTCTTAGATCTCTGGTTCCCAAAGAGTGCACTAACGTACCCCCAGGTGCCACAGAGAACTCATAGAGAAGCCGCAGGATATTTCAACCTTGTGAGGAAAATATTTGACATTTGTTGGTTACTGTAAAAATTACAGTTTCAACATTAGATCACCTTACATTCCTTTCAATGAGGTTATATCTTTGCAAAGCTGGGTTTTTGCTGGTGCTGTGACAAAAATAAAGCATTGCACAAAAATCCATGTGATCTGGGAAATGAGGGTGATGTCCAATCTGATTTTTTTTTTTTTTGAGACAGAGTCTTGCTCTGTCACCAGGCTGGAGTGCAGTGGCACGATCTCGGCTGTCTGCAACCTTTGCCTCCTGGGTTCAAGCGATTCTCCTGTCTCAGCCTCCCAAATAGCTGGGACTACAGACGCGTGCCACCACGCCCAGCTAATTTTTGTGTTTTTAGTAGAGACGGGGTTTCACCATGTTGGCCAGGCTGATCTCGAACTCCTGACCTCAAGAAATCCTCCCACCTCGGCCTCCTAAAGTGCTGGAATTACAGGTTTGAGCCACCGTGCCTGGCCTACTTTTTCAAATAGCTACCATGTTAGGGCATAAATACTCATTAAGTTGTTTGGACCTAACTACTTAAAAAACTCTTTCAGGCCGGGTATGGTAGCTCACGGTTGTAATCCCAGCATTTTGGGAGGCCGAGGCGGGCAGATCACATGAGGTCAGGAGTTTGAGACCAGCCTGGCCAACACAGTCTCTACTAGAAACCCCGTCTTCACTAAAAATACAAAAATTAGCTGGGCGAGGTGGCAGGTGCCTGTCATCCCAGCTATCGGGAGGCCAAGGCAGGAGAATCACTTGAACCCGAGAGGTGGAGGTTGCAGTCAGCCAAGATCGCACCATTGCACTCCAGCCTGGGCAACAGAACTAGCCTCCATCTCAAAAACAAACAAACAAAAAACCCAAAAAGAAAACAAAACAAAACACAAACTATTTCATATTTCTTTTGGCCTAAGGGTGTGGTGAAAAATTACTGAGATGCTAAAGGCACCATGAACCAAGAAAGTTTGGGAATCTCTAACTTAGGATCAATTAGAGACTTATGTGGAACTGCTAGTTTTGAGGCTCTGTAAACTTCACAAGCTTTTAATATTGCCTGTTGTCCTTCAGAAATATTCTATCAATTTATACACCCAGTAGCAGGTTAATTTTCTCTTACTTCATATGGTGACCCTTGAACTAAATGAGTCCAGAAGAGTTGACTTGAATGAGAAACCATGACTGAAAAATTTTGCTGAGTTCTCTAGTTAATACAAAAAGGAGTAAGAAAGGACTTCTAACCTTAAAGGCAGAGCCTGTCTTACCTTCCCAGACTCTGGTACAGGGCTTTGCTAGAGCAGAGGCTTAGTAAACACATGTTGATGAAATGAAAAGAACTCCATTCACAAGAGTTTCCAAGGCAAGATTGAAAACAACATAAGGTTATAGTGAAAGCATACACACTTTAGGTTACCAGATAAAATAAGAATGCTGTTAAATTTAAATTTCAGGCTGGGTGCGGTGGTTCACGCCTGTAATCCCAGAACTCTGGGAGGCTGAGGCAGGCAGACAGCTTGAGACCAGGAGTTCAGACCAGCCTGGGCAACATAACAAAACCCTGTCTCTACTAAAAATTCGTGGTGGTGTGTGCCTGTAGTCCCAGCTACTTGGGAGGCTGAGCTACCTGAGCCCAGGAGGTAGAGGCTGCAGTGAGCCCAGATCTTGCCACTGCACTCCCGCTTGGGTGACAGAGCAAGACCCTGTCTCCAGAAAAAAAAAAAAAGGAAGACATTATCTTAAATTGATAGTTTAAGAAATATGTGGCTCATGCCTGTCATCCCAGCAGCACTTTGGGAGGCTGAGGCTGGGGGCGGATAGCTTCAGCTTAGACAACATGGCTAGACTCCCATCTCTCCAAAAAAAAAAAAAAAAAAAAAAATTACAGGCAACCTACAGAGTGAGAGAATATTTTTACAATCTTTCCATCTGACAAAGCTCTAATATCCAGAGTCTACAAGGAACTCAAACAAATCTACAAAAAAAAAAAACAACCCCATTAAAAAGTGCTCAAAGGATATGAACAGACACTTCTCAAAAGAAGACATTCATGCAGCCAACAAGCATATGAAGAAAAGCTCAACATCGCTGATTAGAGAAATGCAAATCAAAACCATAATGAGATACTATCTCACACCAGTCAGAACACCATTATTAAAAAGTAAAGAAACAATAGATGCTGGCGAGGTTGCGGAGAAATAGGAGTGCTTTTACACTGTTGGTGGGAATGTAAATTAGTTAAACCATCGTGGAAGACAGCGTGGCAATTCCTCAAAGATCTAGAACCAGAAATACCATTTGACCCAGCAATCTCATTACTGGGTATATACCCATAGGAATATAAATCATTCTATTACAAAGATATATGCATGTGTATGTTCATTGCAGCTCTATTCACAATAGCAAGGACATGGAATCAACCCAAATGCCCATCAAATACCCACAGACTGGACAAAGAAAATGTGGTACATATACACCATGAAATACTAGGCAGCCATAAAAAGGAATGAGGTCATGTCCTTTGCAGGGACATGGATGAAGCTGGAAGCCATTATCCTCAGCAAACTAACGGAGGTACAGAAAACCAAACACTGCATGTTCTCACTTATAAGTGGGAGCTGAACAATGAGAACACATGGACACAGGGAGGGGAACAACACACACTGGATGGAGCCTGTCGGGGATGGGGGGGTGGGGAAAGGGAGAGTATTAGGAAAAAATAGCTAATGTATGCTGGGCTTAAGACCTAGGTGATGGGTTGATAGGTGCAGCAAACCACCATGGCACACGTTTACCTACGTAACAAACCTGCAGATCCTGCACATGTACCCCAGAACTAAACATAAAAGAATAAAAATAAAAAGAAATTTGAGTTATAGGCCAGGCACTGTGGCTCATGCCTGTAATCCCAGCACTGTGGGGGGCTGAGGCTGGAGTCAGATCCCTTTAGCTTAGGCCACATGGTTAGACTCCCGTCTCTACAAAAAATACAAAAAAAAAAAAAAAATTAGCCGGGCATGGTGGTATGTGCCTGTAGTTCCGGCTACTCAGGAGGCTGAAGTGGGAGGATTGCTTGAGCCCAGGAGGCTGAGGACACAGTAAGCACTGCACTCCAGCCTAGGTGAGACTATCTCAAAAAAAAAAAAAAGGAATTTGAGTTATATATGATTTTTCCTAAATAATTAAAGCACTTTTAATGTTTTTTTTTTAAAAAGAATCAAACTGCATTTATTTCAGAGGTTTTTTATTTAGGAAAAATATACATATATAATTTACCACCTTTACCATTGTTTTCAACTTTTTATTTATTTATTTTTTGAGAGGGAGTCTGGCTGTGTAGCCTAGGCTGGAGTAGCTGGGATCACAGGAATGTGTCATCACACCTGGCTAATTTTTTTTTTCTTTTTTTTGAGACGGAGTCTCACTCTGTCGCCCAGGCTGGAGTGCAGTGGGGCAATCTCTGCTTACTGCAAGCTCTGCCTCCTGGGTTCACGCCATTCTCCTGCCTCAGTCTCCCGAGTAGCTGGGACTACAGGCACCCGCCACCGTGCTGGGCTAATTTTTTGTATTTTTAGTAGAGATGGGGTTTCACCGTGGTCTTGATCTCCTGACCTTGTGATCCACCTGCCTCGTCCCCCCAAAGTGCTGGGATTACAGGCGTGAGCCACTGCGCCTGGCCACACCTGGCTAATTTTTGTATTTTTAGTAGAGACGGAGTTTCACTATGTTGGCCAGGTTGGAGTGCAGTGTTGCAATCTCGGCTCACTGCAACCTCTGCCTCTTGGGTTCAAGTGATTCTCCTGCCTCAGCCTCCCCAGTAGCTGGGACTGCAGGCATGCGCCATCATGCCTTGCTAATTTTTTGTATTACTATTAGAGATGGGGTTTCGCCATGTTGGCCAGGCTGGTTTTGAACTCCTGACCTCGAATGATTCCCCCGCCTCTGCCTCCCAAAGTGCTGGGATTCCCCTGCCTCTGCCTCCCAAATTTCTGGGATTACAGGTGTGAGCCACCGTGCCCAACCCTGGTAGGTTTGGACTTTCACCCTCCTGTCATCCTTCCCCAGAAAGTAGGCTCTAGTGTCTACTGTTCCCATCTTTATGTCCATGTGTACTCAATGTTTAGCTCCCACTTATAAATGAGAACATGCAGCATTTGGTTTTCTGTTCCTGTGTTAATTCAGATAATGGCCTCCAGTTGCATCCATGTTGCTGCAAAGGACATTTTTTTTTTTTGAGACAGAGTTTCCCTCTTGTTGCCCAGGCTGGAGTGCAATGGTGTGATCTTGGCTCACTGCAACCTCCACCTCTCATGTTCAAGCAATTGTCCTCCCTCAGCCTCCCGAGTAGCTGGGATTACAGGCATGCACCACTGCGTCCAGCTAATTTTGTATTTTTATTTATTTTTATTATTTATTTATTTATTTATTATTATTATTATTATTTTTGAGATGGAGTTTAGCTCTTGTTGCCCAGGCTGGAGTGCAATGGCATGATCTCGGCTCACCGCAACCTCTGCCTCCCAAGTTCAAGCGATTCTCCTGCCTCAGCCTCCCGAGTAGCTGGGATTACAGGCATGCACCACCATGCCCGGCTAATTTTGTATTTTTAGTAGAGACGGGGTTTCTCCATGTTGGTCAGGCTGGTCAAACTCCCGATCTCAGGTAATCCGCCCACCTCGGCCTCCCAAAGTGCTGGGATTATAAGTGTGAGACACGGCGCCCGGCCAATTTTGTATTTTTAGTAGAGACGGGGTTTCTCCATGTTGGTCAGGCTGGTCTCGAACTCCCAACCTCAGGTGATCCGCCCACCTCAGCCTCCCAAAGTGCTGGGATTACAGGTGTGAGCCACAGTGCCCGGCCAGGACATAATTTTTTTATGGCTGTATAGTATTCCATGGTGTATATGTACCACATTTTCTTTATTCAGCCCATTGTCAGTGGGCATTTAGTTTGATTCCATTTCTTTGCTATGTAAATAGTGCTGTGATGAGCAAATGAGTGCATGTCTTTTTGGTAGAACGATTTATATTCCTTTGGGTATATACCCAGTAATGAGATTGCTGGGTCAAATGGTAGTTCTAAGTTCTTTGAGAATTCTCCAAACTGCTTTCCACAGTGGCTGAACTAATTTACAGTGCTACCAGCAGTGTATAAACATTCCCTTGTCTCTGGAACATCCCCAACATCTGTTATTTTTTGACTTAATAACTGCCATTCTGACTGTGTGGTGAGATGGTATATCACTGTGGTTTGGATTTGGATTTCTCTGATGATTAGTGATGTTGAGCATTTTTTTCTTTTTTCTTTTCTTTCTTTTTTTTTTTTGAGACAGATTCTTGCTCTGTCACCAGGCTGGAGTGCAGCGGTGCGATCTCGGCTCACTGAAACCTCCGCCTCTGGGGTTCAAGCGATTCTCCTGCTTCAGCCTCCCGAGTAGCTGAAGGCACGTGCTACCACGCCTGGCTATTTTTTTTTTTTTTTGTATTTTTTAGTAGAGAAAGGGTTTCACCTTGTTAGCCAGGATGGTCTGGATCTCCTGACCTTGTGATCTGCCCACCTCAGCCTCCCAAAGTGATGGGATTACAGGCGTGAGCCATCACGCCCGGCCAAGCATTTTTTTCATACATTCATTGGCTGCTTGTATGTCTCTTTTTTTTTTTTTTTTTTTTTTTTGGCACTTGCTCTGTCGCCCATGCTAGAGTGCAGTGGCTCGATCTCGGCTCGCTGCAACCTTTGCCTCCCAGGTTCAAGCAATTCTCTTGCCTCAGCCTCTGGAGTAGCTGGGATTACAGGCACCTGCCACCACTTCTGGCTAATTTTTTTGTATTTTTAGTAGACATGCGGTTTCACCATGTTGATCAGGTTGGTCTCGCCCTCTTGACCTCAGGTGATCTGCCTGCCTAGGCCTCCCAAAGTGTTGGGATTACAGGCATAAGCCACCGCACCTGGCCTATGTCTTCTTTTGAGAAGTGTCTGTTCATGTCCATTGCCCATTTTTTAATGGGGTTGTTTTTTGCTTGTTGATTTTTTTAAGTTCCTTATAGATTCTGAATGTTGGACCTTTGTTGGATGCATAATTTGCAGACATTTTCTCCTATTCTGTAGGTTGTCTGTTTACCCTGTTGATAGTTTCTTTGCTGAAGCACTTCATTTTCTGTAAACAATTCATTTGTTTCCCTTTTAGGCAAGGCTCAAGCAAGCCAATAAATATTAGAAGAGAATATACCTCAAGATTCTTTGCCTCTAAGTACAATACTCTTATTACCAGTTGCAACCAATTTCAGAAGCTAAAAAAGAACTGGCTTAACACACGTTTTCTCTCTCACGTCCATGCACACGAATGATCAACAGAATTAATCTTAATTTGGGGTGTACACATCTGAAGACATTTGTAAAAATCCAGTTATGAGAAAATTAGCAAGGTTAATGCCCTGCAAGTAATCACTTGCTTAGGGTGACTGCTAATTTATTGTCTTAACGGAAAACAGTGCTGATTATTTTACTCTGTGTTGCTCCTTTTGGGGAGAACCACCTCTGTGTTGTGGGAGAAGACCTTAGAGTCTGGAGTAAAAATAGAACCGTGTAACAATTTTATTTGAAGGAGAGCTTAGAAAAGATCTCTTATGCAAAAAAAAAAAAAAAAAGAGAGCTTTTAAAAATGAGAGTGGCTTTTAGAATATTTGTCATTTTCCACGTATAAGACAACCAAATACAGTTTGCACAGCTAATCAAAATTAGGAAGTTATATTCTTACTGCTTAATATTTAAGTGTTGATAATATGGTAGGTCTTGTGAAAAAAAAACCTGTCTTCAAATGGTAATAGAAATTATAAATCGAGATTATATGTGTTCCCTTGATATCTTAACTATTCCTACTCACCTCAAGTGGCAGCTTGTAACTAACACGTACCACATTTACATGTTCCATATACGTGCCTGTGTACATATGTAACATGTGCCACAATAGATTTACACGCATCATAATTTTCACTTTGCAAACGTATAGAGTACCTACTGTGCATGAAAAATTATGCTGAGGAGCTTTGGTGTGTACAGAGATAAGAAATGCTTCCTATGGCCTGTTACTATTTGTGCTACTCAAAAAAAGGTTTTGTACTTTGAGATGGGAGGGAAGTCATCTACTAAGTCAGGCTTTTGTTTATTTATATCCCAGTGCCCTTGATCTCCTGCAAAAACAAAAGGCAAAAGCTTGTTTTAAAAAACAAAACATTTGCAAGGATTTGGGTTTGTTCTAGAGCAAGATCACGCATTCTTCAAGACATCTGTTCACACAGAAGAGCTAGGTCTTTTAAAAAAGCTAGGTCTTTCAAAAAAAAAAAAAAGGAGTTCGTTTTGTTTTTAAAACAGGACTCTGTTCCGGTGAGAGCTCGGTGAAGTCCTGATCGGCACCCATGAAGGTGAGGCCGCACGAGTCCAAGGGCCAGAGGCCGTGGGAACAGCGCGGGTCCGACGGGTAGGAGGGGGCAGTGGGTTCGAGCCTCCACGCTTACATACAGCCTGCCAGGGCCTTAGAGCCCTCTGACTGCGAACCACCGCAGAGAGGTGCGGAACGCGGCCCCGACCCGGCAAAAGCCGTCCGCACGCCTGCTGGGCGCGCAGCCACGTTGACTACTGCAGCCTTCCCGGCTCGGCGAGAGCCTGCCAGCCAGCCGAGGCTGCGCCCTTTCCGCGGTCGGGATGAGCGGTTCCAGGAGAAAGGCCGCGAGGGCGGGGCTTGGGGCCTGGCGCGGCTATTTCCTCACACCGCGGTCAGTCAGGACGAGAGGCCGCGTTCAGGCCAGTGCAGAGCGCCACATGGCGCTACCAAGTCGGGCCCCGGCGTTGGCGGGCACAGAAGCAGTGTAATGCGGGAAGCCTGCAGCCCACACTGGGGAAGGATGTGCCAGCTAACGAATGTTTCACCACAGCCCACATGCCTGGGAGAGGGAATTTGAGAGCACGTGGGGGAGGGGCGAAGAGAGCTGTCGGCTCGCAGAGAGCATGCTCCATTCTGAGAGTCGAAGTGGAGAGCCAGGCATGCGCAGTGAGCCCAGGGTGGGTTGGCAGCGGTGAGGGACTGGCGCGAGCAGGCTGATGTGTTTATCCGGTTTTCTGGGTGGGCGGTCAAAGCGCACGCGGAAGGGCGAAAGGCGGCGGAGCTAGGTAGCAGCTTGCGCATGCGTGGAGTGAGCCGGTAGCTCTGGGAGGCTGTGGAGGGGGTTGTTAGAGGAGAAGCAAGGGAAAAGGGAAGCGAAGGGAGAGGAAAGGGGGGAGGGGTGAGAGTGTGCTCTGCGCATGCGTGCGAGCGCTAGCGACGACGGCGGCGGGGGAGTCTCGGGGATGACAGTGGCTTTGCCCGTTGGGGTAACGGTCGTCGTCGCCGCCAGCAGAGGCCTGAGGCGCCACACAGCCCGCGGGATCCATTAAGGCCGCAGCAGCCCGGGCCCTACCGAGCTGGAGTGGCGCGTGGAGTCGGGGTGAGGGCGGCGAGGCACGGGGGAGGGGCCTGCGGCGGGGCCTTGCTGTGTGCGCTGGGCGGCGGCGGGGCCTGGCGGTGTGAGCGCTTGCCTTCCGCGGCCGGGGAGTGCTGAGGGCGGCGGCGGCCGTCGTGCTCGGCGGAGGAGTCGTCTGTGTGTGTGGCGCCGAAAAAATGGCCGGGCAGTGAGGGGGCGGCGCTTGAGTCTGGTGACCCCGGAGTGTGCGACTGAGGCGCGAGGGGCGCCGCCGCGGCCCGGCCGGGCTTGCCCCCCGCCCCCTCCCGCCCGCCGGCGGCGGCCCGCGCACTTCCTCCCCGGCCTTCCCCTCCGGGTTGAGGACTCCCGCCCGCCTCGCCACCTCGGGGAACTGCGGGCTGCAACCCACGGGGCGGAGAGCCAGGGCGCAGTCTGGGCCCCGCGTCCGATATGGAGAGCGCGGCGGCGGCGTCCGCCAGCCGCAACATCAACCTTCGTCGCCGCCGCGGCGTCTTGCACTAGATCCGGGAAGCCGCTGCCCGACCGTCGTCCTTGCCGTCGCCGCCGCCTCCGCGCCCTGTACTGGGATGGAGTAAGAGGCCCTGCAGCCCGGGAGAAGCGTGCCGCGCCTCAGACGGGGCCGGGGCCTGCTCCCGCGCCTGCCAGCTCGACTTGAGGAGGCGCCTCCGTGTCCGGAGATGGAGCTCGAGTGCAGGCCGCCTGCCGAGCCGCGGGGCTAGACTGAGCTCCGAGTCCCGCCCCGAGCGCCCAAGCCGCCGCGTTCTGCGCTCTGTGGTCGCTCCGGACGAACTCGAACGCTGGTTTCTCTCTCATATTTTTGGTCTGGAAGTCTCAGGGACGGAGGGGCGCCAAGGCCCCATGTGTGGGAGGATTGTTTCAGCTCCACAAACTTGCACGGATTTTGGTTACTTGTTTGGCCAATGGTTCGGCTCTGATTTCTTCCGAATTGTTGCAAATTCGCCATCGTTCCCTGGCTGCTTACTAAGTTGGATCCGGAATTTCTTTTCAACCGGGAGCCATTGGTGTCGAAGTGTCTGCAATGAACCCCGTGAATGCTACTGCTCTCTACATTTCCGCGAGCCGCCTAGTGCTCAACTACGACCCCGGAGACCCCAAGGCGTTTACTGAGATTAACAGGCTCTTGCCTTACTTCCGACAGTCCCTTTCGTGCTGTGTTTGCGGTGAGACGCTTTTTATTGTTCCCTTTTCAATGCTTGTTTTTAAAAGCCTTCTGGGCAGTGGTAACGTGAGCGGGTTGACGGCCTGGTGGTTGGTATTAAGCTTTTGTTATTTGTGCAGCGCTGTACGGTCATTAGTTTTGAAACTTGCTGAGGGACTTTTGCCCGGCGTTTCAGAAAGGCAGAGAACCCTTTCATACCGCTTTGTGCAGCGGCGTTAACGTTCAAAATGGTTTAATTCGCCTCGGTTCATCTGGTGGTGGTGGTTTAAGTGGGGGTAAGATGCATGCACAAGGCTTTTTTTTTTTTTTTCTTAAACCTTTGCCGCGGGAGCTGATTACGTACCTACGGCGGTTAAAAGTGGTTAAACATGATCAAAACATGCACATGTGGGCACATGTGGCGTGTTTGCATTTCCCCAAACTGGTGTTACGTGGGAGTGGTGGGCTAAGCTGATGAACCCACAGCTGGAGAACCCGGCGCGGAACTTTGCCCCAGGTTCCTCCACAAATGCTTTGACGGTTTGACGGTTAACAGCGAGCCGGGGAAGGCTGTTGGTACTCGAAGTGCTTTTTAGCTGGTGAGACTTTTACTTACCACTTTTTCATTTTGTGGTTTAATATACTTTGGCTTTGTCGAGGGTTATTTTAGATGTTTTTGTTAAAAAAAATTAACTCGTGGTGGGTAGGATACTTTAATTTTTAAGATAGAAGAGATATGCTAAATTGTCTAAGGAAAATATCTCAAAAGTGATAATTTGAATGTTAACTGTGCGTGTGTAATAATTACTTGCTTTTCGAAAAACCTGGACTGAAACGTTAATACAAAAGAAAGGGCAACTGCCAAAGCAGTAATATGCATGCTCCACTTAATATTCTATCCTAAATTTTGAAGTTTTGATGATCCACTTGTTTAGTCAGAACCTGGGAAATTCAGGCACGTTAAGGTTTCCACTTTATTTAAAAGTAGATAAAGGAAGAAGAGTAATTTGGGACAGTTGTGGCTGAAGGGAGAAATAATATTCATTTGAGGTTTATCCAGCATTCTCTATCTAGATCCTGAAGCAAGACACTGAATGGGTGCAGAAGAGGTGGCGGTGGTGTTTTTTGCAAGACAGGTACTTAAGGTCATAAACATTTAAGTAACTGAGTAAGTCATTAAGTGCTACTCTGACTGGTGACAGACACTTAACACCTTAGAGGAATAGTCGCCCAGGGCAAATCACCTAACTGCCCTGGGCCTCAGTTTCTTGATGTGTAAAATGATAATTTTCGGCTAGATTCAGTTTCCTTTCAGCTTAAGTTTTACAAATGTAAGTGTATCAAGAGTTTGCCTGGTTTCATGGTAACCTCTCACTCTACTCCCACTTTTATGGAGTGCTTTTTTTTTTTAATGTCCTCACATATTTTGATGGTTTGAGGACTGAGGAAATGGAGCTGCCATAACTTCCTTCTCCATATACTTTTTTTTTTCTTTTCCTTTGGTGCCGGCCGTAGGGTGCTACTATGGTGAGGTAGGGGGAAGAGGAAGGGCCCACTCTGTCCTGCTGAAACAGCATTTGAGAGTGATGTCATTATCAGTTAACATTTGTAGAATCTGGTAGGTCCCCTGTTTACTAGATGGGTGAAACTTAGCTCTCTAATTTAAGTGGGAAATGGTAGTTTTGAGTTGTGCAGACCACCACTATCCTAAAACTGTTAAGAACCTCAGAGGTTTTAAGTTCCTATTAATAGCTTTCGGATGGTAGTGGTGGTCTAATTGAACATTTTCCCAAGTTCTAACCTGGACTTTAAATAATGGAATTAAAGATAAAAAAAACCCACTACATTTAAAAGTCCAACTGGAGCCTTTTTTATTTTTATTTTTTGTCAGTCTTGGCAACACAAGGGGAATTTTTCTGACAGGGCTTTCTTATTTCACATCATCCTATGGAAAAGATCGTGAGTTCTGCTTCTCCCTTATGATTGAGTAGCTGGCATGGTTTCAGTAATAGGGATGTAGGTTCAGGTTTTTTTCCTCCCATCTCTTTGGACGTAAGTCTATGATTATAAAGACATAGAAAAAAAATCAGTTATTTGAATTCAGCCCAGCATTGACATATTTTTGTACCAGGTATGTACTAGACTTTTTTCCTTAGCTGAAAAGCATTAGTGCATTCAAATTCGTGGATGGGCAGTCTTATTTCATGAAGATAATGCATTTGTAAAAATGAAGTTTAATTCTGTTGTAATGCTTAATTAGGGAATTTGTTTCAACACGTCCTGTAGATTTGACCCGCTACTACCTTTTCATCCTTTTATTCAACTGTGGTTTTACATAATTCTCTTTTAACTGGATTGATATTTTTGTCCTTTCAAACATGCTTTTTTATATCTTTTTCTTTTTTTTTTTATCTTTGCTTTCTTAATTTTCTTCTGCCTAAAACACTACTTTTTTCTAAAGGCCTAACTCAACTCCCTGCCTCCTTGGTGAAGTCTTCCTTGCTCACTGCAGCAAAAAGTTACTTCTGGCCAGGTGCCTGTAATCCCAGCACTTTGGGAGGCCAAGGTGGGCGGATCGCTTGAGGTCAGGAGTTGGAGACCAGCCTGGCCAACATAGTGAAACCCCATCTCTACTAAAAATACACAAATTAGCTGGGTGTGGTGGCAGGTGCCTGTAATCCCAGTTACTCAGGAGGCTGAGGCCGATCTCCAGACATTGCTTGAACCTGGGAGGCAGAGGTTGCAGTGAGCCGAGATCGCACCACTGCACTCCAGACTGGGCAACAGAGTGAAACTCCGGCTCAAAAAAATAAAAAAGTTATCTTTCTTGTCTAAACCTTCTGTAAACCTTTGTTCCAGTCATAAGATACTTATATCTCCTTTGAGTGCAGATTTTGTATCAGTCTGATTTTCTTGATACATATAATAAACTTTTTAGGGAAGACATTGTTTTTTCTTTTACAGTTTTGTATTTCTTCTGCTTCACATTCTTTCCTGCCTGGTGACTTACATGTAGGTGTTTATGACAGCCTCAGAGGAAGAGGTGAGGGAGGGAAAAAGCCCTTCAAACTTTGCAATTAGGTTGAAATTTGGCTTTTACTTACTGTGTAGGCACATTGCTTTAACTTTTTGCCAATTGCCTTTATCTTCTTCAAGTTTGTTTCTCTAAATTTGTGTTATGTGTGGGCTTATTTTTAAGCGGTTTGAAAAAACTTTTTATTGAAACAGGATCTTGCTATGTTGCTCAGGTTGGAGTGCAGTGGTGCGATCCTAGCTCACTGCAGCCTTAAACTCCTGGATTCATGCAGTCCTTCCACCTCAGCCTCCTAATTAGCTAGAACTACAGGCATGTACCATCATGCCCAGCTAAAGTTTTTGTAGGGAGAGGGTCTTACCGTGTTGCCCAGGCAGGTCTTGAACTCCTAGGCTCAAACTATCCTTGTGCCTTGGCCTCCCAAAGTGCAGGCATTACAGGTGTAAGCCACTGTGGCTCCTGGCCTGAAAAGACTTTTTTTTTTTTTTTTTTGAGACGGATTCTTGTTCTTTCACCCAGGCTGGAGTGCAGTGGCGCAATCTCGGCTCACTGCAACCTCTACCTCCTGGGTTCAAGTGATTCTCCTGCCTCAGCTTCCCGAGTAGCTTGGGATTACAGACTCACGCCACCACACCCAGCTAATTTTTGTATTTTTTGTAGAGACGGGGTTTCACCATGTTGGCCAGGCTGGTCTTGAACTCCTGACCTTGTGATCCGCCCGCCTTGGCCTTCCAAAGTGCTGGGATTACAGGTGTGAGCCACCGTGCTCAGCCTGAAAAAAGTTTTTGAACCCATGAGAACAAGTCTACAGATTCAGTGTCTGGCACATATTAGGTACTTAATATCCCACCTTTGCACAGTAGACAATGGTGGGTGGAGGTGAGGGAAGAGACTAAACTATCAGGTCAATTATTGTCAAACCTAGATTATTCATTGCAGTTACAGTTTTGTTATTACTGTTCTTTGATATGTTAATTAGCTGATTATCACTGCTTGTTTTTCAATTGCTTTGTATATTTAAACCTTCTGAAGCTTCTAGTGAATGGGATAGCCTTGCTGTAGAGAATTACTGTACTTTCTAGGCCACAGAAACTGACCAAGACAAAAATCACTATGGGTACTATTTTTAAGTGTCGATTTCTCGCTCATGTTCTAAATGTTGGACTTGCTTTATCAGAAAGTAGAATTGTTTTTTTCTTTTGATAAGATGAGACTTGATAAGTTTTGGCCTAAGGATTTTATGTTTTCATTAAACTTGTAACTCTTCAAATGATGTAACAAGTCTGATGTATACAATCAAAAATCCTGTTAGGATTGGAGGGTCATGTTAAATGGAAAAATACTATTCTTGGAGATAACTTGGAAAGTATCATGGTCAAACTCGGGAACATGAATATTTTCCTTTTTTTTTTTTTTTGAGACAATCTTGTTTTGTCACCCAGGCTGGAGTGCAGTGGTGCAGTCATAGTTCACTGCAGCCTCCAACTCCAGTCCTCTGGCATTAGCCTCTAGAGTAGCTAACACTACAGGTGTGCGCCACCACACGTGGTTGGCTAATTTAAAAATTTTTTTTGTAGAGATGTGGCCTTGCTGTGTTGTCTAGATTGGTCTTGAACTCATCTGGCCTGGGTCTCCCAAAATGCTGGGATTACAGGTGTGAGCCCCGGTAGCTGTACTATTTCTTTATTGGTCACCTGTGATGTTCTAGATGCTAAGATAGAAAGATGAATAAGACACATGGCACAGGCCCATATATATTGGTCAGTGTTACTGGGAAGACAAGTAAACCAACAATTATTGGCCAAGTGCTGAGTAGAGGCACTTAAGCTATAACAGACCTCATGTGTCACGATAGAAAAATTAGTAATTTTTTATTTTTGAGACAGGGTCTTGCTATGTTGCCCAGGCTGGAGTGCAGTGGCATGATCTCGGCTTACTGCAACCTTTGTCTCCCGGGTCCAGGTGATCCTCCCACCTCAGCCTCCCAAGTAGCAGGAACTACGAAAGTGCACCCCCGCGCCTGGTTAATATTTGTAGAAAACTTACCAATTAACATTTTGTACATGTAAAGTTTCAGAAATTAACCATGAAAGCGCATTTATTTGTGTAGAGTTTGTTTTTGAATAGCTCTTTGGTCAGAGGTTAAACATTGGTGTTAAAACAGGGTCTATTTTAACAGTTTTTTCTTAGTTTACCTGTTTTCTGATCTGGGAAGAATTCTTTTTTTTTTTTTTTTTTGAGACGGCGTCTCGCTGTCGCCCAGGCTGGAGTGCAGTGGCGCCATCTTGGCTCACTGCAAGCTCCACCTCCCGGGTACACGCCATTCTCCTGCCTCAGCCTCCTGAGTAGCTGGGACTGCAGGCACCCGCCACCTCGCCCGGCTAATTTTTTGTGTTTTTAGTAGACAAGGGGTTTCACTGTGTTAGCCAGGATGGTCTCGATCTCCTGACCTCGTGATCCGCCCGACTCCGCCTCCCAAAGTGCTGAGATTACAGGTGTGAGCCACTGCGCCCAGCCTCTGGGAAGAATTCTTTAGAGCACATTTATCTAGTATGCAGGTAGGAAGAACTGTGTTTAGTTAGTAATTTTCTTGGTAGATACAATTCAGCTATAGATAGCAGATCTATTTTCTTAACTTTTTTTTTTTTTTTTAATTTTCTCGAGACAGGGTCTTGTTCTGTTGCCTAGGCTGGAATGTGGTGGCATGATCACGGCTCAGTGCAGCTCAACCTCTTGGGCTTAAGCTGTCCTCCCACCTCAGCCTTTCAATTAGTTGGGACTGTAGGCGTGCGGTACCATGCTCGCCTTATTTTTGTGTGTGTGTTTTTTTTTTTTTTTTTTTTTTTTTTTTGTAGAGACAGGGTTTCACCATGTTGCCCAGGCTTGTATGATCTCTTTTCCTAAGGAAAATCTCCTAAGAAAAATCTATAAAAGTTCTAAAATATTTGCTTCTACTTGGGTATATTTATGCAAGATGATACTGCTTTAGGGAAAGGACTCCCTAAATGCATTGTTACCAGTGCTGAGATGAAAAGAGGTTTGATTTGCAGCCCTTCATCTTATGATAAGTTGAAAAGGTAATAATAGTTTAAATGTGGGTTCAAGGCAGGCAGTATGGTACTGTAGAATTAGGCAGATGAGACTGTTTCAGTCTGGTAAGATCTGGTAGGTGTGGGGCTTGAGCTGGGCCAAGAGAAGTGGTGTAGTGGATACTTTTTTTTTTTTTTTTTTTTTGAGACAGGGTCTTGCTCTCTTCCCCAGGCTGGAGTGCAGTGGCTCGATGTGGGCTCCAGCAGTCCTCCCACCTCATCGTCCTGAGTAGCTGACACTACAGGCATACGCCATCAATGCCCTGCTAAATTTCAGATATTTTGTAGAGATGGGGTTTTGCTGTATTGTCCAGGCTGGTCTTGAATTCCTGGCCTGAGGCAGTCCTTCCACTTTGGCCTCCCAAAATGCTAGGATTATAGGCATGAGCCACTGAACCCAGCCTGTTAGTGGACTTTTTTTTTTTTTTTTTCTTCTTCCAGATGGAGTCTTGCTCTGTTGTCAGGCTGGACTGCAGTGGTGCGATCTCGGCTCACTGCAACCTCTGCTTCATGGGTTCAAGCGATTCTCCTGCCTCAGTCTCCTGAGTAACTGGGACTATAGGCATGCCCCACCACGCCTAGCTAATTAGTGTATTTTTAGTAGACACGGAGTTTCACCATGTTGGCCAGGATGGTCTCGATCTCTGTACCTTGTGAACTCCCCCAGCTTGGCCTCCCAAAGTGGTGGGATTACAGGTGTGAGCCACTGCGCCTGGCCTAGTGGACATTTTTAAGTAAGGCCTGAAGGAGAAAACCTTTGGCTTGTGTAAACAGCAGTAAATTGGGTTTACCTGGAATGAAGAGCTCTTGTAGGAGAGCCCTTGCCCTATAGTGGTTATTCAGGGGCCTTTTGTGTGGAGAGTTTTGATCCCAGGCTAAGGAATGTGACATTCACCCTGTAGACCCGTTTCTTTCTTTCTTTTTTTTAAAAAATATGTTCTACAGGCCACCTGAATCAAAATCACCTAAAAGCTTATTAAAATCCAGCTTGCTAATCATCACACCAGACTGATTGAATTAGAATCTCTGTGGACAGGCCCTTGTAATCTGCATTTTAACTGCCTATCTTGATTGGGATGAGAGGATTTGCAAATCAGTGTTATAAGCATTTGAAAAACAATATTTAAGTAGGATAGTGATACAACTGAAATTGTTTTAGAAAATATTAATTTGGGGGTCAAAAAAAATTTTTTTTTTTTTTGAGACGGAGTCTTGCCCTGTCACCCAGGCTGGAGTGCAGTGGTGTGATCTCGGCTCACTGCAACGTCCATCTCCTGGTTCAAGCTATTCTCCTGCCTTAGCCTCCTAGAGTAGCTGGGACTCTACAGGCATCCGCCACACCCAGCTAATTTTTTTTTTCATGTATTTTTAGTAGAGACAGGGTTTCACCATGTTGGCCAGGCTGGTCTTGAACTCCTGACCTCAGGTCATCCTCCCACCTCGACCTCCCAAAGTGCTAGGATTACAGGCGTGAGCCACTGCGCCTGGCCAAATATGGTTTGTTTGGAGTCTCTAATAAGAGGATTCTTTAATGAGGCTTGAATAGAGTGGTGGGAGTGAAAAGAAAGGGAACAACATAAAATGAAAAGGGAACATTTGATCATTCTTACGGTTATCATAACATTTTAATTTGAAATGTATTGTGTTATCTTTGTCGTAGTTGGGTTTATCTCGTTATAAATTGATTAAATGAGATGTTTTCTAGTCTTAAGTTGGTGAGTATGTTTAGCACAGTGCTTTCACATAACATGTACTTGATAAAATGTACAGCTAATCCTCCGTATCTGTGGGTTCTGCATTTGTGGATTCAGCCAACCTTGGATCTAAAATATTTGGGAAAAAATTGCAACTATGCTGAACATGTATGGACATTTTTTTTTGGTCAGGATTCTCTAAGCATTACAGTATAACAACTACTTACATAGTATTTATATTGTTTAGGTGTTATAAGTAATCTGCAGATGATTTAAAGCGGCAGTTCCCTACCTTTTTGGCACTAGGGACTGGTTTCATGGAAGACTATTTTTCCACAGGGTCAGGGGATGGTTTCAGGATGATTCAAGCACATTACATTTATTGTGCACTTTATTTCTATTATTATTACATTGTAATATGTAATGAAATAATTATAGAGTTCACTATAATGTAGGATTAGTGGGAGCCCTGAGCGTGTTTTCCACAAGGGTCCCATCTGGGGGTGATGGGAGACAGTGACAGATCATCAAGCATTATTTCTTAATGAGTGTGCAGCCTAGATGCCTTGCTTGCACAATTCACAATAGTGTTTGTGCTCCTATGAGAGTCTAATGCCACTGCAGATCTGACAGGCAGAGCTCAGGTGGTAATGCGAGCAGTGGGGAGTGGCTGTGAAGCTTTGCTTGCTGGACCCAGTTCACTTCCTGCTCACTTCCTGCTGTGCAGCCTGGTTCCTAACAGGCCAAGGACCGGAGCCTGTCCATAACCTGGAGGCTTAGGGACCCCTGATTAGAAGAATAGAGGAGGATATGCTTAGGTTATGTGCAAATACTATGTTGTGTTATATCAAGGACTTCAGTATCTGCAGATTTTGGTATTCAAGCGAGATGCTTGAACCAATCACCCATGGATATCTAGGGACAGTTATACAATGGTGTTGAAGAACTGACAAAACCTGGCAGTTTGACACAGACATATGGGAAAAATTGAAGGAGTCAAAAGGTCACTTAGTTCATATCAGAAATGAAGTAAGGAAGGATGTTGATTTTTGGGGAACCTGAAGAGTTGAGGTAGTCTAGGTTTGAAGTAATGTAAGGATAGCCTAGTTAAAGAATTCTTCAGGGATTTTTAGCGATATGGTTGTGGTAATTGAGCTAAATATTCTGCAAAACAGCCATGCTGTTGTTTTGACAACCTCTTTTAGAACAATTTTTTTTTTTGGCTTCCATTTTCCCCAAGTTACCTTGTCTGTATGTAATTGTCTCCATTGATTTTAGTTTTGTCTTCTGGAATAATTCAGAAAGCCTTTGATAAAATTTTGCCCTTCAGCGTTGGAAGACAGCTTTGTCATTCCTGAGGAGTTGGGTCCTGGCCAGGCGTGGTGGCTCACGCCTGTAATCCCAGCACTTTGGGAGGCCGAGGCAGGTGGATCATCTGAGGTCAGGAGTTTGAGACCAGCCTGGCCAACATGGTGAAACCCTGTCTCTACTAAAAATACAAAAATTAGCCGGGCGTGGTGGTGCGCACAGGAGAATTGCTTGAACCCAGGAGGCGAAGGTTGCATTGAGCCAAGATTGCACCACTGCACTCCAGCCTGGGCGACAGTGAGACTCTGTCCCTTCCCCCACCCCCCCCTCCAAAAAAAAAGAAAAAAAGAGTTGTGTCCCAAGTTATTCTGGTAGCATCCTTGTTTTAGTTTCCTCTAAAAGGGTGATTTTTGTGTCCATATCTATAGTATTTTAGATAAGGTTAGATGAAGTTATCTTCTATGATGACTTGAATGATTTTTCTGTTTCATTTGTAA
This sequence comes from Homo sapiens, assembly GCF_000001405.40. Classification (NCBI taxonomy): domain Eukaryota; kingdom Metazoa; phylum Chordata; class Mammalia; order Primates; family Hominidae; genus Homo; species Homo sapiens. The sequence continues at coordinate 136,185,371 of NC_000003.12, read as the reverse complement.
GATGAGGTTGTTGGATTAAAGCATAACTTTTGCTATGAATTTGATTTCCAGACTTTTTTTTTTTTTTTTTAGCTTTGTTAAAAATTTGCTGAATTGGGCTGAGCACAGTGGCTCATGCCTGTAATCCCAGCACTTCAGGAGGCTAGGGCTGGCGGATCCTTTGAGGTCAGGAGTTTGAGATCAGCCTAGCCAACATGGTGAAACCTTGTCTCTATTAAAAATACAAAAAATAAGCCGGGTGTGGTGGCGCATGCCTGTAATCACAGCTACTTGGGAGGCTGAGGCAGGAGAATTGCCTGAACCTGGGAGGTGGAGGTTGCAGTGAACTGAGATCCTGCCACTGTACTCCAGCCTGGGCTACAGAGCAAGACTCAGTCTCAAAAAAAAATGAGTTGGTGGTTACTGTTTCCAAACCTAGACCTCACATAAAAATCCAAATTTTTAGGCACTTCCTGGAAAAGTATGAGGTTTTGCAACAGTGGAAGCATTGAATTGGAAGCATTCCATTATTGGCTAGCATCATTGGCTAGATTTGAGAGATTGGCTTTTTTCTTTGGTGGTAGGAGTATGTCCTCCTCAGTTTGTCCTTGGTCACACGTGACCTTTGTCCCCCCCCCCCCCTTTTTTTTTTTTTAACCTTTATCTAACTTGCTCCTGTAAGAATTCGGGTTTGTAATTCTCAGGAATGAAGGATTTATCCAGGCCCCTTCTTGTACGCTGGAGGTTGTTCAGAACCATGGAATTCTTTTTTTTGTTTGTTTGTTTTTTTGAGACGGAGTCTCGCTCTGTCGTCCAGGCTGGAGTGCAATGGTGGGATCTCGGCTCGCTGCAACCTCCGCCTCCTGGGTTCAAGGGATTCTCCCACCTCAGCCTCTGGAGTAGCTGGGATTACAGGCTCCTGCCATCATGCCCAGCTCATTTTTTTTTGTGTTTTTATAGAGACGGGTTTCACCATGTTGGCCAGGCTGGTCTTGAACTCCTGACCTCAGGTGATCTGCCTGCCTTGGCCTCCCAAAGTGCTGGGATTACAGACATGAGCTACTGTGCCCAGCCCAGAACCATAGAATTCTTTTTTTCAGACGGAGTCTCACTCTGTCGTTCAGGTTAAAGTGCAGTGGCACCATCTGGGTTCACTGCACCCTCCGCCTCCCGGGTTCGAGCAATTCTCCTGCCTCAGCCTCCCGAGTAGCTGGGACTACAGGCGCCCACCGTCAACGCCCGGCTAATTTTTTGTATTTTTAGTAGAGACGGGGTTTCACCGTGTTAGCCAGGATGGTCTCTATCTCCTGACTTCGTGATCCGCCCGCCTTTGCCTCCCAAAGTGCTGCGATTACAGGCATGAGCCACCACGCCTGGCCAGGACCATAGAATTCTAATGATGTGATCTTCAATTATTTTGTGAAATCTTATTACCTGGATAAGAGTCAGGATTGCTTTATCTTGTTTGGCAGTTAGAGAACAGTTGTTGATTCACAATATTTCTGGTCAGTTAAAACATTTTCACAGGTTAGTCGATAGTATTGTTCATTATTTTCTCTGTTCTTACAGACTCTTAGTAGTTTTGTCAGTTATTGAGTTGAAATCTGAACTATATGTGTTTTCAGTTTCTCTTCAGAGTTTTATCATAAGTTTTTGCTGCATGTATTTTGAAGCTCTGTTGGTAGGTTTATGAAACCTTTTGGAACTTATGGAATATAGTTAAAATAACTACCATTTTAATAACTTTGATTTTTCTAGCCTGGGCAACATGGCAAAACCCTGCCTCTACAACAAATACAAAAATTAGCTGGACATGGTTGGTGCGTGCCTGTAGTCACAGACCCTTGGGAGGCTGAGGTGGGAGGATTGCTTGAGCCCAGGAGGCAGAGGTTGCAGTGATCGAGGTCGTGCCACTGCACTCCAGCCTGGGTGGCAGAGTGAGACCTTGTCTCAAAAAAAAACCAAAAAACAAAACTTTCATTTTAAAAATTTTTCATAGAGGTGGGGCCTCCCTGTGTTTCCCAGACTGGTCTTGAACTCTTGGCCTCAAGTATTTTTCTCCTCCTACCTTGGCCTCCCAAAGTGCTGGGGTTACAGGAGTGAGCCACCGCATTTGGCTTAATATAAATTTCATTTTTAATGTTGTTTACTAATTCTATCATCTTTCATTTTCTGGGTTTGTTGCTCGCACTGGTTTTTCTTCTCATCATGGGTTATATTTTCCTGCTTCTTTCTTGGCCTGGTTAATTTTCCAGCTATTGTGAGTTTTACCTTGTAAAATTTTACTTTGTTGCTGGATATTTTTGTACTACAAATATTCTTGAGCTTCGTTCTGGGATGAGGCTAAGTTACTTGGAGACTGTTTGATCCTTTCAAGGCTTGTTTTTAAGCTTTTGTTCAGCAGAGTCGCAGCAGCTTTTAGAGACTAGTTTTTCCATGCTACTGAGGGCAGGAACCTTCTGACTACTCATCTGATGCCTTGTGAGATTCTCACTTTGGGTAGTGGAAGGAGGAATTACTCTGCTACTTCTGTGAGTTGTGGGGATTGTTTCCACTGCTTCTTTCTGGGGCTTCTCTGGTAGTTTATACGCATGTGCTAATTAATCAGTACTGAGCTGAAGACTTGAGAGGGACCTGGTACACCACTCTGGACTTCTTTCTCTTTTTTTTTTTTTTTGAGACGGAGTCTCGCTCTGTCTCCCAGGCTGGAGTGCAGTGGTGCGCTGGACCTCTTTCTCTGTGCAGCTCTCTCATCTCTGTGCTTCGCTCTGACAAGTCCAGCTGCCTTGGCTTCCAGCTCTGGCTTCTCAATTCAGGGGAGCTTTTTCTCCCCCACCCCCCTCAATCCAGGCTTTGGATTCTCCCTCCCTGTGCTTTTTGGCCTGAAAAGTATTCCCAGGCAATAAGCTAGGATGGTTGTAGGGTTTATATTTGTTCCCCTTTTCAGGGATCACTGTCCTGTGCCGCCTGTTCGTCAATATTTGAAAACCTATTGTTCTATTCTGTTTTTTAGTTATTTCAGTTAGGAGAGTAAATCTGATTATTCCAATTTTGTCTGGAAGCAGAATAAGATCACATTCTAAACCTACATTTTATACAAAGCCACTAGCCATATGTGACAATTTAAATTTCGTCTAATTAAAAGTAAATACAATTTAAAATCCAGTTCTTCTGTTATCCTTAACAACATTGTAAATGCTCAGTAGCCACATGTGAGTGTAATGGCTTCCTTATTGGACATTGCAGATATAAAACATTTCCATTGTTGCATAAAGTTCTGTTGGACAGTGTTATAACATTTAAAGAACTTAGATTTGTTCTTAAAACTGTGTGAGAAATTTGCCTTCAGTGTTTTCATCTTGTTTAAGTTTTGATTTTTTAAAAAAATTTTAAATTAAAAAATTTTTTTTTCTTCAGCCCACGTAAGTTTTGATTATTTATTTATTTATTTATTTATTTATTTATTTATTTTTTGAGACAGAGTCTCACTCTGTTGCCGAGGCTGGAGTGCAGTGACACTGTGTTGGCTCACTGCAACCTTCGTCTCCTGGGTTCCAGCAGTTCTTCTGCCTCAGCCTCCCGAGTAGCTGGGATTACAGGCGTCTACCACCACGCCCGGCTAGTTTTTGTATTTTTAGTAGATACGGGATTTCACCATGTTGGCCAGGCTGGTCTTCAACTCCTGACCTCAGGTGATCCACCTGCCTCAGCCTCCCAAAGTGCTCAGATTACAGGTGTGAACCACCGCGCCCGGCCAAGTTTTGATTTTAAAACATTGAGCTGGATGGGGTTGTGAACAAATTTTTGGAGCTTACCATTTACAGACCTTTAGAACAATTTCTTCACCTTAGTAATCGGGCCCAAGAAGGTGTTCCACGGTGGTAGTGAAAGGACTTCTGTTACTTTAGAAAAAGAGAAAACATTTTAAATGTTTATCTTCCTTTAAAATGAGGTAATGTGAAGAGATGTCAAATGAGCATGAGACAAATTAGTGGTGCTGTAACCAGTTAATAATTCAGCTTAATCCTTCTGTCATGAAGGTTTCATATTGTTTTAATCTTAGTCATGTATTTTATTAACTCTTACTCATTGTTTCAATACTTCATTCAATAGATCAACGGTTAGAGACAAGAAGCATTAAGAAAATTAAGTCGATAATGAAATACTAGATGATGAGCATAAAAATGTAAATGATTCTAAATATTTGGTTCACGATTTTTGTTACTTTTTTCTTTTTTTTTGAGACAGAGTTTTACTCTGTCGCCAGGTTGGAGTGCAGTGGCGCAATCTCACCTCACTGCAACCTCCACCTCCTGTGTTCAAGTGATTCTCCTGCCTCAGCCTCTTAAGTAGCTGGGATTACAGGCATGTGCCACCATGCCTGATTTTTTTTTTTTTTATTTAATAGAGTCAGAATTTCACTACATTGGTCAGGCTAGTGTTGAACTTCTGACCTCAGATGATCCACCCTCCTCTGCTCCCCCGCCCCGCAAAGTGCTGGGATTACAGGCTTGAGCTACCACGCCCGGCCAACTCCTTTTTCCTTCCTTCCTTCCTTCCTTCCTTCCTTCCTTCCCTCCTTCCCTCCCTCCCTCCCTCCCTCCCTCCCTCCCTCCCTCCCTCCCTCCCTCCTTCCCTCCTTCCCTCCTCTCCTCCTCTTCTTTTCTTTTCTTTTGTTTTTTCTTTTTTTTCTGAGACGGAGTCTTGCTCTGTCGCCCAGGCTGGAGTGCAGTGGTGCGATCTTGGCTCACTACAACCTCCGCCTCCCGGGTTCCAGCAATTCTCCTGCCTCAGCCTCCCGAGTAGCTGGGATTACAGGTGCCAGCCTCCGTGCCCGGCTAATTTTTGTATTTTTAGTAGAGATGGGATTTCACCATTTTGGCCAGGCTGGTCTTGAACTCCTGATCTCGTGATCTGCCCACCTCAGCCTCCCAAAGTGTCTTTTATTCTTTATAAGTTGTCTGTGTTAACATCCTGTATCTGAACAGGTCCTTGGTAATATTTCAAAAAGTAACGTTAAAAAGAGAAAATACAGTGCTACCCAGTATTGCTTTTTATTTTTGGAGACCAGAGACTGTTCATACTTGGAATGTGTTATTTGAAGTGTTTGTAGATGCCGTTTTGAAGCCACTTTTAGCTTATCACGTAGTAACAAAATACAAAAATTGTTAAAAAAAAATTTTAGTCGGAAACATAAGAAGTCCAAATATCAGGGTACATAGGCAGTTTTGCCCCTGTGTAATGTATGCCATTTTAGCCTACATTTTTAACATTCATGAGTTTACAAACAGGGCATGCCATTTTATTTTTATTTTTTATTTTTTTTTTGAGACGGAGTCTCGCTCTGTTGCCCAAGCTGGAGTGCAGTGGAGGGATCTCAGCTCACTGCAACCTCTGCCTCCTGGGTTCAAGTGTTCTCTTGCCTCAGCCTCTTGAGTAGCTGGGACTACAGGCCCCCGCCACCACGCCTGGCTAGTTTTTGTATTTTTAGTAGAGGTGGAGTTTCACCGTGTTGGCCAGGCTGATCTCAAACTCTTGACCTCAGGTGATCACCTGCCTTGGCCTCCCAAAGTGCTGTGATTACAGGTGTGAGCACCATGCCCAGCCCAAGATAAGCCGTTTTAAAGTAGATATGTCAACAAATGCATTTTAAAACTTAATTTAGATAAAATTGTCTTTGTATGCTTTAAGATGATCTTTATAGTATAATCTTGCCTAATATGCTGATTAAAAGTAGTTTTTTTTCCTTCAAATCATTTAATCACATTTACTACTTAAATGATGAAATGTCGCCAGGAGTTCTTATTACTGTGGAAGATGACTTCAAGGGAAGAAAAAGTTAAAAGTATTTTTAGTGATTCCTTATCCTGGTTCATCAGAATTTGGGAAGCTTTTACAAAATACACATTCCTCGCTGGGCAGGATGGCTCATGCTGTAATCCCAGCACTTGAGATGCCAAGGCAGGTAGATTGCTTGAGCCCAGGAGTTCAAGACCAGTTTGGGCAGTATAGTGAGACCCTGTCTCTACCAGAAAATAAAACATTAAGGATGGTGGTCCCTGCCTGTAATCCCAGCTACTCGGGAGCTTGAGGTGCAGGGATTGCTTGAACCCAGGAGGTTGAGGCTGGTTTGAACCATGATGGTGCTGCTGCACTCCAGCCTGGGCGATAGAGGGAGTACTCTGTCTTTAAAAAAGAAAAAAGTGAACAAAGTGAACACCTGTGACCAAATTTGAACACAAGGTTTATGACCATTACACTAAGACTGGTATAGCTAATTGGGAGGCTGAGGTGGGAGGATTGCTTGAGCCTTGGAGGTCAAGGCTGTGGTGAATTCTGATTGTGCCACTGCGTTCCAGCCTGGGTGACAGAGTGAGACCTTGTCTCTTAAAAAAAAAAAAAAAAAAAAAAAAGAAAACCAACAAAATAACTACATTCCTGGGCAGCATCCTCAGAGCTGGAGTAGGCCATGTAAGTGATCCTGGTAATAACCGTTTGATGGTAGTAGTGCTGTCTTGGAATACTCCACGTGTGAGGTTAAAAAAAGTGTGTGCTGGCGGGGCGCAGCGACTCATGCCTGTAATCCCAGCACTTTGGGAGGCCCAGGTGGGTGGATCACCTGAGGTCAGGAGGAGTTCGAGACCAGCCTGGCCAACATGGTGAAACCCCGTCTCTACTAAAAATAAAAAAGTTAGCTGGGTGCCATGGTGGGCGCCTGTAATTTCCCAGCTACTTGGGAGGCTGAGGCAGGAGAATTGCTTGAACCTTGTGAGGCAAGGTTGCAGTGAGCTGAGATTGCAGCACTGCACTCCAGCCTGGGCGACAGAGTGAGACCCTGTCTCAAAAAAAAAAAAAAAAAAGTGCCAGTAAATTTAAGCAGTGCTGTCTTAAGTTTTTTGACACCTATAGAATATTCAGTTTTAAGATGCTAATGTATTTTGGGATGACTCTCTTAAGAGGGTAATAAAGCAAACCTGGTTCCGTGCAACACCAATTTGGGAAATTTGGATCTTAATTTATGTTGGTTTATTGATTAATGTTTGTTCAGGTATGAATCAACTTAATTTTGCCTAATTAATCAGCCTACATTATCTTATAGGTAATAATTTTGTGAGTGGCTGTCATTGCTTTGCCAAAATAGGAAAATAATGGAATATTATAAAAGTGCTCTGTAACCACAAACATTCTATAAAAGCCTCCCCTACTTAGTTATTAAGATAAACGATGTCTGGCGTTCTCTTTTAGTTCTTACCAGAATATGAAATGAGGCATGGCTTGAGTATATGAATATGTTGTGGGTCTGAGTGGTTATACATATACATCATCCATTTTTAATAACCTATGATGAGTCTTTGTTTAATGGTAGTTGACTGGTGAAACTTATTCGTCAAAAGTGCATGTATAAAGTACTGACTTACCCAAAGATGATTCAATACAAAATTAAAAAAACTCCGAAGTTTAACTGTTCAGGTTTTCAGTGAACAGCTTGGCTTGAGTGACATTTATATTTTTAAAATTACAGTGTTTAACTGTTCTTTTTCTTCACCTCCACTTCCCTGTAAAATTGGCATATATGTTTAGCTATCACTGGTCTCTCAAATATAATGGTATTTAGTTATTTAAAGTGCTATAGTGAACGTTAAAGTAATTACTCAGTCAAGTGGTCAAAATATTACACTTTGTAGCATCTTTTTTTTTTTTTTTTTTTTTTTATGAGACGGAGTCTCGCTCTGTCGCCCAGGCTGGAGTGCAGTGTCGTGATCTCAGCTCACTGCGAGCTCTGCCTCCTGGGTTCATGCCATTCTCCTGCCTCAGCCTCCCGAGTAGCTGGGACTACAGGTGCCCACCACCATGCCCGGCTAATTTTGTTTTTTGTATTTTTAGTTGAGATGGGTTTTCACCTTGTTAGCCAGGATGGTCTCGATCTCCTGACCTCATGATCCTCCTGCCTCAGCCTCCCAGGGTGCTGGGATTACAGGCATGAACCACCGTGCCCGGCCTGTAGCATTATTTTTAGTGACTAAGGCACATCTGCCATATTAATTATTCTTTCTTGTTTTTAATTAAAATGCATATTTTTCTGGCATATGATTATTTGTGCTAGATATTTTAAAGAAATAGTTGACAGGTCTTTGGAATCCAGCTGATCAGGGATATTTAAATGGGCTAATGCTGATTTGGGCATAGTTGCTTGAATATTAGAGAACTGCTAATTTCTTCAAAACCTTAGTTTGTTATTTAGATTCAGTGATTTTTTGAGGCATGTATTTGCTTTTTGGTTCAGTACTAAAATAAAGTGGGTGGAGGTTTACAGTAACAGGTTTTAAGTGCTGCTCAATAAAAAATTTAAAGAAGAAAAACAGACTTGGGCTAGGAAGCCTCACAAAGGTAAACTTGTGCTGTCTTAGGAGAGTTCTCTGGTCTCAAGTTCATTTCTCTTTGACCTGAGCTTGTTATCTTTTATAGCAATGTGTAAGTCCGTTTGTGTTGCTGTTAAGGAATACCTGAGGCTGGGTAATTTATAAAGAAAAGATATTTATTTTGGTTCACGGTTCTGCAGGCTGTACAGGGAGTATGGTGCCAGCATCTGCTTCTGGTGAGGGTCTCAAGAAGCTTCCAATCATGGCAGAAGGCTAAAGGGGAGCAGGCCTATCACATGGCGAAAGAAGGAGCAAGAGAGAGAAGGGTGTGTGCCACCACACCTGGTTAATTTTTAAATTTTTTTTTTTTTGTAGTAACAGGGTCTCACTCAGTTGCCCAGGCTGGTCTTAGATTCATGGGCTCAAGTGATTCTCCTGCCTCAGCCTCCCAATGCTGAGATGATAGGCATGAACCACTGTGCCCAGCCGAAAAGTTTTTTTTTTTTTTTTTTTTTTTGAGAGAGGGTCTCATTCTGGTTGCCCAGGCTGGAGTGCAGTGACACGATCTTGGCTCAATACAGCTTCAACCTCCTGGGCTTAGGTGATTGTTCCACCTCACCCTCCCGAGTAGCTGGGATTGCAGGTGCATGCCCCCATGTCCTGCTAATTTTTTGTATTTTTAGTAGAGACGGGGTTTTGCTGTGTTGCCCAGGCTGGTCTTGAACTCCTGGACTCAAGCAATCCACCTGCCGTGGCTTCCCATAGTGCTGGGATTACAGGCATGAGCCACCACACCCAGCCGGCCACTGAAAAGTTTTAAAAGAAGTTTAGACTTTAAAATATGCCTGCACACAACTATATTGGGCAAAGAATATAGTTTTACTTGTCCAAGAACTGTTGATTAATTTGCACCAATTTGGAAATGATAAATACTAACTTTTTATGGTATAGTCGTTTTTGTTTGGCTGAATCCAGAGATTATTTCCTTGTATATGTATCTAGAATATGTCCTACTAGTTATTGTTTGGAAACATACTCGACATCTTTAATTTTGGAGTTTAATTTTGGTGCTATAATTCAGAGATTTAAAAAAGGTTTGAGAATGCCTTGCTAAGTGATGGCAGGCTTAGCACAGTGGCAGGCTTAGCACAGTGTTTGGCATATAGCTGGGTCCCAGGAATTATTTACATATGTAATGGAGGAAGGAGAAATGTTTTATTCAATGAACATAGGCTAAACAATTCACTCTTCATTTGGAAAAGGTGAAAAATGGGGAAATTTAGATAAATTGATTATGAAACGGTTATTGTTCCGGCCCTATCTCAGACTTGTTGTTGTTGTTGTTTTTTGAGATGGGGCCTCTGTCACGCAGGCTAGGGTGCAGTGATCCGATCATGGCTCACTTGCAGCCTCGAACTCCTGGACTCTAATGATCCTCCCACTTCAGCCTCCTTAGTAGCTGGGACCACAGGCATGTGCCACCATGTCTGGCTAATTTTGTTTATTTTTCGTAGAGGCAGGGTTTCACTATGCTGCTTAGGCTGGTCTCGAACTCCTGGGCTTGAGTGATCCTCCTGCCCCAGCCTCCCAAAATGCTGGTATTGTAAGTGTGAGCCACTGCACCTGGCCTATCTCAGACTTTTGACATCAGTGAGAGAAGTGTATTCTCCCACTTTTTTTTTTTTTTTTGAGACGGAGTCTTGCTCTGTCGCCCAGGCTGGAGTGCAGTGGCGCGATCTCGGCTCACTGCAACCTCCGCCTCCTGGGTTGAAGTGATTCTCCTGCCTCAGCCTCCTGAATAGCTGAGATTACAGGTGTGCGCCACCACGTCTGGCTACTTTTTGTATTTTTAGTAGAGATGGGGTTTCACCATGTTGGTCAGGCTGGTATCGAACTCCTGACCTCGTGATCCACCTGCCTCGGCCTCCCAAAGTGCTGGGATTATAGGCGTGAGCCACCATGCCCAGCCATGACTCAAATTCAGCATAGTTACTCTCATACCACAAGAGAAATAGAGTGTACGTGTTTATTTGGGTTGATCAGCATCGGTTTATTGCTATTACATTCCCAGAAAATTTTATAAATGAATGAAAACCAGCTTAGTCTAATCATGAGTTTAGTATATATGTATTTACTTATTTTAAACATATATATTACACATGAATACATTATGCATACACATTTAATATACATATACATATTAAGGTTTCTGATGCTGTAAATTTTAGACTGGTATATAGGCCGATCTTTGTTTTTTGTTGGAATCTCTTTTACACAGAAGATGGTACAAATGCTTTATAGCATATATGTCCACTTGAAGCATTTAAGGCTAACTTTAAAAATTGAAGTTAGTGTGTAGAGAATTTAGGCAGGGCTCTTGCTGGTCCAGTTTTTGTGCAGTAAGGATTTCCTGACCCTCACAAACCTGTTATTGAGAATCCATCCTCCCCTTCCTTTTGCTCTTCCTGCCTCAGTCACTATCCATTATTGCCAGTACCTGTTCCTATTTCTTCTTTCCAATAAAAGGTTGTATATCTTGTGGCTAATTATTCTGCCTATTGCTCAGTTTCTGTAATCATTTTTGGGAAGGGGCAAGAAGCTAAAATTGTCTCTGTGTATGCCATGGACTGTTTTAATAGAAGTACAGATAGTGCTGGATAAGTGAAAATAATTCTAGGCTGGGAATCAGTAGACTGAGCCTCTATTTTTCATTGCTAGTACCCAGTTATGTAATCCATGAAAGTCCATCTTGGTTAAAATGAGGTCACAGAACAAGTGATTACCAAGGTCACTCCCAGATTTAATGTTCTTTTTATGATTAATTCATTTTACATTTATTAGGTGCTGGCTTATGTGCCAACACTAGTTTAAAGATTTAGAGATAAATAAGTTTCTGGCCTTGAGTGAGACCCAGTGAACAATGACAATATAATGTGATTAAGTGCTGTAATAGGAGAATGTGTAAAGTGCTTTTTCAACAGATTGAGGGAGGTTAATTAAGAAAGGCTTCCTCTTGGAGGTCATATTTGAATTGATTTTTGAAGAAGAATTGACCATGCAAGGCAGGAAGAAGGACATTCTAGGAACAGCAAATCATGGAGGATGAGTAAGCATTGCATGTTTTGGAATGGTCAGTGGTGGGTGAGAATGGAGTATGGAGTTCTTGGAGAAAGCTTAGTGAAATGAGATTTGGGGTGGAAGACAGGTAGGTAGGGGCTAGATTCTGGAAGGCCTTATATGTCATTCCAAAGTCTTTGGATTTTAAAGTTCGCTTCAAGGGTTTTCAAGAGAAAGGCATGTAATCAGACTTGTGTTTTAGAAAGATCATATGGTGGCAGTGTGGAAGATGAATTGATTAGGTAAGGCACGGAGATAAGCTAGAAAACTCGAAATTCGGGGTGAACAATGATGAAGGTTGAACTAAGGCAGTAGTAGTCATGCAAATAAAACCTGAAGGGGTGGAATTGGCAGATTTTTATAAACTACATGCAGGGAGAACAATTGGATATGGAATGGAGGTGAAGAGTCTGGGTGGTTTCAAGGTATTTAGTTTGTGAATGAATGATAGTGTCAGTACCAAGAGAATAAGGGATGCAGGAGGAAGACCAGGCTTTTAGGTGGGGATTTATGGGAGATAAAATTTATATTTGCTCATGTTAAGCTTGAATTACCTGTGGGTTGGCAAAAGAGAGATGAGATTCCTAGTAGGCACTTCGATATTGGGTCTGAAGTTCAGGGGAGAAAGATTTGAGTTGGAGATACAGATTCAGAAGTCACCAGTTTATGAACAGTAGTTAAAACAGCTTTATGGGCAATCACTCTAGAAAGAAGTATGTTCCACCTTCTTTTGTTTGTTTGTTTGTTTATTTTGAGACAAAGTCTTGCTCTGTCGCCCAGGCTGGAGTGCAGTGGCGTGATCTCAGCTCACTGCAACCTCTGCTTTCTGGGTTCAAGCGATTTTTGTGCCTCAGCCTCCCAAGTAGCTGGGATTACAGGCGCACACCACCATGCCTGGCTGGTTTTGTATTTTTAGTAGAGGTAGGGTTTCGCCATGTTGGACAGTCAGGTCTTGAACTCCTGACCTCAAGTGATCCTCTTGCCTTGGCCTCCCAAAGTACTGGGATTACAGGTGTGAGCCACTGTGCCCGGCCCCGTAGGTCAGTTTTAAAGTTTGTATGGTGTCATGTCTGTTTCAAAAGGGGAAAAGATTAATGATCCTCATAAGATTCTGAACAACAATTTGTACTTTTTTTTTTATTAGCTCTTGAACTGAAGACGTACACATTTGTATAGTCAGATTCTCAAAGGGGTCTGTGTCAGTAAGGATTACTAAGGATTACTGAAAGGGAGTAAGGAGAGTAGATCCTATTAAGGAAACATGGGAAATACTAAAATTAATGAGGGGACAGAAGAGGATGTAGAGGAGATGACGGAGACAGTGTTAGGGGAGAAAGGAGGAGAGCATTTCAAGGGAAGAATAATGAACCAGAAGTGCCCACTACATTTGGGATTAGCAATTTTTGCCTTTCATTAGAAGACACATTCTGGTGAGAAGCTTCTGCATAGGGAATAACTGGATGGGGAGTTGCTATAGGAAGGAAGGTTGAAGGTGGAAGTGAGAGAGAGGGTATAAATAACATTAGGTATAGGTAACTGGGTGGGGGGAGTATGGGAGGTATGTGAGCCAAAGCATTGGAGGGAGAGGAGGATTTACGTAGGAGGGAAGAAGAAAAGGGTACTGTATGTGTGTATGTGTTGTCGGGGAGTGAGTATGAGTATGATGAGAGGTGGAGAGAGGGAGAATACTTAAATATGTAAACCTTCTGGTAAATTTGGAAGCATGAAAAAATTGACATAAGTAGAAATATTCAAGCTTTCATTGGACTTTATTTTGTCACGTTTATAGAAAATTTCAATATACAGGCCAGGTGCGGTGGCTCACGCCTGTAATCCCAGCCCTTTGGGAGGCCAAGGTGGGTGGATCGCTTGAGCCAGGAGTTGTGGTCCCACCTACGCAGAAGGCTGAGTTAGGAGGATTGCTTGAGCCCCAGGAGGTTGAGGCTACGATGAGCCATGACACTGCACTTCATCCTAAGCGACTGGGCAACAGAGTGGGACCCTGTCTCCAAAAAAAAGAAAAAGTTTCAACATACAAAGTAGAATAAAACTCTCACATACATACCTGTTACCTCAACATGATACCTAGTGAAAATTAATTATACCCAAATGCAAGGCTTTTGATACACCCTTTATAGACCTGGCCATACGTCTTGGAATCATCAAATTTTACAGCTGTGAAAAGAACCTAGATATTTAGTTAATAGCTTTAAGAAACTGAGGGCCAAATCACTTAGGAGCACACTATTAATATATATGACATTGTTTTACTCAAAATTTGTCAGACTTGGACAGTTACAGAATTACTGATTGTAGTGGATGCCATGATGTAATACCCAAATCCCCACTTAAGGCTTAAAGAAATTCATTCTTTTAGCTAGTGGGTGTGCTGCTGAGGCTGTGAGACCTGTCTGGGAATCATCCTTGGCTGAAGAGAGCAACTCATTCATGGTCACATGCTTTCGTTGTGAGTAGTGTGCCTCCAGGTTCTGGTTCATTAAAGTACCTGGCTCCTTGGGCCCAGCATAGGACAACCCTAAGGAGTCATTCAGCTTTAGAGTTTCTTTTGGGTCATCTGAGGCCTTTTTTGTGAGTTCATCCCAGCCACTTCCTTCCTTCCTTTACAAATGATAATCCTGAGAGAAGCTCTTCATAAGTTTTCTGCACACTAACCTGTCCTAAGAGTTTGCATGCCTAGGAATCTGACTTGTAACAGTGACTAACTTTACACTTCCTTTTGATTTGAAACAGCAATGACTTGCTAAATTTTTAAAGATTTAACATGTCTCATTTTCTCATGTTTGTGAGACATACCCAGGTAAATGTTGAGTAATAATATAATGAAAGAAAATGATTACTTTTACAATGCCAAACATACAGAAAACATTCATCATTAGGACATGTTTCGGGATGGAACAGAAAGTAGAATACTTTCTCAAACATATTGAACAAATCTTGGCATATAATTGGCCTCTTTTCCCTCCCATCATTGTTAGGGTTCTGCTACCTCATTTTTACCTCCTTTTATAAATTAAAAAGGTATCCCCCTGCCAGTTTGAGATCAGGCTTGTATTCTTTTTTGGCCTGATTGGAGTTATTTAAAAATATGGACAGGCTGGGCACAGTGGCTCACGCCTGTAATCCCAGCACTTTGGGAGGCTGAGGTGGGCGGATCACGAAGTCAAGAGATCGAGACCATCCTGGCCAACATAGTGAATGTCTCTACTAAAAATACAAAAATTAGCTGGGCATGGTGACGCACGCCTGTAGTCCCAGCTACTCGGGAGGCTGAGGCAGGAGAATCGCTTGAACCCAGGAGGCAGCAGTGAGCCGAGATCACGCCACTGCACTCCAGCCTGGCGACAGAGCGAGACTCCCATCTCAAAAAAAAAAAAAAAAAAAAAAAAGGACAGAGTTTTTTTTCCTTTTGGTCATCCTGTAGAAAATGGAAAGCTGTGAAGTATATTTGAAACAAATATGGTTGGATTGAGTCTTTATGGAAAGGTCTTGTACTTCAGTCACACAGTAGAATGACTATAGTTAACAATGGTTTTTTTTTTTTGAGAGGGATTTTTGCTCTTGTCTCCCAGGCTGGAGTGCAGTAGTGTGATGTCGGCTCACTGTAGCTTCTGCCTCCTGGGCTCAAATGATTCTCCTGCCTCAGCCTCCTGAGTAGATGGGATTACAGGCATGCACCACCACGCCCAGCTAATTTTTGTATATATATATATTTTTAAGTAGAGACGGGGTTTCACCATGTTGGCCAGGCTGGTCGTGAACCCCTGACCTCAGGTGATCTGCCTGCCTCAGCCTCCCAAAGTGCTGGGATTATAGACATGAGCCACCGCCCCGCTGATTTTTTTTTTTTTAATGGAGTCTCTCTGTCGCCCAGGCTGGAGTGCAGTGGCGCGATCCTGGATCACTGCATCTTTCACCTCCTGGGCTCAAATGATTTGTGCCTCAGCCCGAGTAACTGGGATTACAGGCATCTGCCACCACACCTGGCTACTTTTTTATTTTTAGTAGAGATGAGGTTTTACCATGTTGACCAGGCTGGTCTTGAACTCCTGACCTCAAGTGATCAATCCACCTTGGCCTCCCAAAGTGCTGGAGCGTGCCTGGCCAGTTAACCATGATTTATTGTATATTTCAAAACACGTAGAGGCTGGGTGCGGTGGCTCACGCCTGTAATCCCAGCACTTTGGGAGGCCGAGGCAGGTGGATCACCTGAGGTCAGGAGGAGTTCAAGACCACCCTGGCCAACATGGTGAAACCCCGTCTCTACTAAAAATACAAAATATTAGCTGGGCGTGGTGGTGTGCACCTGTAATCCCAGTTACTCAGGAGGTTGAGGCAGGAGAATTGCTTGAACCAGGGAGGCAGAGGTTGCAGTGAGCCCAGATTATGCCACTCCACTGCAGCCTAGGTGACAGAGTGAGACTGCGTCTCAAAAAAAACACAAAAAACAAACAACCCACCAAAACCAATAATAGGAGTGGATTTGGAATGTTCCCAACACAAGGAAATGATAAATGTTTGAGGTGATGGATATTCCAGTTAGCCTCATTTGATTGTTACAGGTTATATGCTTGTCAGAATATCACGTGTACCCCCATACATATGCACAAAAATTATGTACCCGTAACCATTTAAAAAATAAGCACCCCCCCCCCCCCCCCCCCCCGCCAAAACAACAACAACAAAAACAAGCCATGCCCCCATGGTACAGGAAAGATTTGCCTGGCAGAATCCAAGACTACATTCCTGTACAAAATAGTGGAAGATTTTCTGTTTGCAGCGTTTCAGAGTGCCTTTCCAAGATAAAGTGCGCCTCTTGTCATCCATTAAAAATGTTTTGTCATTGCTTAAGTTACCATCCTGTCTTTTGATCAAGAGCCTCACAGCCGTGTGATATGGCTGGCAACAAAATGCTTTTTGCTGTTAATAAAGGTTTTCTTTTTTTTCTTCTGTATTTTCTTCTGTATATATGATTGTAGCTATGCTTAGATGATCAGTAAAGTTATCTGGGCCATTTGGAAAGCAGTGGCTGTCAAAAAGGGTGTTATCTCATTGAACAGTAATTGCTGAGGAAATTGGTTTTAGAATTAGTGAACCTGGAAAACTTAATATTTAAAAACTTTGGTGAGTTTTTTTTTTTTATTATTATACTCAAGTTCTGGGATACATGTGCAGAACGTGCAGGTTTGTTACATAGGTGTACACGTGCCATGGTGGTTTGCTGCACCCATCAACCGGTCATCGAGGTATTTCTCCTAATGCTACTCCACCCCTAGCTCCCTACCCCCAACAGGCTCAGATGTGTGATGTTCCCCTCCTTGTATCCATGTGTTCTCATTGTTCAACTCCCACTTATGAGTGAGAACATGCGGTGTTTGGTTTTGTGTTCTTGTGTTAGTTTGCTGAGAATGATGGTTTCCAGCTTCATCCATGTCCCTGCAAAGGATATGAACTCATCGTTTTTTATGGCTGCGTAGTATTCCATGGTTTATGTGTGCCACATTTTCTTTATCCAGTAATTTTTTTGAGTATTTTAAGATAACTGGTTTGTGTTCTTTTTCTTCTTTCTTTAGTAATGATTTTAAAGTCTCACGACTGTTGTTATCCCATTTTAGCAAGTGAAGTTTTTGTCATTTTTAATTCTTTTTCTTTTGCCTTAAGAGCTTGTTTGCTTTTTTTTTGGTAGAGTTGGGGTCTCACTTCATTACCCAGCTAATCTTGAACTCCTGGCTTCAAGCGATAACTCCTGCCTTGGACTCCCAAAGTGCTGGGATTACAGGTGTGAGCCACCACTCCCAGCCATCTTGAGAACTTATTATGAGTTTCTCTGGCCGCTTTTTATTCCTGTTTTTGGTGTGGGTCCGTTTTTTGGGAAGCAAATTTAGGCTCTGATGTAAAGCATATTTTATTGAGGTACTGTGTAGATATCTCTTGTTTCATGTGGTTCTCGTCAATAAAAGCGGAAAACTGTTTCCTGTCTTTTGTAGGATGCCACATATTTTATAGCTGTTTGATTCTGTACTGTTATTTTTCTCTTTCATTACGTTGGAAAAGTTGATTGAGGGTATTACAAAAACTGATTTTTTTCCATTCCAAATATTTTCCCATATATTTAAGTATTATAAGATTTGAGTCTTCTTGTGGATACCTTGACCATTTAAAATTCTGGTTTCTGAGAATGCATCTTGGACAAATGACATGATGGTTTTAATTATAAATCACCTGCATGTGTCCATTTTTTGCTTTCTGTTAGTGGCATTTCATGATATTCATGTGAGTCTTCATTAATTTTCCTTCATCCTCATGAGTCATAAACAAAAGGTTTATGTAAAATTATTTGCATTATTTGAGGTTATTGATTAGTTAGTCCTTGCTGTAATGGAAGCATGACCAGAAAAAGAATTATGGAGAGAGGCTGGTGGTAAATACAGAATGTTTTGATTCTGAGAATTTTTTTTGTGCATATGACATTTAAATTAGAATTATATGATGCATTTTTGTCAAAGGCCAAAGTTAAGCCATTGAGGTAGTTTAATTCCTTGATATTTTTTTTTTTCTATAGAACAACTAAACCATTTTTCACTTTTACCAAGTTTTTATTTTACTGAAATTTTCATTGGGATTTCTTTTGCATGTGAACTTTAAAATGAGGATTTGATTGATAAAGTCTCTTGTTGTTCATGTTTAATTTGTCCATGTTACATTTTAATCTCTGATAATTTTTGCCATTTTATGATCATTATTATTGCCAGGTCCAGTGTTCACAGGTTTATTTTTAGTTGTTAACAAATTTTGCTAAGTATTAGCCATTATCAGTTTTATATATTTTTTTTCTTGTGCCCCTTCTCCTCATTTCCATAAACTTAATTTCTCCCATAATCTGGTCAAAGTATTTGTGACATTAAATACTTCAGTTAGAATGGAGAATTAAAAAATCTTGCTTCAGAAGTAATTAAGACATAATTTACTTGGTAGTCTGCACATCAGCATAAAATTTGTAGTACAGCTGCCTTTACCAGTAGTATTTTGAAGTGAGTGAATTACTAGTTGCTTTATTGAAAACTGGGATCAACTATGTATTTAAAGAGTTTTCCAAGAGTACTGATAACCTTGTTGTTTATCTGTGCTAAGGAGGAGTGCTCATCTCTTGTATAGAGACGGGCAAGCAATTTGAGACTTAGTTACGGTTTATTTATTTTAGCGCTATTTGCCTCTCAAACTTATGCTGCTTCAAATTTACACTGCTCTGTAAATCTTGATGCTGGCTGGCAGTGAGTCTTGTCAGGGATATGCATGAGGATAAATGCCAGTCAATCTAGGTTCTAGTTTTGGCATGTTAATACTGTAATTATTTGAATGATCTATGTTAAATTTGTTTTAATAAGAGGGAAGGTTTATTGCTTTAAAAAGCATGTTGATTCAAAAAAATATTACTTAACAAATTTTTTTTTTTCTTTTTGGTGGCTGAATTAAAGCCCCTTTCTGGGGCCTTAAAACTTACTTTTTTTTTGAGATAGAGTCTCGCTCTGTCGCCCAGGCTGGAGTGCAGTGGTGCGATCTTGTCTCACTGCCACCTCCACCTCCCGGGCTCAGACAATTCTCCTGCCTCAGCCTCCTGAGTAGCTGGGATTATAGGCGTCTGTCACCACGCCCGGCTAATTTTTGTATTTTTAGTAGAGACAGCCTGGACCATGTTGTCCAGACTGGTCTTGAACTCCTGACCTCAAGTGACCCGCCCACCTCGGCCTCCCAAAGTACTGGGATTACAGGTGTGAGCCATCGTGCCTGGCCCAGTTTTTTCTCCTGAATCTTTTTTTTTTTTTTTTTTTTTTTTTACTGGTACGTACATTTAAATATTTTATTTTAATTTTTATGGGTACATAGTAGGTGTATGTATTTGTGGGGTACATTAAATGTTTTGATACAGGCACTCAATGCATAATCATGACATCATGTAAAATCCCCTCAAGTATTTATCCTTTGTGTTACGAACAATTCCATTATACTCTTTTAGTTATCCCATTATACTCTTAACTTTAAATTTACAATTATTAGTGACTGTAGTCACCCTGTTATGCTATCAAATACTAGGTCTTATTCATTCTTTCTATTTCTTTTGTAGCCATTAACAATTAAATCTTAATCTGGTTTAAAAATTAATGATGTCTGGATTTGCTTTTTGAAATAAAGAACAGAAGATGAGTAGGTGAATTAAATGTGGCATAAGAATTATTCTGGGTTATGAGTATATGGAGGTTACTTGTATTGTGTTCTTTTGTCTGTTTGAAAGTCTCCATAATAAAAAGATTCACTCATTAAGAGCATTAAAAAATCTGATATTAAATATCTTAGTAAATTAATTATCAACAGTTATATTTTCCCAGAAATTACAAAAATTAGCATTGTGGTATCCTAAAACTATGTCTTAGCCTTAAATTTAAAATTGACTGACTTGAGGAAAAGCAGTTAAGAAGAGGGAGAGTAAATAAGAAATTGGTAACTAAACAAAAATGAAAATGTTGAGGCACAAAAATGAATATTTTTAGGGTCAATATCACATTATTTGTTTAGACAGAGCACATAAATATCATTCGTTTAGTTATATGTCCACTTATGAAAAGGATGGTAATCGTGAAATATTGCAGATAAGGTTTCAAGGCAGTGCAGTGAGACTTTTTTTTTTTTTTTTTGTCACGAACTTTACATTTTTTTTTAAAAGTCTGGGCTTGTGCGGTGGCTCATGCCTGTAATCCCAGCACTTTGGGAGGCCAAGGCGGGCGGATCACCTGAGCGCCAGCAGTTCAAGACCAGCCTGGCCAACATGGTGAAACCCCGTCTCTACTAAAAATACAAAAAATTAGCCAGACGCAGTGGTGCTCACCTGTGGTCCCAGCTGCTCGGGAGGCTGAGGCGGGAGAATTGCTTGAACCTGGGAGATGGAGGTTGCGGTGAGCCAAGATCACGCCACTGCACTCCAGGTGGGCAACAGAGCGAGACTTCGACTCAAAAAAAAAAAGTCTGAAGGTGTGTATTTTGAGTGAGTCTTTTTTTGTACTTGTGTGTGTAACTATATGGAACACGATCTATGCTAAATCAAACCTTTCCTTAAACACTCCACAGTTTTTATAGGAGAATCTACCAGTGACTGACATATTTCCTCCTGTTGTATATTGCCCATCCATTTTATTTTCTAGGATAAGATGCATTTTTTTTTCCAACAAATTCAAGTATGTTGTCTGGTATTTCTTAAGTTGGAGGTGGGGGGTTTCTTAGAGACATAGTTAGATATTTGATTAACTGTGATCCCAGCTAAGAAGCTCCTGAATGACTCTTTTCTATTTCTCACATCATTGGAGCTGCCTTCATTGTGAAGTGTATAGAGAACCCTTGGGGAAACTTTGAAGAGTTAGGATGGTTATCTGAGTGCATAAAGTTAGTTTGCCAATGGGCATCTTTAATAGTTAAGTTTCAGATATTTGTGGTGGGGAATGGTGGGCAGTCTGTGAAGCTAAGTGAGTTTTGGTGCCTTCCAGCTTATTTTCATTTCTCAACAGTTGGCATGGTTACTCTTCTAAAACCTCATAGAAGACTAAAGACATGTAGAGTATGAGTCCTTTAAGGTGCTCCATGGTTAGCGGAGGTTTTGATTAACATATTAGCTGGATTATTCCTGTGAGGAGAAACTTCTCCATGATTTGGTGGTATATTTCCTAAAGTTAAATTAGGACAAATACTTGATTCTTGCTCTTATTTACTAGTTTTCAGACTCATGAGCTGCTTCACTAATATCCTGAAACTGATTTTGTTTTCTTTTTTAAAAAAATGAACTCAGATTTGAACATTTTAGATGTGCTTCATTTCATTGCATTTATGCATTGTATTAGTCTGTTTTCATACTGCTATAAAGAACTGCCTGAGACTGGGTAATTTACAAAGGAAAGAGGCTTAATTGACTCACAGTTCAGCATGGCTGGGGAGGCCTCAGGAACTTAACAATCTTGGTGGAAGACAAAGAGGGGAAGCAGGGCACCTTCTTCACATGGTGGCAGGAAGGAGAAGTGCCCAGTGAAGGGAGGAAGAGCCCCTTATAAAACCATCAGATCTCCTGAGAACTGATTATCACAAGAACAGCTGGGGAAACTGCTCCCATGATTCAGTTATC
The DNA here is from genome assembly GCF_000001405.40 of Homo sapiens. Classification (NCBI taxonomy): domain Eukaryota; kingdom Metazoa; phylum Chordata; class Mammalia; order Primates; family Hominidae; genus Homo; species Homo sapiens. The sequence continues at coordinate 136,163,735 of NC_000003.12, read as the reverse complement.
TCCACCTGGTCTGTCCCTTGGCACATGGGGATTATGGGGATTACAATTCAAGATGAGATTTGGATGGGGACACAAAGCCTAATTATATCATGCATGTTTAGATTTTCTTGTCTTTGGCCAGTGGGAACCTCTTCAGGTTTGCCCCGAGTCTTGATTTTGATAGTTTCTCTGCTTCCTGGCATAACAAGGTGATCAAAACTCCTCTTGTGCAATTCATGGCACAAACTTGAAATTAGCCATTTGTCCAAGAAGCTCTGATTCCTTTGAAAAGGAAATTGTTTTTCAATCCTGTAATCTGTATTCATTGCTGCTGGGGTTCTTTGTTTCCAGGCCTCTTCAGTGGATAGTGCTAGGAAATACACACACACATAGTGCTAGGAAATACACATTTAAGATTAAAACATGAGTTCATAGTGTTAAGTCCAGTTGAAATTCATTTTAGGGCTACAGGATTTATATTTATATTTATATTTATTTGAGACGGAGTCTCGCTCTGTTGCCCAGGTTGGAGTGCAATGGTGCGATCTCAGCACACTGCATCCTCCACCTCCTGGGTTCAAACAGTTCTCCTGCCGTAGCCTTCCGAGTAGCTGGGATTACAGGCGCCCACCACCATGCCCAGCTAATATGTTGTATTTTTAGTAGAGACGGGGTTTCACCATGTTCACCAGGCTAGTCTTGAACTCCAGGTCTACAGGATTTTTAATGTAACCTTTTCTCTCTTAACAACTTTCCTCCTCCTCCCTACTGAAAAAAAAAAAAAAAATCCAAGTCCTCAAGGCATTAACATTGACTTTTTATCCCACGGTATGCACTAACACTTTTGTAATTATTATCAACACTGCCGCCAACAGTGTGGTTACTGAAAATAAGAAAAATGAGGATTGCAAGGATTGAGCCAATTTTCTGTGTTATAGTCATTCGAAATAGTTACTCTTTGGATTGTTATACCACCAATTTGATATAAAATTATGGTTACTTTATTTTGGTTTTCAGAGATTTCATGTAACATTTTGGTTTTGTTACACTATTATATAAAATATTTACATGGTTTGAAAGTAAAATCTATAAGACAGATTAAACTCAGAGCAGTGTTTTCCTATTTCACTTTGTTCTGTCTCTCCCTCCTAATTGGTAGCCCTTTTATTTTGTTTTTGAGACAGGTGCAGGCTCTGTTGCCCAGGCTGGACCGCAGTGGCGCAATCTCGGCTCACTGCAACCTCTGGCCCAGGCTCAAGCCATCGTCTCATCTTAGCCTCTTGAGTAGCTGGGACTAAGGTGCGTGCCAGCGTCCATGGCTAATTTTTTTTATTTTTTGTAGAGATGGGGTTTTGCCATATTGCCCAGGCTGGTTTCTAACTCCTGAGATAAGTGATCTGCCTACGCTGGCCTCTCAAACTGCTGGGATTACAGGTGTGAGCCACCACACCTGGCCTGGTAGCCCTCTTTTTTTTTTTTTTTTAAAAACCTTATGGTTTATCTTTTCAAATGCATATATAGGGCCAGGTGTTGTGGCTCATGCCTGTAATCCCAGCACTTTGGGAGGCTGAGGTGTGTGGATCACGAGGTCAGGAGTTCGAGACCAGCCTGACCAACATGGTGAGACCCCGTCTCTACTAAAAATAAAAAATTAACCAGGCGTGGTGGCGGGCACCTGTAAATCCCAGCTACTCGGGAGACTGAGGCAGGAGAATTGCTTGAACCCAGGAGGCAGAGGTTGTAGTGAGCCGAGATCACGCCACTGTGCTCTAGCCTGGGCGACAGAGAAAGACTCCGTCTTGAGAAAAAAAAAATGCATATATATGTATTTTTTTCCCTTCCTATCCCTTGTGTCCTTCCTTAGATGAAGCTAAGGACACTCTTTAAGGGATCCTTGCATTGGCATTAGGTAGAAGGTTGGATTCTGTAACTATTGGTGCCTTGTCTTAAAGTGTTATTTTTAAATTTTAGAGTTGTGTAACCATCACCACTATCTGATTTTAGAACACTTTCATCCCCCTAAAAGGTTCCATTGTGCCCATTTACTGTTAATGACTGCTCCACTCTCAGCCCTAGGCAACCACTGTTTTTCTGCTTTCCTATCATTTCTGGGCATTTTATATAAATGGAATTATGCAATAATGTACTCTTGTATCTGCTTCTTTCACTTAGCAAATGTTTTGGAAGTTCATCCATGTTGTGGCATGTACCAATACTTTATTCCTTTAAATTGCTGAACTCCATTGCATGAATATACATTTTGTTTATCTACTCACCAATTAATGGACATTTGGATTGTGTCTAATTTTTGGCCATTAGGAATCATGCTGCTGTGCACATTCACATACGTTTTTCTGTGTGGATATGTTTTTATTTCTCTTTAGGTAGGTTCCTAGGAGTAGAATTTTGCTGGTTTCTATGGTAAATTTGTGTCTTAACTTTTTAAGAAACTACCAAACTGTATTTCAGTGTGATTGTTGTACCTGTTTTACATTTTACGAGCAGTATATAAGGGTTCCAGTTTCTTCACATCTTTGCCAACTTTTGGCATTGTTGTTTTGAATTTAGCCATTCTAATGGGTGGGCAGTAGTGTGCCACAGTTTTACTTTGACTAATAATATTGAGCATATTTTCATGTGCTTATGGTCATTCATTTTACTTTATTTTTTGAGATGGAACCTTTGCTCTGTCGTCAGGCTGGAGTGCAGTGGCGCTCTCTTGGCTCACTGCAACCTCCGCCTCCCGGGTTCAAGTGATTCCCCTGCCTCAGCCTCCCGAGTAGCTGGGATTACAGGCATGCACCACCATGCCTGGCTAATTTTTTGTATTTTAGTAGAGATGGGGTTTCACCGTGTCGGCCAGGATCGTCTCGATCTCCTGACCTCGTGATCTGCCCATCTTGTCCTCCTAAAGTGCTGGGATTACTGGTGTGAGCCACTGTGCCCGGCTGGTCATTCATATATTTTCTTTGGTGAAATGTTTATTCAGATTTTTGCTTTTAAAATTATATTGTCATTTTACCGATTTGAATTTTTTTTTTTTTAATTGAGATGGAGGCTTGCTGTGTCTCCCAGGCTGGAGTGCAATGGCATGGTCTCGGCTCGCTGCACCTCCGCCTCCTGAGTTCAAGCGATTCTCCTGCCTCAGCCTCCTGAGTAGCTGGGACTACAGGTGCATGCCACCACAGCCAGCTAATTTTTGTATTTTTAGTGGAGATGGGGTTTTACTGTGTTGGCCAGGCTGGTCTCGAACTCCTGAACTGCCCGCCTCGGCCTTCCGAAGTGCTGGGAGTGAGCCCCCACGCCTGGCTTGCATTGTTTTTTTTTTTTTAATTGTGATTTGCAAATATTTTCTCTCAGTCTGTGGTTTATTTTTGATCTCCCTCCCTCCCTCCCTCCCTCCCTCCCTCCCTCCCTCCTTCCTTCCCTCCTTCCCTCCCTCCCTCCTTCCTTCCCTCTTTTTTTTTTTTTTTTTTTTTTTGAGACAGAGTCTTTCTCTGTCGCCCAAGCTGGAGTGCATTGGCACCATCTTGGCTCACTGCAACCTCTGCTTCTCAGATTCAAGCAATTCTCCTGCCCCAGACTCCTGAGTAGCTGGGACTACAGGCGTGTGCCATCACGCCTAGCTAATTTTATTTTATATTTTTAGTAGAGACAGGGTTTTGCCACATTGGCCAGGCTGGTCTTGAACTCCTGACCTCACGTGATCTGCCCACCTTAGCCTCCCAAAGTGCTGGGATTACAGGTGTGAACCACCTCGCCTGACCATTTTTTCATTTTCTTAATGGTGTCTTTTGTTGAAGCACAGTAAGTTTTTAATTTTGAGAAAATCCATTTAACTATTTTTTTTTCCTTTTTGTGAATTGTGCATTTGATGTCACGTATAAGAACACTTTGGCCAATAGAAAGTTACAAAGATTTTCTTCTCCGTTTTCTTCTAGAATTTCTATATTTTAGCTCTTACATTTAGGTTTGTGATCATTTTAATTTTTGTGTATGTTGTGAGGTAAGGGTATAAGTTTGTTTTTTTCCTTTTGGCATTTGGATATCAAATTGTTTCACATGGTATGTTGAAAATACTCTCCTTGGCCAGGCGTGGTGGCTCACGCCTGTAATCGCAGCACTTTGGGAGGCCGAGGCGGGCGGATCACGAGGCCAGGAGATCAAGACCATCCTGGCTAACACGGTGAAACCTCGTCTCTACTAAAAATGCAAAAAAAAAAAAAATAGCTGGGCGTGGTGGCGGGCGCCTGTAGTCCCAGCTACTCGGGAGGCTGAGGCAGGAGAACGGTGTGAACCCGAGAGGCGGAGCTTGCAGTGAGCCGAGATGGCACCACTGCACTCCAGCCTGGGCGACAGAGCGAGAATCCGTCTCAAAAAAAAAAAAAAAAAAAAAAAAAAAGAAAGTACTCTCCTTTCCCCATTGAATCATCTGGATACCCTGTCGCACAAATTGGTTGACCATAAATGTAATAATTTGTTTCTGGACTCTGAATTCTGTTCCACTGATGCATGTGTCTATACTTTTGTCATTACCACACTGTCTTGATTACTATGGCTTTATAGTAAAATTTGGAATTTGGTAGTGTAAGTCCTGTAATTTTGTTGTTTTTCAAAGTTGTTTTGCCTGTCCTCTGTGATTCCATATGAATTTTAGGATCAGCCTGTCAATTTCTTTAAGAAAAAAAGCTGCCTGGGATTAAAGATTGCATTGAACTTACAGACACATCAATTTTGGGGAAAACTGCCATCTTGACAATATATTGGTAGTCTTCTAATCCATGAACATGTCTGTTTAGATACTCTTTAATTTCTTTCAGCTGTGTTTTGTAGTGCTGAGTGTAGAAGTCTTTGTTAAAGTTTTTCTAAATATTTTAAGTATATTCTTGATGCTATTGTGAATGGAATTTTAAAAAATTAGTTTGTTCATTCCTAGCATATAGAAATGGAAAATGCAGTGGACTTTTGTATATATTGTTTGTGCTATGACCTTGCTAAATTTGCTTATTGGTACTAGTAGTTTGCGTGTGTGCGTTTTTTGAGATTTTCTGTAAGCAGAATTGTGTAATCCATTACTAAAACAATTTTACTTGTTTCTTTTTAGTCTTGATGCCTTTTTTTTTCTTTTCCTTTTGAACCTTACTGCACCAGCTAGAACAAGTACAATTTTGAAAAGAAGTGGCAACAGCAGGCATCCTTTCCTTGTTCCTGATCTTTGGAAGGAAAGCGTTGTGTTTTACCTTTAAGTAAAGTTGGCTTTAGATTTTTTGGTGCCCACCACCATCAAGTTAAAGAAGTTCAATTTCTCGTTTGTGAATTTGTGTGTGTGTGTGAATAGGTATTGTATTATATGTTGTGGAATTCTCTTGAATGTTTTGTTATGGATTTTGTCATGTTTATGGGAGATTTTGGTTTGTATTTTCTTTTTTTTTTTTTTAATTTTAATTTTTTTGAGATGATTTAGTTGCCCAGGCTGGAGTGCAGTGGCATGATCTCGGCTCACCGCAGCCTCCGCCTCCTGGATTGAAGCGATTCTCCTGCCTCAGCCTCCTGAGTAGCTGGGATTACAGGCATGCGCCACCACGCCCGGCTAATTTTTGCATTTTTAGTAGAGATGGGGTTTCTCCATGTTGGTCAGGCTGGTCTCGAACTCCCCACTTCAGGTGATCCGCCCACCTTGGCCTCCCAAAGTGTTGGGATTACAGGCGTGAGCCACTGCTCCCGGCGGTTTGTATTTTCTTTTGTCTGGTGGCCTTGTTTTCTTTCATAGTAGTTACTGGCCTTTAAATATGAGTTGGGAAGTGTTTTCTCCTCCTCTATGTTTGGGTGTTATTCCTTTTTAATTATTTGTTAGAATTTACCAGTGAAGGCATTTAGCCCTGGAGTCTTCTTTTGAGGAAAATCTTCAGTGGCTATTTAAAACTTTTATTACAGGTCTATTCAGTTTTAAAACTTTTTCTCCAGTGAATTTTGGTCATTTGTGTCTTTAGAGAAATGTATCCATTTCATCGAAGTAGTCTAAAATTGTTGGCATAAAGTTGTTCATAGGGCTTCCTTAATTCTTCACATTTTGTAGGGCACTAGTGATACTCTGACTCCTTTCATTTCTAATTTTGGTAATTTGTATTCTTGTTTTCTTTGATCTTTTAAAACAACCAACTTTTGGTGTTATTTATTTTTCTCTTTGGTTTTTCTGCTTTCTCTTGTATTGGTTTCTGCCCTAATCTGTATTCATTTATTTATTTTCGTTTTTTTGAGTTGGAGTCTGGCTCTGTCGCCCAGGCTGGAGTTGAGTGGCACTATCTTGGCTCACTGCAACCTCTCCTCCCAGGTTCAAGCAGTTCTCCTGCCTCAGTCTCTGAGTAGCTGGGATTACAGGTGTTCACCACCCTTGGATAATTTTTGTATTTTTAGTAGAGACAGGGTTTTACCATATTGGCCAGGCTGGTGTCGAACTCCTGACCTCAGGTGATTGGCCCGCCTTCCTGACCTCAGGTGATCGGCCCGCCTTCCTGACCTCAGGTGATCGGCCCGCCTTCCTGACCTCAGGTGATCAGCCCACCTTGGCCTCCCAAAGTGATGAGATTACAGGTGTGAGCCACTGTGGCCTGCTCTAATCTTCATTATTTGCTTTAACCTGATTAGTTTGGGATTCCTATTAAGGTGAAAGAAAGCTTTGGTTATTGACTTGAGACTTTGCTTTTTTATTTTTTATATTTTCTATTTTTACTGTGCATACACATATATACAGTGTGTTTTAAAAATGGGCTTTACAATATGTAGTTTTATCACTCGGTTTACAACTAAATATATTGTGAACATTTTCTCTTCTTCAACAGTTAAAAGGATTGCATAGCTTGGAGGAAACATAATTTATTTATTTATTTAGTTTGTTTGCTTTTGAGATGGAGTCTGGCTCTGTCGCCCAGGCTGGAGTGCAGTGGCGCCATCTTGGCTCACTGCAAGCTCCGCCTCCTGGGTTCACGCTATTCTCCTGCCTCAGCCTCCCGAGTAGCTGGGACTACAGGCGGCTGCCACCACGCCCGGCTAATTTTTTGTATTGATGGGGTTTCACCGTGTTAGCCAGGATGGTCTCAATCTCCTGACCTCGTGATCCGCCTGCCTTGGCCTCCCAAGGTGCTGGATTACAGGCGTGAGCCACTGTGCCCGGCCAGAAACATAATTTATTAAGCCATCTTGTTGGGGATATTGAGGCATAATTTTTTTTCTAAGGAGACTTCATTCTTTTTACAATGCTTTTGGGAAAAAAGGGGGAGCCCTTGTCTTATATAGCTTTCTGTAGATGATGGAAACTTGCCTTTCCATTTAGCCTTTTAACTTGCTTCTCTACACCCACCTAATCACCAGTCAAGTAACCCATTTTATGTTTTCCAACCTCCCTCTCCCATTTGCTTCCCATTTCCTTCCACATGCAGACGGACTTCCATTACTTCAGCACTCTGGTTCCTCCCCTTAAAGAGGCTTTTTTTCCTTTTAGAGACTACTTTGATTTTGATCAGCTGTACTCAAAACTGTATCCTAAGTTTCGCATTAGGATTAATCTTTAATAATCTGAAGATATAATTCAGTTGTTTAAAAGAACATATTAAGAAGACCTTGGTAGAATTACATGTATCAAGAAATACTGGACTCCAGCACAGTGGAGATATAGCTGATTTCCTTTTGAAAAAGGTAGTTTTTTGGGGGAGGGCAGGGCAGAGAGGTAAGAAGTAGTTGGTACTATAAGGAAATGTTAGAGACCATTATGGAAATGTATTCATTATTTTAAAGCATAAGAGTGGTACATGCAGACAGTAGTAGTTCTGGAGTATTGGAAACCATGAGGTGCTCATCCATCACAAGGCCATCACAGCCAGGTAGAAATGCCTGAGGAAAGCAGCGGAGCTGGCCATGCCAGCATTTACACATAGAACAGTTCTTGGGCAGCCGGGTGTCACGGGGCACAGACCCACAGTTCTCTTTGCATACGTACATGGTGCTCACAATTCCGTCTGTAGAAGGAGGGGAAGCAGGCACAAAAGGACCCCAGCATACAAGTTCCCCCCATTCAGGCAGCAGGTTTTGTTTAGCTCGTTACTGTCCTGTATCCCCATGGGCGGCACAGGTTGGGAAGGCTGAGGATGAAAAGCAGGCTCCTCTTGGGGTTGAATGCTGTCATCTCTGAAGGCCAGGTCTCCCTGAGATGGACACCCCTTTCTTTTTTTAAATTTATTTATTTATTTTTTTGAGGTGGAGTTTTGCTCTTATTGCCCAGGCTTGGAGTGCAATGAATGGCACGATCTCCGCTCACTGCAACCTCTGCCTCCCAGGTTCAAACGATTCTTTTGCCTCAGCCTCCCAAGTAGCTGGGATTACAGGCATGCACCACCATGCCCAGCTAATTTTGTTATTTTAGTAGAGACAGGGTTTCACCATGTTGGTCAGGCTGGTCTTGAACTCCTGACGTCAGGTGATCCATGTGCCTTGGCCTCCCAAGGTGCTGGGATTACAAGCATGAGCCACCGCATCCAGCGTCTTTTTTTTTTTTTCCAGACAGTCTTGCCCTGTCGCCAGGCTGGAGTGCAGTGGCACCATACTCAGCTCATTGCAACCTCTGCCTCCCGGGTTCAAGCGATTGTCCTGCCTCAGCTCCCCCGAGTAGCTGGGACTACAGGCGTGTGCCACCACTCCCAGCTAATTTTTGTATTTTTAGTAGAGATGGAGTTTCACCATGTTGGCCAGGATGGTCTCAGTCTCTTGACCTCGTGATCTGCCTACCTCGGCCTCCCAAAGTGCTGGGATTTGCAGTTGTGAGCCACTGCGCCCTGCCCAGCCGCTTTCTTAAAATGTATTATAATTTTTTTTAGAGACAGGGTCTTGCTGTCTTGCCCAAGCTGGTCTTGAACTCCTGGGCTTAAATGAGTGTCCACCTCTGCCTCTCAGAGAGCTAGAACAACAGGCACGTGCCACTGTGCCTAGCTTAAGACCTTATTTTCTGATACAGACTTTCAGAGCTATAGATTTCCCACTAAACACTGCTTTAGTTGCATTCTCCAAATTTTGATATGTGGTGTTTTCATTTGGTAAATGTTTTCTCAGTTTCTCTTATGATGTTTTTGGCTTATAAGTTATTTTGGTATATGTTTAATTTCCAGATACTTGGGGATTTTTCTCATTTTTTTTTTTCCCACTGATTTCTAATTTCTGTTGTGGTTGAACATATTCTTTGTGTGATTTATGAGAAGAGGTACCGCTTTGGGTAATTGCTGACCATTTGTCTGGATTGGGAACCAAGGAGCAGTTGCAGCTTTGGAGAGTAAGAGTGGAGATGGGAACTGGGTCTAGTTCCTTTCCCTTCTTGGTTTGTATGTATATGTCATTGATAATTTGAGAATTGTGTCAAGTCGGGGGACTACTTCATTATACTGTATTGTCGCAGTTAGGATACTTGTGGTTTATAATTAAACCATGGTCGTTTTGAAATCTGTCAGAAGAATTTGAGCCCAGTATTATACCCTAGTTTTGTTTTCTTTAATAAGTTTAAATATAATTTTTTCCATTTTGTATTTTTTTCTAGAAGAATTTGAGTTGAGTAGTACTCCTTTTTTCTTTGTTTTAATGTAGTTGAACATAGTTCTCTCCTACTGAAACTCCTTTTTTTTTTTTTTTAAATGAGACGGAGTTTTGCTCTTGTCGCCCAGGCTGGAGTGCAGTGACACAATCTCAGCTCGCTGCAACCTCCGCCTCCTGGGTTCAAGGGATTCTCCTGCCTCAGCCTCCTGAATAGCTGGGATTACAGGTGCCCATCACCCTGCCCGGCTAATTTTTGCGTTTTTAGTAGAGACAGGGTTTCACCATGTTGGCCAGGCTAGTCTCAAAGTCCTGACCTCAGGTGATCTGCCCACCTCAGCCCCCCAAAGTGCTGGGGTTACAGGCATGAGCCACCACACCTGGCCTTTTTTTTTTTGAGACTAAGTCTCGCTCTATTGCTTAGGCTGGATTGCAGTGGTGTGATCTCAGCTCACTGCTACCTCAGTTTCCTGGGTTCAAGTGATGCTCCTGCCTCAGCCTCCCTAGCAGCTGGGACTACAGGTGCGTACCACCATGCCCGGTTAATTTTTTTGTATTTTTAATAGAAATGGGGTTTTACCATGTTGGCCAGGCTGGCCTTGAACTCCTGACCTCAGGTGATCCGCCCACCTCAGCCTCCCAAAGTGCTGGGATTATAGGCATGAGCCACTGTGTCCGGCCTGAAATGACATTTTGATCTTTTTTCTTTAAAGTTTATGATTAGTATATATGCATTAAAAACTGGTTGAAAAAATTTTTTTTTCTGTGAAGATACTTTTCTACTGATGAATGCCCTCAAGACTATCTTTTATGAGGGCAGGGACTAAATCTCTCTTACTCATATCTGTTTCCCCAGTGTCCAGCAAAAAATAATCAATATGATTTTGTTCAGCATGTTGTAGCATTGCCATGTTGTGTTAGGTTGAGGTCCAAAGGGTTTTGGTTTTGTTTTTGAGACAGGGTCTCGCTTTGTCACCCAGGCGGGAGTGCAGTGGCAAGATCATAGTTCACCGTAGCCTGAACTCTAGGGCTCAAGCCATCACCTCAGCCTCCTGAATAGCTGGGATTACAGGCACACACCACCACACCTGGCTATCCAAAGGGTTTTAACCCTAGTTTGTGCTTCTGGTGTCTGATCTTCACCTCTTTAACTTTATAGCCTTTGGAGGAAGAGGATAAGAAGGTGGACCAGAACGTATTGCTTGGGGAGAGAGACACAGAATCAAGGATGATTTTGGTTTGAGATAACTGAATGGGGAATATGGCATGAAATCAAGCGAGCTAATTGAAGATTCTTCCGTTTCTTCTAAGATATATTTTCTGTTATCTGGTCTAGTGAGTTTAATTCATCTCAATTTTGATAGACTACTTATGTCATCTAAACTTCAGTTTATGAAATGGTAAATTTATTTTACTAAAATCTTTGCTTTCCTCCTTCTCCCCCTTAGGACATTTGCTACAAGATCCTATTGCACCCACCAACTCCACCTGCCAACATTATGTCTGCAAAACTTGTAAAGGCAAGAAAATGATGATGAAACCTTCCTGTAGCTGGTGCAAAGACTATGAGCAGTTTGAGGAAAACAAGCAGTTAAGCATCCTAGTGAACTGCTACAAAAAACTATGCGAGTATATAACACAGACTACACTGGCACGGGATATAATAGAAGCAGTTGACTGTTCTTCTGATATTTTGGCTTTGCTTAATGATGGATCATTGTTTTGTGAGGAGACAGAAAAACCCTCAGATTCATCCTTTACTTTGTGTTTGACACATTCCCCTTTACCTTCAACCTCAGAACCCACAACTGATCCTCAAGCTAGTTTATCTCCAATGTCTGAAAGCACCCTCAGCATTGCTATTGGCAGTTCTGTTATCAATGGTTTGCCTACTTATAATGGGCTTTCAATAGATAGATTTGGTATAAATATTCCTTCACCTGAACATTCAAATACGATTGACGTATGTAATACTGTTGACATAAAAACTGAGGATCTGTCTGACAGCCTGCCACCCGTTTGTGACACAGTAGCCACTGACTTATGTTCCACAGGCATTGATATCTGCAGTTTCAGTGAAGATATAAAACCTGGAGACTCTCTGTTACTGAGTGTTGAGGAAGTACTCCGCAGCTTAGAAACTGTTTCAAATACAGAGGTCTGTTGCCCTAATTTGCAGCCGAACTTGGAAGCCACTGTATCCAATGGACCTTTTCTGCAGCTTTCTTCCCAGTCTCTTAGCCATAATGTTTTTATGTCCACCAGTCCTGCACTTCATGGGTTATCATGTACAGCAGCAACTCCGAAGATAGCAAAATTGAATAGAAAACGATCCAGATCAGAGAGTGACAGTGAGAAAGTTCAGCCACTTCCAATTTCTACCATTATCCGAGGCCCAACACTGGGGGCATCTGCTCCTGTGACAGTGAAACGGGAGAGCAAAATTTCTCTTCAACCTATAGCAACTGTTCCCAATGGAGGCACAACACCTAAAATCAGCAAAACTGTACTTTTATCTACTAAAAGCATGAAAAAGAGTCATGAACATGGATCCAAGAAATCTCACTCTAAAACCAAGCCAGGTATTCTTAAAAAAGACAAAGCAGTAAAGGAAAAGATTCCTAGTCATCATTTTATGCCAGGAAGTCCTACCAAGACTGTGTACAAAAAACCCCAGGAAAAGAAAGGGTGTAAATGTGGGCGTGCTACTCAAAATCCAAGTGTTCTTACATGCCGAGGCCAACGCTGCCCTTGCTACTCTAACCGCAAAGCCTGCTTAGATTGTATATGTCGTGGCTGCCAAAACTCCTATATGGCCAATGGGGAGAAGAAGCTGGAGGCATTTGCCGTGCCAGAAAAGGCCTTGGAGCAGACCAGGCTCACTTTGGGCATTAACGTGACTAGCATTGCTGTGCGTAACGCTAGTACCAGCACCAGTGTAATAAATGTCACAGGGTCCCCAGTAACGACGTTTTTAGCTGCCAGTACACATGATGATAAAAGTTTGGATGAAGCTATAGACATGAGATTCGACTGTTAAATCAGTGGGTCTTTTAAACCTACTCCTGGTAGGGAAATAGCTACAGTTTTACGGCAGCTATGGTTCTGTTGGTTTAACTTGCCGGAGCTCCTGCATATAGATCACTTGTATCAAGTGTTTTCATTGCTAAGTTATATGTGTTAGTGTCGGGGAAATAGTTTGCAGATAATGGAGGAGTAACCCTACAACTATATGTCCTTAGTTCTTACAGAACCTCATAGTTTGAGAACAAAGCTGATGCAACTGATTTATACAAAATGAACTTTGGCAAGAAAAATAACATTAACCTCATTGTTTATGGCCATGCTTTGTGCATAATCAAAGTTTATGATTAAATGTAAGGAAGTGGTATCTAGTCAGTCCATAAAGATTGTGCTAATTTTTTTGTGGAAAAGTAGCCATTAGTTCAGGAAACTCAGTGCTGCCTTCAGATGTCATTGATGTTTCTCCTGTTGGAAAGCTGATGTGTCCAGCTCAACCTTTGTGCTGACATCATACCATTTCTGATCATGAAATATTGGCTACTGGTGTATGTAGCAGTTCTTAAATCAGCAGTATTATGAAAAAAAATTCCCCCTCATTAGAATGTTTAAGAAATCTTTTTAAAAAGTAAAATTCTGTCAGACTACAAATGTTTAGCTGTTACTCATTTCTAGGGAAGAAATTCTAAATCCCTCCTTCACTTTGAGCAGTGTTCTAATTGGATAAATGAAGGAGAGTAGTTTTATTCTGAAGGTAATTAAATTTAGACTATGTAGTATGTGACAGAATTTTTTTAAAATTATAAAAAGATTTTATTTAGTAATTGGGATTTACTTAAAATAATTTTGGAATAATGCTCCCAGACTTGCCCAGATTTGTGTATTGTACTTATTGCCACTGGCCGCCACTTTGACTTATTTTCTCTAATAGTTTATTTGCCACAGTCTTTATTTTGAATATGCTCCTAGTTTTTTTTTAGGGTGCTGTTCATTATGAAGGCTTCTTTATAGAGGCCTAATAAGAATGCCTTTTTATAAAGCCTGTGCATTTAGGTAGGTTGAAGCTAGGAGGATTTTCTTTAGAATGCTCTTTTGCATGTAAAGCACAAAGTATGTTTCAGTTTAAATGCACTTCTTCCGGTTAATTTTTATGGGGAAGACAAGTGAGTCACAAACATTCTGTTGAAGGGAAATCTAGTCAGTTGCTTGAAAGAGCACAGCCCAAATAAAACAAGGACTGACTAGGTGTAATGAAATAACCTGTGATTTAAAAGAAGAGCTGCAGCTTTGACAGTGCTTATTTAAAGAAAAATACTGCTGGAAAATTTCCAATTTCTACTACGTTCACCATCTCTAGTAAGATCTGACATATGCTGAAGTTATGTTTTGATTTGGCACACAGCATGTTCAATGATGGTTACTCGCCTAGTACAAGACATGGAGAAGAAACCTTTGGACACAGAGCAGATGACACCTCCTTCTGTTTTGTAGTGTATCCTGGTGTCATTTTCTGTGAATGTGGTCAGGTAGAGTTGTTTTTGTTGTTGTTGTTGGGCTTTTTTTTCTTTTTTTTTTTTTGGTCTCTTTTGGTGGGGTGGGGGTGGGCTAAAGCCATAGGAAGAAAAATGTGATGTATGTGTCCAGTATGTACTATTTTGTTTTTGTTTTGCAAGAAGAGTTGAACTATTTTTGATAACAAGAGTAAATGGTGGAAAATGCTTCTTAGTTGTCTTGTCTTTATTTGCTTTCCAAGATTTGGAATTTTATTTAATTCCTTTAAGTGTTAGCAGTGTCTTATGAAACGTGTATTTACCTAACGTTTGTAACAGTTTTGTGTTGAACCCAGATGCCCTGCTATATAAAGTTGTAAATCTGTTCTTTATTCACTAATGATCACTGCAAAAATGATTAGAAATGAGATTGTACACATGGATGAGGATATATTTTGCAAATCGACCAAACTTTCCTAATATTATGATCTTAAAATTCATAGAGTACTTTATTGCTTCCCAAGTTTGATAATCTTGTGGGTTTTTTTTTTTTTTTGATGCATGGGAGGTTGGCAATATAGACAAAGTGGAAATCATTAGTATGTGAGGGCCTTGATTGTTATGTAATATTGCCAATGATGAATTCAGGTTGTTTTTAGCACAAGTTTCTCTTTTTTATGCTGGTATTCTCACTGCCACATTTTTGGAAACCTGTATTACACCTTAAATCTATCAATAAATGATAGTTTTCTAATTCTATGTTGTAGAATACTGAAGAGTTTGGGATAGCATGCTCTGAATGGTCTGTATTATATACATCTGGGGAAGAGTAATCACAGTGCCTTGATTTTTATATTATTTTTCTTTATACCACGAGTTACTTAGGAATGCTGACAAATGGCTAACGAGGGATGATTGAGAGATTATTACTGAAGTAACTGGATTTACTTCATCAGGATTTGAAACCACCAAAGAACAGCAGCATTTAATAAGACACATCCTGAATTGTTGAGTCCTTGTTATTAATATAAATGATCAAATGATCTTTTACCTTAGGTAATAGTTTTAGAGCTGACAATTTTATCTTTTTGGTTAGCCTTATTAAGTCTGCATTTCCGGGAGGAGGTGTAGTATGGTCCTAGGGATAAA
The DNA here is from genome assembly GCF_000001405.40 of Homo sapiens. Lineage (NCBI taxonomy): Eukaryota > Metazoa > Chordata > Mammalia > Primates > Hominidae > Homo > Homo sapiens. Next base: position 136,148,526 of record NC_000003.12, on the reverse strand, counting down.
GAATTCCTTTTATTTCATTGTATTCTTAGTTAAAACAATTTATTGGTGACCTTGTTGAAGAAGAGTAAAAGTTTTATGGGAATCAGATGAAAAATAAATTGTCCATAACCATATCATAGATAAAAAACAGAAATGCTTTAGAAAATACTAAGTTCAAAGTATGGTATTTTATACTTTTCTCTTTTTAAAAAAATTAAAAGCTAGGCACAGTGGTGTGTGCCTGTAATCTCAGCTACTTAGGAGGCTGAGGTGGGAGGATCACTTAAGCTCAGGAGTTCGAACTCAGCCTGGGCAACATAGACCTTGCCTCTGAAATAAAATTTAGGTACCCCAAAACATGCCGTTACACATTCTTTTAAAATAATGCATTATAGATGAGGCTAAAGTCTACCTTGATTCCTGTGAACTCCGCCTCATTCACAAACCCTGGTCCTCTTCCCTATCCCCTGAAGAAATCATTTCTCAGTATATTGTCATTACTACAAAGACCTTTCTTTGTAGTTTTCACATGGGCTCAAAGAGTTATTCTCTGACATTCAAGCTTGTTTACAGTGTTACTCTTGCAGACAAAAAAATGAGGTGCAAATATGATTAAAAGCACAAGTGTGTAGTAATTACCTTAATGAACATGATTCATATTTGACAACTTTATTTAGTTTTGCTAAAAGGGAAAAACAAAGTCATGCAGCCTTCTCCAAACACATCTTAACATTTCAAAAAGCTGAGCAAATCTCATTTGATGAATCTAGAGTTTTATAAACACTTTGAATGGTACACAGTGACAAGATGCAGGGAAGATATATGGAATTTTATTAGTTTGATTACCTTGGTAATGTTATGCTATTAAACTCATTTCTCATTGAATTAGCATTAAGGTCATGATAACCCTCAGCTTTTATCAAGGGGCCTGGGATATTATAATAACTTGAAAATTCCAGTTTGGCAGTAATGATTATACTTAACCATGATCTTTACCAGAAAGTCAAATATATTCTACCTTAATTCCTCAGAATTCACATTCCTTGCATTCAGCTCCAAGGAAGGAGTACAATAAAACACATTCTTATAATTCCTGAAAATGTGATAATGTGGGTAAATTACAATAGCCCATTTTAAATGGAATGGTATTGATGGATGTACTTTTATAATAGAGACTTTGTAAGAGAATGGGGTCTTGCTCTGTCGCCTAGGCTGGAGTGCAGTGTCGTAATCATAGCTCACTGCAGCCTCGAAGCCTGGGGCTCAAGCGATTCTCCTGCCTCAGCCTCCCAAGTTGGTAGGACTACAGATGTGCACCACCATGCCCAGCTAAATTTATTTTTTGTAGAGACGGAGTCTCACTATGTTGCCCAGGCTGGTCTTTACTCCTGGGCTCAAGTGATCACCTCCCTTGGCCTCCCAAAGTGCCGGGATTACAGGCATGAGTCACCATGCCCAGCCAATAATTAAGAGACTTCAAAAACCAGATCAAAGTGAAAGCAAGAGGACTTCAGTAAGGAGAACCAAGGTAAAAAGGTAAAGCCAAATAGTTAAAAAAAAAAATGTATATTGTAAAATTGAATTTTTACTTTTTGGTGAATCTTATTAGTTTAGATCATTATGGATAATAAAACATTTAAACCATATCTGGCTTCTAAGAAAAGTATTTTTTTTTTTTTTGTATTTCTATCTGAAATGAAATAATTGCTTTTCTTCCCTGGTAAAGGCTGGATGGATTGGTAGGAGATTTCATTTATCACATAAATAATCTTAATCTTAATAATTTATCAGTGTGTTTAGATTTTGAATATTGTGTTTCCTAAAAATTATTTTTAAGCTTTTAATTCTTTTGTGTGAACTATTAGATAGTTGCAATAGTTACTGCTTTCTGTAATAGTTAAATGGAAGATCAGTTCTAATCATGAAGATAAAATGACAGGGAACTGGGAGCTTGTGACAGGCAGGATTCCTAGGATTGTTAACTCTCACTGTACTGTACCTTGTTTATAGCATATTTATTTCCTAAATTCTCCTTTTCTTTTTGCCTACCATAACTCTAACCCAAGGTTCATTTCACTGCTTGGCCTTTATGCCAGCAAGGAGGGAACCTAGGTAGGGTGGAAAGGGAAGCTATTCTTGACACTTTCAGAACTAGTTAAAAAAAAAATCTAGGGGAAAAGTTGATGACTGACAGATGGATATTAAGTTGCTTGGGGGTTTTACTTACATCAGAAATGTCTATCCTTTTTAATAGTTTCTTTTCAAGGATATTATAGGATTTGGCTGGACTGTGGCCTGCTGAAAAATGTAGGATTCTGTAGTGAATACATCTACAACTACAGTAAATAACAGCTTTCTTTTATAGCTGTATCATTTTCCATTTCCTTGATAAATACTGAGGTGGATGAAATATCTGTAGTAATTGTTTTCAACATGAAGTAAAGAATAACGTTGAGGCCTTTACTATTAGCTAGTCTAATACTCCTGGGAGGAAGGAATATATCTATCTAGTAAGAATTTTAATGTATCATTATTCCTTTATGTCTTCAAGCAGGCCTTCTGATAGGAAGTGAAAACAGTTATCAACTAATTTGGATATTAAATACATCATTCAATAGTTCAATGAATAAAAGATAAAAGTTAAAAGGGCTTTTTCCAAGTATGAGTCAAATTCTATACTTCATTTAAGAAGTGTTTTTTTATCTTGAGATTTTATATAAGATCCACAGTCAGGGAGGTTACCAGAGCTTGCCAGCAAAGTTGGAAGGCCCAGTGGTTACAATACCTGAGGATGTAAAGTGACTAGTAGTTTGGCAGGTAACTGTGAAATTACATTAAGCCAGGTAAGTTAAAGATCTTTGAACTCCAGTATACATAAAAGAAGTCTCTGAGATGTTTTGGCAGTGCTTTTATTACTAGGGCTAAGTCAATTCTGGAGGCCCTTACTACTTTTTCAAGTTCCAGAATTTTCTGACTCAAGTTTTCTGCAAGTGAAGGTTTCTTCTAGGCTCCATAGGAGCCCGGAGGGGACTCAGGGATGCCAGCCAACACAGAGGCAACTTCAGTCACCTGTGTAGAGAACCGTGCTTGGTACTGTCGCCAAGAGATCCTTGGTACATTCAAGAGTGTAGAGTGCTGACTTTGGAAGGCGATGGTACCACTTCTGAGGAGAAGCTCCGTAAGAGGTTTGAGGCAAATTGGAGGAGCCTCCTAAGTTAAATGTGTATCCAGACCTATTGCTTAAAAACAAAGTTCCTAGTGCAGATGATACACACTTGGAGAAATCAAAGTCTTTAAAAAGCAGTATGCAAACGAGAACATCTCTTCACAAGAAAGAAACATTTAAAATACACATCTTCGTTTCATTGTAGACACCGGCAGCTATTCTTCATCCACTGATTGAAGCTTTCCACATTTCTCTGGAAGGCTTGCACTTAATATTTTATTGCTTTTGTTTCCAAATTCAGAGGGAGAGGCAGGTTCATCTGTTTCATAATCTTCAAAGCTGAAATAACAAAGCAAAAGTGAATTAACTGATTGATTGATTAAAGTTTGGGTAGAAATCAATATGGCAAATCCGAGCCTCAAGACCAGCCCACAAAGGTACCTTGAATTGCTAAATGGAGGCCGTGAGCAACTCAACTGCCGTGAAGGAGGCAACACTCTAGAGCAGAAAACACATTCTTCTCCCTGTTCCTTAAAGCTTAAGTCCATGTCAGAATTTGTTGAAAATGTTCCGTATCAAGCTTTCCCTAGGGTGGTTGGTGGGAGTGAGAGAATTACAGATGGTGCTAGGTAAAGAAAAATTTGAGGTCCATGAAGTATGAGCATTACTTGACCTTATTAAAAGTGGTTTCCACTCAGAGTGGCAAACCTTTTTTTTTTTTGAGACGGAGCCTTGCTCTGTCACCCAGTCTGGAGTGAAGTGGCACGATCTTGGCTCACTGCAACCTCTGCCTCCCAGGTTCAGGCGATTCTCCTGCCTCAGCCTCCTCAGTAGCTGGGACTACATGCATGCGCCACCACACCTGGCTAAGTTTTGTATTTTTAGTAGAGATGGGGTTTCACCATGTTGGCCAGGCTGGTCTGGAACTCCTGACCTCAGGTGATCTGCCCACTTTGGCCTCTCAAAGTGCTGGGATTACAGGCTTGAGCCACTGGTCGGCCAGAGTGGCAAACTTTCTCAACTCTCAGATTGCTTTATAGCTTCCCTCCGTGGCTTCCAAGCAACACAAAAAGATGTTCAAGTATGTAGGTTGAACTGACTAAAGTGCATTTATGGATTTCCCATCATTCTACTTTTTAGGTCTCTATAGCATACCTGGACCTGGATACTCATCCTGGGAAGATGTCCTTCTGCTAAACCTTTTAGGTGTTGCTGGTATCCCCTGAATTCTGTATCCTCCAGGCTACCCCTAAGGTTGGCTTTAGGCAGAGATGAAATATTTTCTCTTGGAAATGATGTGGCTGCCTGAAATATTGATAAATATTCTGAGGCTATATCTCTGAGCCTCATATGTAGATATGTACATCAGAAAAATGTACATCAGCAATGTCTATTATAGTATTTGACATCACTGGCTTAGCCCTTGCAGGGATCTCCCACAATATTTAAGCAGGAATTTGTGGACATACAGTCCCTTCATCAAAAAGGTACCAATTGGGGCCAATTAGTGAGGGAAAATATGCTGAGGTAGGTATATACAGTAAGTGGCACCTATTCAAGTTCCTAAAACATTGTGTGTGTTTTTTCTTTTGAGATGGAGTCTCGCTGTGTCGCCCAGGCTGGAGTACAGTGGGGCCATCTTGGCTCATTGCAACCTCTGCCTCCCAAGTTCAAGTGATTCTCCTGCCTCAGCCTCCCGAGTAGCTGGGATTTACAGGCATGTGCCACCATGCCCGGGTAATTTTTGTATTTTCAGTAGAGACAGGGTTTCACCATGTTTGCCAGACTGGTCTTGAACTCCTAACCTCAAGTGATCCACCTGTCTCGGCCTCCCAAAATGCTGGGATTACAGGCATGAGCCACTGCGCCCAGTCAACATCTTTTTGTTTTTGAGATGGAGTCTTGCTCTGTTGCCCAGGCTGGAGTGCAGTGGCATGATCTTGGTTCACTGCAACCTCTGCTTTCTGGGTTCAAGCAATTCTCCTGCCTCAGCCTCCCAAGAAGCAGGGATTACGGACGTATATCACCACTCCTGGCTGGTTTTTGTGTTTTCTTAGTAGCAACAGGGTTTCGCCATGTTGGCCAGGCTGGTCTTCAACTCCTGACCTCAGGTGATCCACCCCCATCAGCCTCCCAAAGTGCTGGGATTAAAGGTGTGAGCCACTGCACCCAGCCTAGGCCAACATTTTTGAATAGAGGTTAGAGGTTTAAACCTTTTAAAAAGCTTACTTGATAGAAAATTGTTCCCTATGACTACCAGTTTATGATACTGTCAAAAGTTATAATTTGTTCATTTAATAAAAATATTCCATTCCATTCTTGTTTCCACTCCTCTTCCCCCATCTCCTTGAGGCCTCAATGCGGCATGGGATGTGCTGGATAAGGAGGCAATAGGAGAGGAACTTTCCGCTAATGCAAGTGAAATGGTTGATGGCAGAGCCTCTGTTCTGGGGAACAAAATTCTCAAAACCAATGCTGCTGATTTCTTGTCAGGATGGGAGCATCTTCCCCTTGGTGCCCTAACGTGTTGTCTGTAAGCTATCAGTGTTAAATACCTCAGTGTAGGTCTATGAATAACGCATATTTTCAGAGTTAAGTGTGAAGTGTGACTCATTCAGTAAATATTTGAACTCCTGTTGCTAAGTGTCAGAGCCAAATGCTAGGATTATAATGATGAAAAAGACTGAATCAGCCCTCTCCTCACAGCACTTGAAGCCTAATGGAGACCTTATGGAGTTAGGGGTTAAGTGATTTAGGCTTAGAGCACAGGCTTTGGAGTCAGACTATAAAAGTCAGGTTCCAATCTGGGTTTGATCACTTAATGTGATTTTGGGCATGTTGGTGAGTGACACCTAATCCTATATTGGGGGAGGGATTATACATTTTTGTGTATGTCATTTTTGAATAAAACATTTGCAAAAGGAAGTTCATTCAATAACCCTCCTTTGTCAGCATCCTGGAGACTCCTCTTAATTTTGGTGGTTCTCAACTAGGGTGATTTTGTCCCCCGCCGCCAGGGGACATTTGGGCATGTCTGGAGACATGTCTGTGTCTTGACTGTCACCACTGAGTGGGTCCTACTGGCATCTAGTGGGTAGAGTGCAGGGATGGTGCTAAACATCCTACAATGTGCCGTATGTCTCACAATAAAATTACCCATCTTAGAACTCTTGCTCCTTCAATGCCAGTGCGTCCCAGGTTCTGGACTAATAAGCTCTTCTCGTTTTGTACTTCCCTGGTAAGCTTAGTCTTTCCCATGGCTTTACTCACTGCCTACTCACCTGTGGTTTCCAAACTATGTCCAGCCTCAGCCTCTTTCTAAGCTGGAGAACTCCATATATCCAGCTGCCTACTATATAGATGGCTCTTTCAGAACAGCAGCATGTATAAACTTGAACTCATCTTTCCCACTGCCCTGGTTCTCCCTATTTTAGTCAATGGCACTGTCATCTGCCCACTCAAAGCCAGAAACTCGGTTATCCCAAGTTCCTCTTTCCTCACCTCACTACAGTTGACCATATGGATACAACCCTGCCTCTTCCTCCCTACCACCACTGGCTTAAGTTCAGGGTACCATACTTTCTTGTTTGGATTACACTCTTGCCACATATCCTTTGCTACTGCCATACCAGGCTGTTTATAGTGTTGGAATAGGTTATGGTCTTGGGACCTAATGCCACTGTACATGTTTTTCAATTGCCTGAAATGCCCTTCCCTCTTTGGCTAGCTTGTGTTCATCTTTTAATCTGAGATGTCATGTACAGGTTTTCTGATTATTCACTCCTGAATTAATTAACCACATCTCTGATTCAGATGTATGTAATGGCTTCCTTATTTGTCTCCCTACTTCTGTTCTTGCACTTCCACTAATCTGGCAGAATAATCTTCAGAAAACCTAAGGGGTAGGGATTATATCACTCCCTTGCTTAACAATTTTCAGTGGCTTCCCTAGGCCCTGCATGATCTGGCCCCTGCTAGACTTTGTAACCACATCTCCCTCTGTTGCTCACTATATTCTGGCCATACTAGGCTTTAAAAATCTCCCCAACATGCTGTTTCCTGCCTCAAAATCACTGCACACAGTCACATATTTTACTCCCTGCCTAGGACATTTTTGCTGTTTTTTCTTTTCAACCTTTTAGGTGTTATCAACTACTCAGAAAATTCTTCCCTCAGCACCATAAGTTGCAACTCCTTGTCCATTACTGGTTCATCTTATTTATTTGTCTCCTTCATATTTACATAATTAAATCTGTTCCTCACTTGATTGTAAAGTGTCCGTTTTGTAACTCACTAATTTCCTTGGGCTATAGTACAGTGATTGGCACTAGGTGCTCAAAATGAATTGCTGAATGGAAAGTGATGTCCTAATGCTCTTGTGAAACAATGTGTAGAGTTGCCGGGACAGGATTGGAGTCAGTAAAATGGTAAGAGTGCAGAATTCATTCATGATCATTCATTCATTCATTTATTTTTGAGACAGAGTCTCGCTCTGTCGCCCAGGAGGGCAACGGCGTGATCTCGGCTCACTGCACCCTCCGCCTCCCAGGTTCAAGCAATTATCCTGCCTCAGCCTCCTGAGTAGCTGGGATTATAGGCGTGTGCCACCACAACCGGCTTTTTTTTTTTTTTTGAGACTGAGTTTTGTTCTTGTTGCCCAGGCTGGAGTGCAGTGGCGCGATCTCGGCTCACTGCAAACTCTGCCTCCGGGGTTCAAGCGATTCTCCTGCCTCAGCCTCCCAAGTAGCTGCGATTACAGGCATGTGCCACCACACCTGGCTAATTTTGTATTTTTAGTAGAGACAGGGTTTCTCCATGTTGGTCAGGCTGGTCTCAAACTCCCGACCTCAGGTGATCCGCCCGCCTCGGTCTCCCAAAGTGCTGACATTATTACAGGCGTGAGCCACTGAGCCCGGGTTTTTTTTTTTTTTTTTTTTTTAAAGAGTCTCACTCTGTCACCCAGGCTGGAGTACAGTGGCATGATCTTAGCCTCAAACTCCTAGGCTCAAGGAATCCTCCTGCCTTGGCCTCCCAAAGTGCTGGGAATTATAGGTGTCAGCTACTGAGCTTGGCCTCACAATTCATCTTGAGTCAGATCTGTTAGAACCTTAATCTTTATCCTGCTCTCCAGGAATTCTTGAGAACGTGGAGAACAAAGTATGTTAACTGACTCCTTCTGCATGGCCACTTCTGGGTTCAGTGGTATTCCCCGGGGCTCAAATGAAGATTATTTTATTAGGTGTTTTCTGTTAACTGGCCATTTTTGAATGAACAGAGGGGTCAGAGGATTAAAGCAGAACTCACAGGGTTCACAAACAATTTACTAGAAATCATAGGTATCAAATTGAGAACATATTCTTTTTTTTTTTTTTTTTTGAGACAGAGTCTCGCTCTGTTGCTCAGACTGGAGTGCAGTGGCACTATCTCAGCTCACTGCAACCTCCACCTCCTGGGTTCAAGCGATTCTCCTGCCTCAGCCTCCTGAGTAGCTGGGATTACAGGCATGCACCACCACACCTAGCTAATTTTTTTTATTTTTAGTAGAGATAGGGTTTTCACCATGTTGGCCAGGCTAGTCTTGAACTCCCAACCTCAGGTGATCCGCCTGCCTCGGCCTCCAAAAATGTTGGGATTACAGGCTTGAGCCACCATGCCCAGCTGAGAACAAACTCTTTTTTTTTTTTTTTTTTGAGATGGAGTCTCGCTCTGTCACCAGGCTGGAGGGCAGTGGCGTGATCTCGGCTCACTGCAACCTCTGCCTCCGAGGTTCAAGCGATTCTCCTGCCTCAGCCACGTGAGTAGTTGGGATTACAGGCACATAACACCATGCCCAGCTAACTTTTGTATTTTTAGTAGAGATGGGGTTTCACCATGTTGGCTAGGATGGCCTCGATCTCCTGACCTCATGATCCCCCCCCTCGGCCTCCCAAAGGGCTGGGAGTACAGGTGTGAACCACCGCACCTAGCCTGAGAACAAATTCTCTAACATAGTTTTGTTAGCATGAGGGGATATGGTGGTTCATGTAATTTGGCCAGCAACACCACTGCCTTTAGAAACTTACTTCCCTAAGTAAGTCTTCCCTTTCAGATGAGCAGTTTCTGGGCAAAAGCATTAAGGCGGGCTCTGCAGATTCCTGGGATGGAAATATAAAAGTTGGAATGAGCAGAGATAATGACTGGGACATAAATTGTTTGACAAAGGATTGTATGCAGTTTCAGGGTGTTGTCTGGGAGTTATGTTTTGATTCCAGTTTCCAGGATTCTGACTATTTACAGGGACAAAGGAATAGAATATTTGATTCAGGGATTATCTGGGCATATCTAAGACACATGGTACCTATAGGCATAGAATAAAATGTTCAATATTTTGGCCTGGCATGGTGACTCATGCCTGTAATCCCAGCACTTTGGGGGAGGCCAATGTGGGCAGATCACCTGAGGTTGGGAGTTCGAGACCAGCCTGACCAACATGGAGAAACCCTGTCTCTACTAAAAATACAAAATTAGCTGGGCGTGGTGGTGCATGCCTGTAATCCCAGCTACTCGGGAGGCTGAGGCAGGAGAATCGCTTGAACCTGGGAGGTGGAGGTTGCTGTGAGCTGAGATTGTGCCACTGCACTCCAGCCTGGATGACAAGAGCGAAACTGTCTCAAAAAAAAAAAAAAAAAAAAAAAAAAAAAAAAAAATTCAATATTTCTCTAGTTTGGAGTCTATAATGCTTCAGAAATACAAGTGTGTGATTTATCTTTATACTTTTAAGTTAAAAATAGATATCCTAAGCCACTTATATAAAATGGATTAGCTGAAATTTTGGAAGTTGGATATTTGGTTCACTGAATTTCCTTAACCCATCCAGTGACCAGAAAATCTTTAGTTTCAACTCTTGTTGAAGTTTCCTAATATGTACCACTTGCTTTCCTGTCCCAGGAAGTAGATTTCACTTCAGTTTTGATGGTTAAAGGAACTCTTGCAGTTCTTCAGAATCATGAGCTATCAACTGTTAATTCTTACTCATTGTGGATGTAGACAGCATAAAAATGTGGGCTAAATATATTCTAATTATGAACTGGAAGGACGCGGTCTGAATTCATGTTTATTACCAAGCACAGTGCCTGGCATAGAGTAGGTACCAGTAAATATCTGTTGAAATAAATTAAAATTGGGCTTTGATATGGTTCGTTCAATGTGGAAAAAAATAAAACATTAACTTCAGGCCCACGTAGAGGCTCTGTTTATTAAGCATTAAAAAATAATTCTAAACTCATATATCTGTAATATTATAACTCATGTTTTAGAATATTAATTCATGTCATTCCTTCTTTTTCTTTCCCTATACCCTAATATATACACACAAGCCTCCATTCTCCCTGTTTCCCTGTTCCTCTCCTACATTCTCCCACCTCACTGAGGAGAGTTGGGCTTCATACTTCTCACTAGTTACATTCCTGGACGATTGCTCTAATGGGTTTCTGGCTGGCTTTCTTTACCTATAGTGCCTTAGTTTCCAGTGCTGATGGATGTAAATGTAGATCTCTGACAGAGGCCGGGCGCGGTGGCTCACGCCTGTAATCCCAGCACTTTGGGAGGCCCAGGTGGGCGGATCACGAGGTCAGGAGATCGAGATCGTCCTGGCTAACACGGTGAAACCCCGTCTCTACTAAAAATACAAAAAATTAGCCGGGTGTGCTTGCAGGCGCCTGTAGTCCCAGCTACTCGGTAGGCTGAGCCAGGAGAATGGCCTGAACCTGGGAGGCGGAGCTTGCAGTGAGCGGAGATCGCGCTACTGCACTCCAGCCTAGGCGACAGAGCGAGCCTCCATCTCAAAAAAAAAAAAAAAAAAAAAAAAATCTCTGACAGAGTAATTCATATATTTTTAATATAAAGGAAAAAGCTGCCTTTAAAAACATTCAATAGAAAACAGTTCTAATCTGCCCAAATGTCCAATAATAGGGAAATGGATGTGAGTTACTGCTTGAGAACACTGAAGCACTAAAATTCCTGTTTTTGAACACATTAGTAACAAGTGTTAAAAAGAAATATACCAAGTATAAAATAATGGTTATCCCTGGATCATTGAACCAAGAGTGATTTTAATCTCTTTATATTTTCCATTTTTTCAAGTATTAGTCAAATTGGCAGAAAAGCTTGTTTCTGATTATTGAGGGTCTCAGTTTCTTAGGATAGTAACATGGAAGACCCTTTAGCCTTCTTTACATAATTTCTGTGGTGTTTTTAATGTACTCCATTGCATAAACCATAAGAATGTTAATTATAAATATGGTATCATAACCTGTTATCTTCATATAGGTAACACATTTAGTTGACTTGGATTAAGTAACTGGTACCCTGTCTTTCTGGCTTCTCTTACGAGGGTTGAGTTTATATAAATGCTGTTGTATGCTGTGATCACTTTGTGTGCTAGACATGTTAATTTGCAATGTTTACAGCCTCATACTTACGGAAGCTTTGGTCTTGCTTCACCTCACTGAGACCTGCAGTGATTACGAGGTTACTTACTGAAGACATTACATAAGTACCAGTCTTGAAATCAGGAGGTACAGATGCTTAGCACAATGGCTACCTGTGATTGTTGTTAGATGGTAAAGTAGGTGGAGGATTTTAAGTTGTTTTTGGAGGGCCAAATCATCTGGACTACTGTAGATATCCTTGTAGTGAGGGTGGCTGCTGTATTGCTGTGGTCTGTGCCTTTCAGTAAACATTTGCTGAGGACCTCCTACGTAACAGTTTGCCAGGTGCTGGGACTACAAGACTAAGAAAACGTTCTTGGCCCCTGAGGAGCTCACAATCTAATGGTAAAACAAATAGCTCCATTTTTTTTTAGCATTAATATACCAGACACTGTTAGATTCATTATATACATTATCTCTTAATTCTCAGTACAATCCTGCTGTTCATGCAACAGATATTTACTGTGTCAAGCAGTAAAATGTGCCCTAGGAGTGAAGGGAACAAGATAAGGGATAGAATGCTAATGTTACAGCTGAATAAACTCTACTTCAGAGAGGTTAGGTAATGTGATCACAAAAGTGGTAGCAATAAATAGCCATTGTTTATTGATTACACAGACACTATGCCTAAGGGCCTTATATTATATACACTGTCTTATTTAATCCTTAAAACAGCTCAGTGTGCCAAGTCGTACCCTTATTTTTATAGAGGATGCTGAGGCTTGGATGCCTGAGATTACACAGCTTGTGTGATAAAGCAAGGATTTGAAGTTAGGTTCGTCTAACTTCAAATTTCATGCTCTTAACCATGATGTTTTTTATATATATATATATATATAATTTTTTTTTTTTTTTTTTTTTTTTTTTTGAGACGGAGTCTTGCTCTGTTGCCCAGGCTGGAGTGCAATGGCATGATCACAGCTCACTGCAACCTCCACCTCCTTCCTAGGTTCATTCAAATGATCCTCCCGCCCCAGCCTCCCAAGTAGCTGGGATTATAGGCACACATCACCACGCCCAGCTAACTTTTAGTAGAGATGGGGTTTTGCCATGTTGGCCAGGCAGGTCTCGAACTCCTGGCCTCATCTGCCTGCCTCGGCCTCCCAAAGTGTTGAGATTACAGGCGTGAGCCACTGCAGTGGGCCCATGATGTTACATTGTATTTCTCCTATATGGAGTAGTAATAGCTACTATTTATCATGAGCCATGTGCCAGGTGTTTACATATAATATCTTAGATTCTCACAACCACCTCAGGAAGTGGATGCTGATGCCTTCTGAAACTGAGCCTCAGGAGTCAAGTAACCTGCCCAGCTGGTGAGTGGACCAGATCTGTCTGGCTCCTAAGCCTCTGGTCTTTCTGTGGTACTAACATTCCTCCCTTTCTGATACCTGAGTCTGGCAATTTCTGTTTGACAATTAGACTCTCCCTGACATATCTGTGATTCTTTCTTGAGATGAAACCCTAGTTGATTTAGCCTTGGGAATTTAGGTCTGGCCTTGCTTTTGCACGAGTTGGTCAGTTGTTATTCCTGTAAACGGGCTTTTTCCTTTCCTTTCCTTTGTTCACATTCTAGTGCTTGCTCTATAGACTGTGGCTGTTGTAAGCCTCCTTGCCCCTTGGGACCTCATAACCCACATGTGTTCTGTGTAGGCCTTATCTTATCTCCCACAACAGAAGTGGGGTATCCAGCAAGCAGCAAGAGCCTCTCATATACAACGGTTGAATTTCACTCCAGCTGGTCTCTGCGTCTCCTCTTGTGACCCCTCCTCACCTGTGCTTCTGTCTGCAACCCCCTGCCTCCTCTTTCTTCCTTCCACTGGCACGTTCTCTCAGTGCTACCACAACTTGAAAAAAACTTTCGCTTGAGCCAATTATTTATTCTCTTTAGATGCCACTAGTTTCTCTTTTCAGATGAACATGTCTATTTGTTTAGATCTGCTATCTATTTCTTCTTCCTTTAAAGCAGGTTATAAAACAATAGTAATATTTTTTGTAAAATACATGATCTAGTTGCACAGAAATGTATAGAAGGGTATACTCCAAAGTGATAAAACAGCCTGTCTTTGGGTGGTGAATTTTAGGTGTAGATTTTTGTTTATATTCTAACTCTTCTGCAATGAACATGTATTACCTATATAAACAGATAAAGGAGAAAAATAATTTTTTCCCATTTGTTAAAGTAATACAGTACACGCTCATTACATGAACCTTTATAAATTATAGAACAGTATAAAAAACCAAATTACTTGCAATTCCACAGCCCAGAGTTAATGACTGTTAATATTTTGGGGTGTTATCTTTTAGCTTGTGTATATACATACACACATTTTAAGTACTGAGATTATATCACAATTTTGTAATCTGGATTTTTCTATGAAATTAAAAATTTTCAAGTACATTTCAATAGCTGCATGTTATGACACAGATACCATGACTTATTTAACCATTCTATATTGAACATTTGTGTTGCTTTGAATTTATTTTAGAATTACCTGTGACCAGTGCCAATTGTTTAGATTACACAATTCTATCCAAATTTCTGATTATTTACAATAGATACTCAGAATTACTATCAGGGAGTCAAAGGGCATAAATTCAAGTTGTTGCTACATATTGTCAAATTACTTTCCAGGGACACTGGGGCAATATGCTTTTACCAGCAATGTTTGAAAGTGCGTGTCTTCCTGCAGTAAGCCTAGAGTGAGGTGTTTCTGCAATTTGTTTCTTCTATGAGACAGCAGTGAAGACACTATATTTTAACTGCATCTGTCTGTCTTCCCATCCTGTCTTGCATTTGCCAGTATCCAATAATGCTTAATATACAGTAGTAATGCAAACATTTATTGAATATTATCCTTAAAACTTATGTTTTAAAAATTGCTGCCAATTTAATAAGCTGAAGTTTTTTGGCTCTTGCTTTTTTAAAAACAGCTTTATTTAGGTTAATTTACATACCATAGATTTTACCAATTTTAAGTGTTCAGTGCATTTTAGTAAATTTCTTTTTTTTTTTTTTTTTTGAGATGGAGTTTCACTCTTGTTCCCCAGGCTGGAGTGCAATGGCACAATCTCAGCTCACCATCATATGGTGGAATGTTATAAAAAATACATATATTTAAAAATATATATATATACATATTTATTTTTGTCCTTGCTTGAAAGTCTCTCATGAAAAGATGTATTTTGCTTTATCAGTTCACCAGTTTGATGGACATGTGGATTATTTCCAGTTTTGAGCTACTAGGAATAATGCTGTTATGAACACTGGGTGAGCTTTTCTCTTAGGTAGATTTCTAGGAGTGAGATTATTGATTCATAAGCCAAATGTATGTTTAACTTTTTAAGAAACTGCCAAACTTTTCTAAAGAAGCTGTATAGTTTTACATCCTTACCAGCCCAATGTATGAGAGTTTTGGTTTCTCCACATTACTGCCAACTGGTGATTTTAGTTGTTCAAGTGGCTGTGTAGTATATCTCACTGAGGTTTTAATTTGCAATTTCCTAATGTCTAATAATACAGAACATCTTTTCATACACTTATTTACTGTTTGTACCTCCTTTTTAGTGTGTATTCACATGTTCTATTTAAAAAATTGAGATATTAGTCTTTTTGTTATTTAGAGTTCTTTACATATTCTGGATATGAGTTCTTTATCAGAATGTTTTGGAAATATTTTCTCCTGGTCTGTTTTTTCATTTTCTTAATGGTGTCTTCTGAAGAGCAATCGTTTTTAATTTTGAAGGAAGTCCAATGTATCAATTTTTAAAAATTACTCTTGCCCAACCCAAGGTCACAAAGATTTTCCTTTGTTTTATTCCAGAAGCTTTGTAGTTTTAGCCCTTACAGTTAGTTCTATGATTCCTTTTTAATTATTTTTATATTTAGCACAAGATATGGATTGGGGTTCTTTTTGGCACATGGATATCCAATTATTTTAGCATCATTTTTGAAAAGACTATCTTTTCTCTTTTGGTTGAAAATTAGTTGGAGTGTTACACTGATCTCTGTGTATATATATACCAGTGCTACAATGTCTTGATGATTGGTTTACAGTACATTTTGAAATCAGGTAATCTAGTCCTTCAACTTTGTTCTTTTAAAAAAGTGTTTTGGCTATTCTAGATATTTTTCATTTTCTATACAAGTTTTAGGATTAGTTTACTAATTTCTACACCAAAAGTCTGCCGGGATTTTGATAGGGATTATGTTAAATCCGTACATCGATTTGGGGATAATTGACATTTTAACAACGCTGAGCCTTCTAATCTTTCCAGTTATTTAGGTCTTCTTTAATTTCTCTCAGCATTGTTTTTTTAGTTTCATTGTACAAGTATTATTATTTTATTATATTTATTCCTATTTTTCATATTCTTTTTGATATGACTGTGAATAGAATTATTCTTTTTATTTCAATTTCATCACTGGAGGGGCTCATTGCTAGTATATAGAAATACTGTACTACTGATTTTTGTGTATTGAGCTTGTATTCTGAGATTGTGCTAATTCACTTAATAGCACTGGTATCTTTTATGTAGATTCCTTAGTTTTCAATTTGTAGGTCACATCATCTGTGAATATACAGTTTTACATCTTCCTTTCCAATCTGAATGCCTTTAAAAAGTTTTTTTCTTGCCTTACTGCCCTGGCTAGGACCCCCCAGTTACAATTGTTGAGTAGAAACAGTGAGGAATAGAAACATCCTTGCCTGGTTCTTGATCTCAGGAAAAAGGCATTCGTTTTTTTTTTATTATACTTAAAGTTCTAGGGTACATGTGCACAACGTGCAGATTTGATACATAGGTATACATGTGCCATGGTGGTTTGCTGCAGCCATCAACTCATCATTTACATTAGGTATCTCTCCCAATGCTATCCCTCCCCCAGCCCCCCCCACCCCCTGACAGGCCCTGGTGTGTGATGTTCCCCGCCCTGTGTCCATATGTTCTCATTGTTCAATTCCCACCTATGAGTGAGAACATGCGGTGTTTGGTTTTCTGTCCTTGTGGCAGTTTGCTGAGAATGATGGTTTTCGGCTTCATCCATGTCCCTGCAAAGGACATGAACTCATCCTTTTTTATGGCTGCATAGTATTCCATGGTGTATATGTACCACATTTTCTTAATCCAGTCTATCACTGATGGACATTTGGGTTGGTTCCAAGTCTTTGCTATTGCAAATAGTGCCACAATATGTTTATATGTGTGTATGTGTCTAAGCAGCATGATGTATAATCCTTTGGGTATATACCCAGTAATGGGATTGTTGGGTCAAATGGTAATTCTAGTTCTAGATCGTTGAGGAATCGCCACACCGTCTTCCACAATGGTTCAACTAATTTACACTCCCACCAACAGTGTAAAAGCATTCCTATTTCTCCACATCCTCTCCAGCATCTGTTGTTTCCTGACGTTTTAATGATTGCCATTCTAACTGGCATGAGATGATATCTCATTGTGGTTTTGATTTGCATTTCTCTGATGACCAGTGATGATGAGCATTTTTTCATGTGTCTGTTGGCTGCATAGGTGTCTTCTTTTGAGAAGTGTCTGTTCATATCCTTTGCCTACTTTTTGATGGGGTTGTTTTTTTCTTGTAAATTTGTTTGAGTTCTTTGTAGATTTTGGATATTAGCCCTTTGTCAGGTGGGTAGATTGCAAAAATTTTCTCCCATTCTGTAGGTTGCCTGTTCACTCTGATGGTGATGGTAGTTTCTTTTGCTGTGCAGAAGCTCTTTAGTTTAATTAGATCCCATTTGTCAATTTTGGCTTTTGTTGCCATTGCTTTTGGTGTTTTAATCATGAAGTCCTTGCCCATGCCTATGTCCTGAATGGTATTGCCTAGGTTTTCTTCTAGGGTTTTTATGGTTTTAGGTCTAACTTAATTAAGTCTTTAATCCATCTTGAATTAACTTTTGTATAAGGTGTAAGGAAGGGATCCAGTTTCAGCTTTCTGCATATGGCTAGCCAATTTTCCCAGCACCATTTATTAAATAGGGAATCCTTTCCCCATTTCTTGTTTTTGTCAGGTTTGTCAAAGATCAGATGGTTGTAGATGTGTGGTGTTATTTCTGAGGACTCTGTTGTTTCATTGGTCTATACATCTGTTTTGGTACCAGTATCATGCTGTTTTTGTTACTGAAGCCTTGTAGTATAGTTTGAAGTCAGGTAGCATGATGCCTCCTGCTTTGTTCTTTTTGCTTAGGATTGTCTTGGCAATGCAGGCTCTTTTTTGGTTCCATATGAATTTTAAAGTAGTTTTTTCCAATTTTGTGAAGAAAGTCATTGGTAGCTTGAAGGGGATGGCACTGCATCTATAAATTACTTTGGGCAGTATGGCCATTTTCATGATATTGATTCTTCCTATCCATGAGCATGGAATATTCTTCCATTTGTTTGTGTTCTCTTTTATTTCATTGAGCAGTGATTTGTAGTTCTCCTTGAAGAGGTCCTTCACATCCCTTGTAAGTGGGATTCCTAGGTATTTTATTCTCTTTATAGCAATGGTGAATGGGAGTTCACTCATTATTTGGCTGTTTGTTATTGGTAGATAGGAATGCCTGTGATTTTTGCACAATTGATTTTGTATCCTGAGACTTTGCTGAAGTTGCTTATCAGCTTAAGGAGATTTTTGGCTGAGACGATGGGGTTTTCTCAATATACAATCATGGCATCTGCAAACAGGGACAATTTGACTTCCTCTTTTCCTATCTGAATACCCTTTATTTCTTTCTCTTGCCTGACTGCCCTGGACAGAACTTCCAATACTATGTTGAATAGGAGTGGTTAGAGAGGGCATCCTTGTCTCGTGCCGGTTTTCAAAGGGAATGCTTCCAGTTTTTGCCCATTCAGTATGATACTGGTTGTGGGTCTGTCATAAAGAGCTCTTATTATTTTGAGATTATGTTCCATCAATACCTAGTTTATTGAGAGTGTTTAGCATGAAGGGCTGTTGAATTTTGTTGAAGGCCTTTTCTGCATCTATTGAGATAATCGTGTGGTTTTTGTCATTGGTTCTGTTTATGTGATGGATTACATTTATTGATTTGCGTATGTTGAACCAGGCTTGCATCCCAGGGATGAAGCTGACTTGATCA